>NC_000001.11:123807352-124133379 GCF_000001405.40 Homo sapiens
TTGTGTTCTGTGTTTTCAACTCACAGAGTTGAACGATGCTTTACACAGAGTAGACTTGAAACACTCTTGTGGAATTTGCAAGTGGAGATTTCATCCGCTTTGAGGTCAATGGTAGAATAGGAAATATCTTCCTATAGAAACTAGACAGAATGATTCTCAGAAACTCCTTTGAGATGTGTGCGTTCAACTCACAGAGTTTAACCTTTCTTTTCATAGAGCAGTTAGGAAACACTCTGTTTGTAAAGTCTGCAAGTGGATATTCAGACCTCTTTGAGGCCTTCGTTGGAAACGGGATTTCTTCATATTCTTCTAGAGAGAAGAATTCCCAGTAACTTCCTTGTGTTGTGTGTGTTCAACTCACAGAGTTGAACTTTCATTTACACAGAGCAGATTTGAAACACTCTTTTTGTGGAATTTGCAAGTGGAGATTTCAAGCGCTTTGAGGCCAAAAGCAGAAAAGGAAATATCTTCGTATAAAAACTAGACAGAAATCATTCTCAGAAACTGCTCTGCGATGTGTGCGTTCAACTCTCAGAGTTTAACTTTTCTTTTCATTCAGCAGTTTGGAAACACTCTGTTTGTAAAGTCTGCACGTGGATATTTTGACCACTTAGAGGCCTTCGTTGGAAACGGGTTTTTTTCCTGTAAGGCTAGACAGAAGAATTCCCAGTACCTTCCTTGTGTTGTGTACATTCCACTCACAGAGTTGAACGTTCCCTTAGACAGAGCAGATTTGAAACACTCTTTTTGTGCAATTGGCAAGTGGAGATTTCAAGCGCTTTAAGGTCAATGGCAGAAAAGGAAATATCTTCGTTTCAAAACTAGACAGAATCATTCCCACAAACTGCGTTCTGATGTGTTCGTTCAACTCACAGAGTTTAACCTTTCTGTTCATAGAGCAGTTAGGAAACACTCTGTTTGTAAAGTCTGTAAGTGGATATTCTGACATCTTGTGGCCTTCGTTGGAAACGGGATTTCTTCATATTCTGCTAGACAGAAGAATTCTCAGTAACTTCCCTTGTGTTGTGTGTATTCAACTCACAGAGTTGTACGATCCTTTACACAGAGCAGACTTGAAACACTCTTTTTGTGGAATTTGCAAGTGGAGATTTCAGCCGCTTTGAGGTCAATGGTAGAATAGGAAATATCTTCCTATAGAAACGAGACAGAATGATTCTCAGAAACTCCTTTGTGATGTGTGCGTTCAACTCACAGAGTTTAACCTTTCTTTTCATAGAGCAGTTAGGAAACACTCTGTTTGTAAAGTCTGCAAGTGGATATTCAGACATCCTTGAGGCTTTCGTTGGAAACGGGATTTCTTCATATTCTGCAAGAAAGAAGAATTCTCAGTAACTTCCGCGTGTTGTGTGTATTCAACTCAGAGAGTTGAACGATCCTTTACACAGAGCAGACTTGAAACACCCTTTTTGTGGAATTTGCAAGTGGAGATTTCAGCCGCTTTGTGGTCAATGGTACAAAAGGAAATATCTTCCTATAAAAACTAGACAGAATCATTCTCAGAAACTGCTGCGTGATGTGTGCGATCAACTCTCAGAGTTTAACTTTTCTTTTCATTCAGCGGTTTGGAAACACTCTGTTTGTAAAGTCTGCACGTGGAAATTTTGACAACTTAGAGACCTTCGTTGGAAACGGGATTTTTTCATGTAAGGCTAGACAGAAGAATTCCCAGTAACTTCCTTGTGTTGTGTGCATTCAACTCACAGAGTTGAACGTTCCCTTAGACAGAGCAGATTTGAAACACTCTATTTGTGCAATATGCAAGTGTAGTTTTCAAGCTCTTTAAGGTCAACGGCAGAAAAGGAAATATCTTGGTTTCAAAACTAGACAGAATGATTCTCAGAAACTCCTTTGTGATGTGTGCGTTCAACTCACAGAGTTTACCCTTTCTTTTCATAGAGCAGTTAGGAAACACTCTGTTTGTAAAGTCTGCAAGTGGATATTCAGACATCCTTGAGGCGTTCGTTGGAAACGGGATTTCTTCATATTCTGCCAGAAAGAAGAATTCTCAGTAACTTCCTTGTGTTGTGTGTATTCAACTCACAGAGTTGAACGATCCATTACACAGAGCAGACTTGAGACACTCTTTTTGTGGAATTTGCAAGTGGAGATTTCAGCCGCTTTGAGGTCAATGGTAGAAAAGGAAATATCTTCGTATAAAGACTAGACAGAATGATTCTCAGAAAATCTTTTGTGATGTGTGCGTTCAACTCACAGAGTTTAACTTTTCTTCTCATAGAGCAGTTAGGAAACACTCTGTTTGTAAAGTCTGCAAGTGGATATTAGACCTCTTTGAGGCCTTCGTTGGAAACGGGATTTCTTCATATTATGCTAGACAGAAGAAATCCCAGTAACTTCCTTGTGTTGTGTGTTTTTTAAGTCACAGAGTTGAACTTTCATTTACACAGAGCAGATTTGAAACACTCTTTTTGTGGAATTTGCAAGTGGAGATTTCAAGTGCTTTGAGGCCAATGGCAGAAAAGGAAATATCTTCGTATAAAAACTAGACAGAATCATTCTCAGAAACTGCTCTGTGATGTGTTCGTTCAACTCTCAGAGTTTAACTTTTCTTTTCATTCAGCAGTTTGGAAACACTCTGTTTGTAAAGTCTGCACGTGGATAATTTGACCACTTAGAGGCCTTCATTGGAAACGGGTTTTTTTCATGTAAGGCTAGACAGAAGAATTCCCAGTAACTTCTTTGTGTTGTGTACATTCAACTCACAGAGTTGAACGTTCCCTTAGACAGAGCAGACTTGTAACAGTCTTTTTGTGGAATTTGCAAGTGGAGATTTCAGCCGCTTTGAAGTCAAAGGTAGAAAAGGAAATATCTTCCTATAAAAACTAGACAGAATCATTCCCACAAACTGCGTTGTGATGTGTTCGTTCAACTCACAGAGTTTAACCTTTCTTTTCGTAGAGCAGTTAGGAAACACTCTGTTTGTAAAGTCTGCAAGTGGATATTCAGACCTCTTTGAGGCCTTCGTTGGAAACGGGATTTCTTCATATTCTGCTAGACAGAATAATTCTCAGTAACTTCCTTGTGTTGTGTGTATTCAACTCACAGAGTTGAACGATCCTTTACAGAGAGCAGACTTGAAACACTCTTTTTGTGGAATTTGCAAGTGGAGATTTCAGCCGCTTTGAGGTCAATAGTAGAATAGGAAATATCTTCGTAGAAAAACTAGACAGAATGTTTCTCAGAAACTCCTTTGAGATGTGTGTGTTCAACTCACAGAGTTTAACCTTTCTTTTCATAGAGCAGTTAGGAATCACTCTGTTTGTAAAGTCTGCAAGTGGATATTCAGACCTCTTTGAGGCCTTCGTTGGAAACGGGTTTTTTTCATATAAGGCTAGACAGAAGAATTCCCAGTAACTTCCTTGTGTTGTGTGTGTTCAACTCACAGAGCTGAACTTTCATTTAAACAGAGCAGATTTGAAACACTCTTTTTGTGGAATTTGCAAGTGGAGATTTCAAGCGCTTTAAGGCCAAAGGCAGAAAAGGAAATATCTTCGTATAAAAACTAGACAGAGTGATTCTCAGAAACTCCTTTGTGATGTGTGCGTTCAACTCACAGAGTTTAACCTTTCTTTTCATTCAGCGGTTTGGAAACACTCTGTTTGTAAAGTCTGCACGTGGATATTCAGACCTCTTTGAGGCCTTCGTTGGAAACGGGTTTTTTTCATGTAAGGCTAGACAGAAGAATTCCCAGTAACTTCCTTGTGTTGTGTGCATTCAACTCACAGAGTTGAACGTTCCTTAGAGAGAGCAGATTTGAAACACTCTATTTGTGCAATTTGCAAGTGTAGATTTCAAGCGCTTTAAGGTCAATGGCAGAAAAGGAAATATCTTCGTTTCAAAACTAGACAGAATGATTCTCAGAAACTCCTTTGTGATGTGTGCGTTTAACTCACAGAGTTTAACCTTTCTTTTCATAGAGCAGTTAGGAAACACTCTGTTTGTAAAGTCTGCAAGTGGATATTCAGACCTCCTTGAGGCCTTCGTTGGAAACGGGATTTCTTCATATTATGCTAGACAGAAGAATTCTCAGTAACTTCCTTGTGTTGTGTGTATTCAACTCACAGCAGTTGAACGATCCTTTACACAGAGCAGACTTGAAACACTCTTTTTGTGGAATTTGCAAGTGGAGATTTCAGCCGCTTTGAGTTCAATGGTAGAATAGGAAATATCTTCCTATAGAAACTAGACAGAATGATTCTCAGAAACTCCTTTGTGATGTGTGCGTTCAACTCACAGAGTTTAACCTTTCTTTTCATAGAGCAGTTAGGAAAAACTGTGTTTGTAATGTCTGCAAGTGGATATTCAGACATCTTTGAGGCTTTCGTTGGAAACGGGATTTCTTCATATTATGCTAGACAGAAGAATTCCCAGTAACTTCCTTGTATTGTGTGTGTTCAACTCACAGAGTTGAACTTTCATTTACCCAGAGCAGATTTGAAACACTCTTTTTGTGGAATTTGCAAGTGGAGATTTCAAGCGCTTTGAGGCCAAAGGCAGAAAAGGAAATATCTTCGTTTCAAAACTAGACAGAATCATTCTCAGAAACTGCTCTGCGATGTGTGCGTTCAACTCACAGAGTTTAACCTTTCTTTTCATAGAGCAGTTAGGAAACACTCTGTTTGTAAAGTCTGCAAGTGGATATTCAGACCTCTTTGAGGCCTTCGTTGGAAACGGGATTTCTTCATATAAGGCTAGACAGAAGAATTCTCAGTAACTTCCTTGTGTTGTGTACATTCAACTCACAGAGTTGAACGTTCCCTTAGACAGAGCAGACTTGTAACACTCTTTTTGTGGAATTTGCAAGTGGAGATTTCAGCCGCTTTCAAGTCAAAGGTAGAAAAGGAAATATCTTCCTATAAAAACTAGACAGAATCATTCCCACAAACTGCGTTGTGATGTGTTCGTTCAACTCACAGAGTTTAACCTTTCTTTTCATAGAGCAGTTAGGAAACACTCTGTTGGTAAATTCTGTAAGTGGATATTCTGACATCTTGTGGCCTTCGTTGGAAACGGGATTTCTTCATATTCTGCTAGACAGAAGAATTCTCAGTAACTTCCTTGTGTTGTGTGTATTCAACTCACAGAGTTGAACGATCCTTTACACAGAGCAGACTTGAAACACTCTTTTTGTAGAATTTGCAAGTGGAGATTTCAGCCGCTTTGAGGTCAATGGTAGAAAAGGAAACTATCTTCATATAAAGACTAGACAGAATGATTCTCAGAAACTCATTTGTGATGTGTGCGTTCAACTCACAGAGTTTAACCTTTCTTTTCATAGAGCAGTTAGGAAACACTCTGTTTTTAAAGTCTGCAAGTGGATATTCAGACCTTTTTGAGGCCTTCGTTGGAAACGGGATTTCTTCATATGATGCTAGACAGAAGAATTCCCAGTAACTTCCTTGTGTTGTGTGTATTCAACTCACAGAGTTGAACTTTCATTTACACAGAGCAGATTTGAAACACTCTTTTTGTGGAATTTTCAAATGGAGATTTCAAGCGCTTTGAGGCCAAAGGCAGAAAAGGAAATATCTTCGTATAAAAACTAGACAGAATCATTCTCAGAAACTGCTCTGCGATGTGTGCGTTCAACTCTCAGAGTTTAACTTTTCTTTTCATTCAGCAGTTTGGAAACACTCTGTTTGTAAAGTCTGCACGTGGATATTTTGACCACTTAGAGGCCTTCGTTGGAAACGGGTTTTTTTCATGGAAGGCTAGACAGAAGAATTCTCAGTAACTTCCTTGTGTTGTGTGTATTCAACTCACAGAGTTGAACGATCCTTTACACAGAGCAGACTTGTAACACTCTTTTTGTGGAATTTGCAAGTGGAGATTTCAGCCGCTTTGAAGTCAAATGTAGAAAAGGAAATATCTTCCTTTAAAAACTAGACAGAATCATTCCCACAAAGTGCGTTGTGATGTGTTCGTTCAACTCACAGAGTTTAACCTTTCTGTTCATAGAGCAGTTAGGAAACACTCTGTGTGTAAAGTCTGCAAGTGGATATTCAGACCTCTTTGAGGCCTTCGTTGGAAACGGGATTTCTTCATATTCTGCTAGACAGAAGAATTCTCAGAAACTTCCTTGTGTTGTGTGTTTTCAACTCACAGAGTTCAACGATCCTTTACACAGAGCAGACTTGAAACACTCTTTTTGTGGAATTTGCAAGTGGAGATTTCAGCCGCTTTGAGGTCAATGGTAGAATAGGAAATATCTTCCTATAGAACCTAGACAGAATGATTCTCAGAAAATCTTTTGTGATGTGTGCGTTCAACTCACAGAGTTTAACTTTTCTTCTCATAGAGCAGTTAGGAAACACTCTGTTTGTAAAGTCTGCAAGTGGATATTCAGACCTCTTTGAGGCCTTCGTTGGAAACGGGATTTCTTCATATTTTGCTAGACAGAAGAATTCCCAGTAACTTCCTTGTGTTGTGTGTGTTCAACTCACAGAGTTGAACTTTCATTTACACAGAGCAGATTTGAAACACTCTTTTTGTGGAATTTGCAAGTGGAGATTTCAAGCGCTGTGAAGCCAAAGGCAGAAAAGGAAATATCTTCGTATAAAAACTAGACAGAAATCATTCTCAGAAACTGCTCTGCGATGTGTGCGTTCAACTCTCAGAGTTTAACTTTTCTTTTCATTCAGCAGTTTGGAAACACTCTGTTTGTAAAGTCTGCACGTGGATATTTTGACCACTTAGAGTCCTTCGTTGGAAACGGGTTTTTTTCATGTAAGGCTAGACAGAAGAATTCCCAGTAACTTCCCTTGTGTTGTGTACATTCAACTCACAGAGTTGAACGTTCCCTTAGACAGAGCAGATTTGAAACACTCTTTTTGTGCAATTGGCAAGTGGAGATTTCAAGCGCTTTAAGGTCAATGGCAGAAAAGGAAATATCTTCGTTTCAAAACTAGAGAGAATGATTCTCAGAAACTCCTTTGTGATGTGTGCGTTCAACACACAGAGTTTAACTTTTCTTTTCATAGAGCAGTTAGGAAACACTCTGTTTGTAAAGTCTGCAAGTGGATATTCAGACCTCCTTGACGCCTTCGTTGGAAACGGGATTTCTTCATATTCTGCTAGACAGAAGAATTCTCAGTAACTTCCTTGTGTTGTGTGTATTCAACTCACAGACTTGAACGATCCTTTACACAGAGCAGACTTGAAACACTCTTTTTGTGGAATTTGCAAGTGGAGATTTCAGCCGCTTTGAGGTCAATAGTAGAAAAGGAAATATCTTCGTAGAAAAACTAGACAGAATGATTCTCAGAAACTCCTTTGTGATGTGTGCGTTCAACTCACAGAGTTTAAACTTTCTTTTCATAGAGCAGTTAGGAAACACTCTGTTTGTAAAGTCTGCAAGTGGATATTCAGACCTCCTTGAGGCCTTCGTTGGAAACGGGATTTCTTCATATTATGCTAGACAGAAGAATTCTCAGTAACTTCCTTGTGTTCTGTGTATTCAACTGACAGAGTTGAACTTTCATTTAGAGAGAGCAGATTTGAAACACTGTTTTTGTGGAATTTGCAAGTGGAGATTTCAAGCGCTTTGGGGCCAAAGGCAGAAAAGGAAATATCTTCGTATAAAAACTAGACAGAATCATTCTCAGAAACTGCTCTGCGATGTGTGCGTTCAACTCTCAGAGTTTAACTTTTCTTTTCATTCAGCAGTTTGGAAACACTCTGTTTGTAAAGTCTGCACGTGGATATTTTGATCACTTAGAGGCCTTCGTTGGAAACGGGTTTTTTTCCTGTAAGGCTAGACAGAAGAATTACCAGTAACTTCCTTGTGTTGTGTACATTCAACTCACAGAGTTGAACGTTCCCTTAGACAGAGCAGATTTGAAACACTCTTTTTGTGCAATTGGCAAGTGGTGATTTCAGCCGCTTTGAGGTCAATGGTAGAAAAGGAAATATCTTCGTATAAAAACTAGACAGAATCATTCCCACAAACTGCGTTGTGATGTGTTCGTTCAACTCACAGAGTTTAACCTTTCTGTTCATAGAGCAGTTAGGAAACACTGTGTAAAGTCTGTTAGTGGATATTCTGACATCTTGTGGCCTTCGTTGGAAACGGGATTTCTTCATATTCTGCTAGACAGAAGAATTCTCAGTAACTTCCTTGTGTTGTGTGTATTCAACTCACAGAGTTGAACGATCCTTTACACAGAGCAGACTTGAAACACTCTTTTTGTGGAATTTGCAAGTGGAGATTTCAGCCACTTTGAGGTCAATGGTAGAAAAGGAAATATCTTCGTATAAAGACTAGACAGAATGATTCTCAGAAACTCCTTTGTGATGTGTACGTTCAACTCACAGAGTTTAACCTTTCTTTTCATAGAGCAGTGAGGAAACACTCTGTTTGTAAAGTCTGCAAGTGGATATTGAGACCTCTTTGAGGCCTTCGTTGGAAACGGGTTTTTTTCATATAAGGCTAGACAGAAGAATTCCCAGTAACTTCCTTGTGTTGTGTGTGTTCAACTCACAGGAGTTGAACTTTCATTTACCCAGAGCAGATTTGAAACACTCTTTTTGTGGAATTTGCAAGTGGAGATTTCAAGCGCTTTGAGGCCAAAGGCAGAAAAGGAAATATCTTCGTTTCAAAACTAGACAGAATCATTCTCAGAAACTGCTGCGTGATGTGTGCGTTCAACTCTCAGACTTTAACTTTTCTTTTCATTCAGCGGTTTGGAAACACTCTGTTTGTAAAGTCTGCATGTGGATATTTTGACCACTTAGAGGCCTTCGTTGGAAACGGGTTTTTTTCATGTAAGGCAAGACAGAAGAATTCCCAGTAACTTCCTTGTGTTGTGTACATTCAACTCACAGAGTTGAACGTTTCCTTAGACACAGCAGATTTGAAACACTGTTTTTGTGCAATTGGCAAGTGGTGATTTCAGCCGCTTTGAGGTCAATGGTATAAAAGGAAATATCTTCATATAAAAACTAGACAGAATGATTCTCAGAAACTCCTTTGTGATGTGTGCGTTCAACTCACAGAGTTTAACCTTTCTTTTCATAGAGCAGTTAGGAAACACTCTGTTTATAAAGTCTGCAAGTGGATATTCAGACCCCTTTGAGGCCTTCGTTGGAAACGGGATTTCTTCATATTATGCTAGACAGAAGAATTCTCAATAACTTCCTTGTGTTGTGTGTATTCAACTCACAGAGTTCAACGATCCTTTACACAGAGCAGACTTGAAACACTCTTGTTGTGGAATTTGCAAGTGGAGATTTCAGCCGCTTTGAGGTCAATGGTAGAATAGGAAATATCTTCCTATAAAAACTAGACAGAATGATTCTCAGAAACTGCTTTGTGATGTGTGTGTTCAACTCACAGAGTTTAACGTTTCTTTTCATAGAGCAGTTAGTAAACACTCTGTTTATAAAGTCTGCAAGTGGATATTCAGACCCCTTTGAGGCCTTCGTTGGAAACGGGATTTCTTCATATTATGCTAGACAGAAGAATTCTCAGTAACTTCCTTGTGTTGTGTGTATTCAACTGACAGAGTTAAACTTTCATTTAGAGAGAGCAGATTTGAAACACTGTTTTTGTGGAATTTGCAAGTGGAGATTTCAAGCGCTTTGGGGCCAAAGGCAGAAAAGGAAATATCTTCGTATAAAAACTAGACAGAATCATTCTCAGAAACTGCTCTGCGATGTGTGCGTTCAACTCTCAGAGTTTAACTTTTCTTTTCATTCAGCAGTTTGGAAACAGTCTGTTTGTAAAGTCTGCACGTGGATATTTTGACCACTTAGAGGCCTTCGTTGGAAACGGGTTTCTTTCATGTAAGGCTAGACAGAAGAATTCCCAGTAACTTCCTTGTGTTGTGTGCATTCAACTCACAGAGATGAACGTTCCCTTAGACAGAGCAGATTTGAAACACTCTATTTGTGCAATTTGCAAGTGTAGATTTCAAGCGCTTTAAGGTCAATGGCTGAAAAGGAAATATCTTCGTTTCAAAACTAGACAGAATCATTCCCACAGACTGCGTTGTGATGTGTTCGTTCAACTCACAGAGTTTAACCTTTCTTTTCATAGAGCAGTTAGGAAACACTCTGTTGGTAAATTCTGTAAGTGGATATTCTGACATCTTGTGGCCTCCGTTGGAAACGGGATCTCTTCATATTCTGCTAGACAGAAGAATTCTCAGTAACTTCCTTGTGTTGTGTGTATTCAACTCACAGAGTTGAACGATCCTTTACACAGAGCGGACTTGAAACACTCGTTTTGTGGAATTTGCAAGTGGAGATTCCAGCCGCGTTGAGGTCAATGGTAGAAAAGGAAATATCTTCGTATAAAAACTAGACAGAATGATTCTCAGAAACTCCTTTGTGATGTGTGGGTTCAACTCACAGAGTTTAACCTTTCTTTTCATAGAGCAGTTAGGAAACACTCTGTTTGTAAAGTCTGCATGTGGATATTTGGACTTCTTTGAGGCCTTCGTTGGAAACGGGTTTTTTTCATGTAAGGCTAGACAGAAGAATTCTCAGTAACTTCCTTGTGTTGTGTGTATTCAACTGACAGAGTTCAACTTTCATTTAGAGAGAGCAGATTTGAAACACTGTTTTTGTGGAATTTGCAAGTGGAGATTTCAAGCGCTTTGGGGCCAAAGGCAGAAAAGGAAATATCTTCGTATAAAAACTAGACAGAATCATTCTCAGAAACTGCTCTGCGATGTGTGCGTTCAACTCTCAGAGTTTAACTTTTCTTTTCATTCAGCAGTTTGGAAACACTCTGTTTGTAAAGTCTGCACGTGGATAACTTGACCACTTAGAGGCCTTCGTTGGAAACGGGTTTTTTTCCTGTAAGGCTAGACAGAAGAATTCCCAGTAACTTCCTTGTGTTGTGTACATTGAACTCACAGAGTTGAACGTTCCCTTAGACAGAGCAGATTTGAAACACTCTTTTTGTGCAATTGGCAAGTGGAGATTTCAAGCGCTTTAAGGTCAATGGCAGAAAACGAAATATCTTCGTTTCAAAACTAGACAGAATCATTCCCACAAACTGCGTTGTGATGTGTTCGTTCCACTCACAGAGTTTAACCTTTCTGTTCATAGAGCAGTTAGGAAACACTCTGTTTGTAAAGTCTGTAAGTGGATATTCTGACATCTTGTGGCCTTCGTTGGAAACGGGATTTCTTCATATTCTGCTAGACAGAAGAATTCTCAGTAACTTCCTTGTGTTGTGTTTATTCAACTCACAGAGTTGAACGATCCTTTACACAGAGCAGACTTGAAACACTCTTTTTGTGGAATTTGCAAGTGGAGATTTCAGCCGCTTTGAGGTCAATGGTAGAAAAGGAAATATCTTCGTAGAAAAACTAGACAGAATGATTCTCAGAAACTCCTTTGTGATGTGTGCGTTCAACTCACAGAGTTTAACCTTTCTTTTCATAGAGAAGTTAGGAAACACTCTGTTTGTAAAGTCTGCAAGTGGATATTCAGACCTCTTTGAGGCCTTCGTTGGAAACGGGATTTCTTCATATTCTGCTAGAGAGAAGAATTCTCAGTAACTTCCTTGTGTTGTGTGTATTCAACTGACAGAGTTGAACTTTCATTTAGAGAGAGCAGATTTGAAACACTGTTTTTGTGGAATTTGCAAGTGGAAATTTCAAGCGCTTTGGGGTCAAAGGCAGAAAAGGAAATATCTTCGTATAAAAACTAGACAGAATCATTCTCAGAAACTGGTGCGTGATGTGTGCGTTCAACTCTCAGAGTTTAACTTTTCTTTTCATTCAGCGGTTTGGAAACACTCTGTTTGTAAAGTCTGCACGTGGAAATTTTGACCACTTAGAGGCCTTCGTTGGAAACGGGTTTTTTTCATGTAAGGCTAGACAGAAGAATTCTCAGTAACTTCCTTGTGTTGTGTGTATTCAACTCACAGAGTTGAACGATCCTTTACACAGAGCAGACTTGGAACACTCTTTTTGTGGAATTTGCAAGTGGAGATTTCAGCCGCTTTGAAGTCAAATGTAGAAAAGGAAATATCTTCCTATAAAAACTAGACAGAATCATTCCCACAAACTGCGTTGTGATGTGTGCGTTCAACTCAAAGAGTTTAACCTTTCTTTTCATAGAGCAGTTAGGAAACACTCTGTTTGTAAATTCTGCAAGTGGATATTCAGACCTCCTTGAGGCCTTCGTTGGAAACGGGATTTCTTCATATTCTGCTAGACAGAGAATTCTCAGTAACTTCCTTGTGTTGTGTGTATTCAACTCACAGAGTTGAACGATCCTTTACACAGAGCAGACTTGAAACACTCTTTTTGTGGAATTTGCAAGTGGAGATTTCAGCCGCTTTGAGGTCAATGGTAGAAAAGGAAATATCTTCGTATAAAGACTAGACAGAATGATTCTCAGAAACTCCTTTGTGATGTTTGCGTTCAACTCACAGAGTTTAACTTTTCTTTTCATAGAGCAGTTAGGAAACACTCTGTTTGTAAAGTCTGCAAGTGGATATTCAGACCTCTTTGAGGCCTTCGTTGGAAACGGGATTTCTTCATATTATGCTAGACAGAAGAATTCTCAGTCACTTCCTTGTGTTGTGTGTATTCAACTGACAGAGTTGAACTTTCATTTAGAGAGAGCAGATTTGAAACACTGTTTTTGTGGAATTTGCAAGTGGAGATTTCAAGCGCTTTGGGGCCAAAGGCAGAAAAGGATATATCTTCGTATAAAAACTAGACAGAATGATTCTCAGAAACTCCTTTGTGATGTGTGCGTTCAACTCACAGAGTTTAACCTTTCTTTTCATAGAGCAGTTAGGAAACACTCTGTAAAGTCTGCAAGTGGATATTCAGACCTCCTTGAGGCCTTCTTTGGAAACCGGATTTCTTCATATTCTGCTATACAGAAGAATTCTCAGAAACTTCCTTGTGTTGTGTGTTTTCAACTCACAGAGTTCAACGATCCTTTACACAGAGCAGACTTGAAACACTCTTTTTGTGGAATTTGCAAGTGGAGAATTCAGCCGCTTTGAGGTCAATGGTAGAATAGGAAATATCTTCCTATAGAAACTAGACAGAATGATTCTCAGAAACTCCTTTGTGATGTGTGCGTTCAACTCACAGAGTTTAACCTTTCTTTTCATAGAGCAGTTAGGAAACACTCTGTTTGTTAAGTCTGCAAGTGGATATTCAGACCTCCTTGAGGCCTTCGTTGGAAACGGGATTTCTTCATATTATGCTAGACAGAAGAATTCTCAGTAAGTTCCTTGTGTTGTGTGTATTCAACTCACAGAGTTGAATGATCCTTTACACAGAGCAGACTTGAAACACTCTTTTTGTGGAATTTGCAAGTGGAGATTTCATCCGATTTGAGGTCAATGGTAGAATAGGAAATATCTTCCTATAGAAACTAGACAGAATGATTCTCAGAAACTCCTTTGTGATGTGTGTGTTCAACTCACAGAGTTTAACCTTTCTTTTCATAGAGGAGTTAGGAAACACTCTGTTTGTAAAGTCTGCAAGTGGATATTCAGACCTCTTTGAGGCCTTCGTTGGAAACGGGTTTTTTTCATGTAAGGCTAGACAGAAGAATTCCCAGTAACTTCCTTGTGTTGTGTGTATTCAACTCACAGAGTTGAACTTTCATTTACACAGAGCAGATTTGAAACACTCTTTTTGTGGAATTTGCAAATGGAGATTTCAAGCCCTTTCAGGCCAAAGGTAGAAAAGGAAATATCTTCGTATAAAAACTAGACAGAATCATTCTCAGAAACTGCTGCGTGATGTGTGCGTTCAACTCTCAGACTTTAACTTTTCTTTTCATTCAGCCGTTTGGAAACACTCTGTTTGTAAAGTCTGCACGTGGATATTTTGACCACTTAGAGGCCTTCGTTGGAAACGGGTTTTTTTCATGTAAGGCTAGACAGAAGAATTCCCAGTAACTTCCTTGTGTTGTGTGCATTCAACTCACAGAGTTGAACGTTCCCTTAGACAGAGCAGATTTGAAACACTCTATTTGTGCAATTTGCAAGTGTAGATTTCAAGCGCTTTAAGGTCAATGGCAGAAAAGGAAATATCTTCGTTTCAAAACTAGACAGAAATCATTCCCACAAACTGCGTTGTGATGTGTTCGTTCAACTCACAGAGTTTAACCTTTCTGTTCATAGAGCAGTTAGGAAACACTCTGTTTGTAAAGTCTGTAAGTGGATATTCTGACATCTTGTGGCCTTCGTTGGAAACGGGATTTCTTCATATTCTGCTAGACAGAAGAATTCTCAGTAACTTCCTTGTGTTGTGTTTATTCAACTCACAGAGTTGAATGATCCTTTACACAGAGCAGACTTGAAACACTCTTTTTGTGGAATTTGCAAGTGGAGATTTCAGCCGCTTTGAGGTCAATGGTAGAAAAGTAAATATCTTCCTATAAAGACTAGACAGAATGATTCTCAGAAACTCCTTTGTGATGTGTGCGTTGAACTCACAGAGTTTAACCTTTCTTTTCATAGAGCAGTTAGGAAACACTCTGTTTGTAAAGTCTGCAAGTGGATATTCAGACATCTTTGAGGCTTTCGTTGGAAACGGGAGTTCATCATATTCTGCTAGACAGAAGAATTCTCAGTAACTGCCTTGTGTTGTGTGTATTCAACTCACAGAGTTGAACGATCCTTTACACAGAGCAGACTTGAAACACTCTTTTTGTGGAATATGCAAGTGGAGATTTCAGCCGCTTTGAGGTCAATGGTAGAATAGGAAATATCTTCCTATAGAAACTAGACAGAATCATTCTCAGAAACTGCTGCGTGA
Source organism: Homo sapiens (assembly GCF_000001405.40). NCBI lineage: Eukaryota > Metazoa > Chordata > Mammalia > Primates > Hominidae > Homo > Homo sapiens. The sequence continues at coordinate 123,822,139 of NC_000001.11, forward strand.
TGTGTGCGTTCAACTCTCAGAGTTTAACTTTTCTTTTCATTCAGCGGTTTGGAAACACTCTGTTTGTAAAGTCTGCACGTGGAAATTTTGACCACTTAGAGGCCTTCGTTGGAAACGGGATTTTTTCATGTAAGGCTATACAGAAGAATTCCCAGTAACTTCCTTGTGTTGTGTGCATTCAACTCACAGAGTTGAACGTTCCCTTAGACAGAGCAGATTTGAAACACTATATTTGTGTAATTTGCAAGTGTAGATTTCAAGCGCTTTAAGGTCAACGGCAGAAAAGGAAATATCTTCGTTTCAAAACTAGACAGAATCATTCCCACAAACTGCGTTGTGATGTGTTCGTTCAACTCACAGAGTTTAACCTTTCTTTTCATAGAGCAGTTAGGAAACAGTCTGTTTGTCAATTCTGTAACTGGATATTCTGACATCTTGTGGCCTTCGTTGGAAACGGGATTTCTTCATATTCTGCTAGACAGAAGAATTCTCAGAAACTTCCTTGTGTTGTGTGTATTCAACTCACAGAGTTGAACGATCCTTTACTCTGAGCAGGCTTGAAACACTCCTTTTGTGGAACTTGCAATTGGAGATTTCAGCCGCTTTGAGGTCAATGGTAGAATAGGAAATATCTTCCTATAGAAACTAGATAGAATGATTCTCAGAAACTCCTTTGTGATGTGTGTGTTCAACTCACAGAGTTTAACCTTTCTTTTCATAGAGCAGTTAGGAAACACTCTGTTTGTAAAGTCTGCAAGTGGATATTCAGACCCCTTTGAGGCCTTCGTTGGAAACGGGATTTCTTCATATTCTGCTAGACAGAAGAATTCTCAGTAACTTCCTTGTGTTGTGTGTATTCAACTGACAGAGTTGAACTTTCATTTAGAGAGAGCAGATTTGTAACACTGTTTTTGTGGAATTTGCAAGTGGAGATTTCAAGCGCTTTGGGGCCAAAGGCAGAAAAGGAAATATCTTCGTATAAAAACTAGACAGAATCATTCTCAGAAACTGCTGCGTGATGTGTGCGTTCAACTCTCAGAGTTTAACTTTTCTTTTCATTCAGCGGTTTCGAAACACTCTGTTTGTAAAGTCTGCACGTGGATATTTTGACCACTTAGAGGCCTTCGTTGGAAACGAGTTTTTTTCATGTAAGGCTAGACAGAAGAATTCCCAGTAACTTCCTTGTGTTGTGTGCATTCAACTCACAGGAGTTGAACGTTCCCTTAGACAGAGCAGATTTGAAACACTCTATTTGTGCAATTTGCAAGTGTAGATTTCAAGCGCTTTAAGGTCAATGGCAGAAAAGGAAATACCTTCGTTTCAAAACTAGACAGAATCATTCCCACAAACTGCGTTGTGATGTGTTCGTTCAACTCACAGAGTTTAACTTTTCTTTTCATAGAGCAGTTAGGAAACACTCTGTTTGTAAAGTCTGCAAGTGGATATTCAGACCTCCTTGAGGCCTTCGTTGGAAACGGGATTTCTTCATATTCTGCTAGACAGAAGAATTCTCAGTAACTTCCTTGTGTTGTGTGCATTCAACTCACAGATTTGAACGATCCTTTACACAGAGCAGACTTAAAACACACTTTTTGTGGAATTTGCAAGTGGAGATTTCAGCCGCTTTGAGGTCAATAGTAGAAAAGGAAATATCTTCGTAGAAAAACTAGACAGAATGATTCTCAGAAACTCCTTTGTGATGTGTGTGTTCAACCTCACAGAGTTTAACCTTTCTTTTCATAGAGCAGTTAGTAAACACTCTGTTTATAAAGTCTGCAAGTGGATATTCAGACCCCTTTGAGGCCTTCGTTGGAAACGGGATTTCTTCATATTATGCTAGACAGAAGAATTCTCAGTAACTTCCTTGTGTTGTGTGTATTCAACGGACAGAGTTGAACTTTCATTTAGAGAGAGCAGATTTGAAACACTGTTTTTGTGGAATTTGCAAGTGGAGATTTCAAGCACTTTGGGGCCAAAGGCAGAAAAGGAAATATCTTCGTATAAAAACTAGACAGAATCATTCTCAGAAACTGCTGCGTGGTGTGTGCGTTCAAATCTCAGAGTTTAACTTTTCTTTTCATTCAGCGGTTTGGAAACACTCTGTTTGTAAAGTCTACACGTGGATATTTTGACCACTTAGAGGCCTTCGTTGGAAACTGGTTTTCTTCATGTAAGGCTAGACAGAAGAATTCCCAGTAACTTCCTTGTGTTGTGTACATTCAACTCACAGAGTTGAACGTTCCCTTAGACAGAGCAGATTTGAAACACACTTTTTGTGCAATTGGCAAGTGGTGATTTCAGCCGCTTTGAGGTCAATGGTAGAAAAGGAAATATCTTCGTATAAAAACTAGACAGAATCATTCCCACAAACTGCGTTGTGATGTGCTCGTTCAACTCACAGAGTTTAACCTTTCTGTTCATAGAGCAGTTAGGAAACACTCTGTTTGTAAAGTCTGAAAGTGGATAATCTGACATCTTGTGGCCTTCGTTGGAAACGGGATTTCTTCATATTCTGCTAGACAGAAGAATTCTCAGTAACTTCCTTGTGTTGTGTGTATTCAACTCACAGAGTTGAAGGATCCTTTACAGAGAGCAGGCTTGAAACACTCTTTTTGTCGAATTTGAAAGTGGAGATTTCAGCCGCTTTGAGGTCAATGGTAGAATAGGAAATATCTTCTAATAGAAACTAGACAGAATGATTCTCAGAAACTCCTTTGTGATGTGTGCGTTCAACTCACAGAGTTTAACCTTTCTTTTCATGGAGCAGTTAGGAAACACTCTGTTTGTAAAGTCTGCAAGTGGATATTCAGACCTCCTAGAGGCCTTCTTTGGAAACAGGCTTTCTTCATATTATGCTAGACAGAAGAATTCCCAGTAACTTCCTTGTGTTGTGTGTGTTCAACTCACAGAGTTGAACTTTCTTTTACACAGAGCAGATTTGAAACACTCTTTTTGTGGAATTTGCAAATGGAGATTTCAAGCGCTTTGAGGCCAAAGGCAGAAAAGGAAATATCTTCGTATAAAAACTAGACAGAATCATTCTCAGAAACTGCTCTGCGATGTGTGCGTTCAACTCTCAGAGTTTAACTTTTCTTTTCATTCAGCAGTTTGGAAACACTCTGTTTGTAAAGTCTGCACGTGGATACTTTGACCACTTAGAGACCTTCGTTGGAAACGGGTTTTTTTCCTGTAAGGCTAGACAGAAGAATTCCCAGTAACTTCCTTGTGTTGTGTACATTCAACTCACAGAGTTGAACGTTCCCTTAGACAGAGCAGATTTGAAACACTCTTTTTGTGCAATTGGCAAATGGAGATTTCAAGCGCTTTAAGTTCAATGGCAGAAAAGGAAATATCTTCGTTTCAAAACTAGACAGAATCATTTCCACATACTGCGATGTGATGTGTTCGTTCAACTCACAGAATTTAACCTTTCTGTTCCTAGAGCAGTTAGGAAACACTCTGTTTGTAAAGACTGTAAGTGGATATTATGACATCATGTGGCCTTCGTTGGAAACGGGATTTCTTCATATTCTGCTGGACAGAAGAATTCTCAGTAACTTCCTTGTGTTGTGTGTATTTAACTCACAGAGTTGAATGATCCTTTACACAGAGCAGACTTGAAACACTCTTTTTGTGGAAATTGCAAGTGGAGATTTCAGCCGCTTTGAGGTCAATGGTAGAAAAGTAAATATCTTCGTATAAAGACTAGACAGAATGATTCTCAGAAACTCCTTTGTGATGTGTGCGTTCAACTCACAGAGTTTAACCTTTCTTTTCATAGAGCAGTTAGGAAACACTCTGTTTGTAAAGTCTGCAAGTGGATATTCAGACCTCTTTGAGGCCTTCGTTGGAAACGGGTTTTTTTCATATAAGGCTACACAGAAGAATTCTCAGTAACTTCCTTGTGTTGTGTGTATTCAACTGACAGAGTTGAACTATCATTTAGAGAGAGCAGATTTGAAACACTGTTTTTGTGGAATTTGCAAGTGGAGATTTCAAGCGCTTTGGGGCCAAAGGCAGAAAAGGAAATATCTTCGTATAAAAACTACACAGAATCATTCTCAGAAACTGCTGCGTGATGTGTGCGTTCAACTCTCAGAGTTTAACTTTTCTTTTCATTCAGCGGTTTGGAAACACTCTGTTTGTAAAGTCTGCACGTGGATATTTTGACCACTTAGAGGCCTTCGTTGGAAACGGCTTTTTTTCATGTAAGGCTAGACAGAAGAATTCCCAGTAACTTCCTTGTGTTGTGTGCATTCAACTCACAGAGTTGAACGTTCCCTTAGACAGAGCAGATTTGAAACACTCTATTTGTGCAATTTGCAAGTGTAGTTTTCAAGCTCTTTAAGGTCAACGGCAGAAAAGGAAATATCTTCGTTTCAAAACTAGACAGAATGATTCTCAGAAACTCCTTTGTGATGTGTGCGTTCAACTCACAGAGTTTAACCTTTCTTTTCATAGAGCAGTTAGGAAACACTCTGTTTGTAAAGTCTGCATGTGGATATTCAGACCTCTTTGAGGCCTTCGTTGGAAACGGGGTTTCTTCATATTATGCTAGACAGAAGAATTCTCAGTAACTTCCTTGTGTTGTGTGTATTCAACTCACAGAGTTGAACGATCCTTTACACAGAGCAGACTGGAAACACTCTTTTTGTGGAAATTGCAAGTGGAGATTTCAGCCGCTTTGAGGTCAATGGTAGAAAAGGAAATATCTTCGTATAAAAACTAGACAGAATGATTCTCAGAAACTCCTTTGTGATGTGTGCGTTCAAATCACAGAGTTTAACTTTTCTTTTCATATAGCAGTTAGGAAACACTCTGTTTGTAAAGTCTGCAAGTGGATATTCAGACCTCTTTGAGGCCTTCGTTGGAAACGGGATTTCTTCATATTATGCTAGACAGAAGAATTGTCAGTAACTTCCTTGTGTTGTGTGTATTCAACTGACAGAGTTGAACTTTCATTTCGAGAGAGCAGATTTGAAACACTGTTTTTGTGGAATTTGCAAGTGGAGATTTCAAGCGCTTTGGGGCCAAAGGCAGAAAAGGAAATATCTTCGTATAAAAACTAGACAGAATCATTCTCAGAAACTGCTGTGTGATGTGTGCGTTCAACTCTCAGAGTTTAACTTTTCTTTTCATTCAGCGGTTTGGAAACACTCTGTTTGTAAAGTCTGCACGTGGATATTTTGACCACTTAGAGGCCTTCGTTGGAAACGGGTTTTTTTCATGTAAGGCTAGACAGAAGAATTCCCAGTAACTTCCTTGTGTTGTGTGCATTCAACTCACAGAGTTGAACGTTCCCTTAGACAGAGCAGATTTGAAACACTCTATTTGTGCAATTTGCAAGTGTAGATTTCAAGCGCTTTAAGGTCAATGGCAGAAAAGGAAATATCTTCGTTTTAAAACTAGACAGAATCATTCCCACAAACTGCGTTGTGATGTGTTCGTTCAACTCACAGAGTTTAACCTTTCTTTTCATAGAGCAGTTAGGAAACAGTCTGTTTGTAAATTCTGTAAGTGGATATTCTGACATCTTGTGACCTTCGTTGGAAACGGGATTTCTTCATATTCTGCTAGACAGAAGAGTTCTCAGTAACTTCCTTCTGTTGTGTGTATTCAACTCACAGAGTTGAACGATCCTTTACACAGAGCAGACTTGAAACACTCTTTTTGTGGAATTTGCAAGTGGAGATTTCAGCCGCTTTTAGGTCAATAGTAGAAAAGGAAATATCTTCGTAGAAAAACTAGACAGAATGATTCTCAGAAACTCCTTTGTGATGTGTGCGTTCAACTCACAGAGTTCAACCTTTCTTTTCATAGAGCAGTTGGGAAACACTCTGTTTGTAAAGTCTGCAAGTGGATATTCAGACTTCTTTGAGGCCTTCTTTGGAAGCGGGATTTCTTCATATTCTGCTAGACAGAAGAATTCTCAGTAACTTCCTTGTGTTGTGTGTATTCAACTCACAGAGTTGAACTTTCATTTAGAGAGAGCAGATTTGAAGCACTGTTTTTGTGGAATTTGCAAGTGGAGACTTCAAGCGCTTTGGGGCCAAAGGCAGAAAAGGAAATACCTTCGTATAAAAACTAGACAGAATCATTCTCAGAAACTGCTGCGTGATGTGTGCGTTCAACTCTCAGAGTTTAAGTTTTCTTTTCATTCAGCGGTTTGGAAACACTCTGTTTGTAAAGTCTGCACGTGGATATTTTGACCACTTAGAGGCCTTCGTTGGAAACGGGTTTTTTCATGTAAGGCTAGACAGAAGAATTCCCAGTAACTTCCTTGTGTTGTGTGCATTCAACTCACAGAGTGGAACGTTCCCTTAGACAGAGCAGATTTGAAACACTCTATTTGTGCAATTTGCAAGTGTAGATTTCAAGCGCTTTAAGGTCAACGGCAGAAAAGGAAATATCTTCTTTTCAAAACTAGACAGAATCATTCCCACAAACTGCGTTGTGACGTGTTCGTTCAACTCACAGAGTTTAACCTTTCTGTTCATAGAGGAGTTAGGAAACACTCTGTTTGTAAAGTCTGTAAGTGGATATTCTGACATCTTGTGGCCTTCGTTGGAAACGGGATTTCTTTATATTCTGCTAGACAGAAGAATTCTCAGTAACTTCCTTGTGTTGTGTGTATTCAACTCACAGAGTTGAACGATCCTTTACACAGAGCAGACTTGTAACACTCTTTTTGTGGAATTTGCATGTGGAGATTTCAGCCACTTTGAAGTCAAAGGTAGAAAAGGAAATAACTTCCTATAAAAACTAGACAGAATGATTCTCAGAAACTCCTTTGTGATGTGTGCATTCAACTCACAGAGTTTAACTTTTCTTTTCATAGAGCAGTTGGGAAACACTCTGTTTGTAAAGTCTGCAACTGGATATTCAGACCTCTTTGAGGCCTTCGTTGGAAACGGGATTTCTTCATATTCTGCTAGACAGAAGAATTCCCAGTAACTTCATTGTGTTGTGTGTGTTCAACTCACAGAGTTGAACTTCCATTTACACAGAGCAGATTTGAAACACTCTTTTTGTGGAATTTGCAAGTGGAGATTTCAAGCGATTTGAGGCCAAAGGCAGAAAAGGAAATATACTTCGTTTCAAAACTAGACAGAATCATTCTCAGAAACTGCTCTGCGATGTGTGCACGTTCAACTCTCAGAGTTTAACTTTTCTTTTCATTCAGCAGTTTGGAAACACTCTGTTTGTAAAGTCTGCACGTGGATATTTTGACCACTTAGAGGCCTTCGTTGGAAATGGGTTTTTTTTCCTGTAAGGCTAGACAGAAGAATTCCCAGTAACTTCCTTGTGTTGTGTGCATTCAACTCACAGCAGTTGAACGTTCCCTTAGACAGAGCAGATTTGAAACACTCTATTTGTGCAATTTGCAAGTGTAGATTTCAAGCGCTTTAAGGTCAACGGCAGAAAAGGAAATATCTTCGTTTCAAAACTAGACAGAATCATTCCCACAAACTGCGTTGTGATGTGTGCGTTCAACTCAAAGAGTTTAACCTTTCTTTTCATAGAGCAGTTAGGAAACACTCTGTTTGTAAAGTCTGCAAGTGGATATTCAGACCTCCTTGAGGCCTTCGTTGGAAACGGGATTTCTTCATATTCTGCTAGACAGGAATAATTCTCAGTAACTTCCTTGTGTTGTGTGTATTCAACTCACAGAGTTGAAAGATCCTTTACAGAGAGCAGGCTTGAAACACTCTTTTTGTCGAATTTGCAAGTGGAGATTTCAGCCGCTTTGAGGTCAATGGTAGAATAGGAAATATCTTCTTATAGAAACTAGACAGAATGATTCTCAGAAAATCCTTTGTGATGTGTGCGTTCAACTCACAGAGTTTAACCTTTCTTTTCATAGAGCAGTTAGGAAACACTCTGTTTGTAAAGTCTGCAAGTAGATATTCAGACATTCTTTGAGGCCTTCGTTGGAAACGGGATTTCTTCATGTTCTGCTAGAAAGAAGAATTCTCAGTAACTTCCTTGTGTTGTGTGTATTCAACTCACAGAGTTGAACGATCCTTTACACAGAGCAGACTTGAAACACTCTTTTTGTGGAATTTGCAAGTGGAGATTTCAACCGCTTTGAGGTCAATGGTAGAAAAGTAAATATCTTCGTATAAAAACTAGACAGAGAATCATTCTCAGTAAACTGCTGCGTGATGTGTGCGTTCAACTCTCAGAGTTTAACTTTTCTTTTCATTCAGCGGTTTGGAAACACTCTGTTTGTAAAGTCTGCACGTGGATATTTTGACCACTTAGAGGCCTTCGTTGGAAACGGGTTTTTTTCATGTAAGGCTAGACAGAAGAATTCCCAGTAACTTCCTTGTGTTGTGTGCTTTCAACTCACAGAGTTGAACGTTCCCTTAGACAGAGCAGATTTGAAACACTCTATTTGTGCAATTTGCAAGTGTAGATTTCAAGCGCTTTAAGGTCAATGGCAGAAAAGGAAATATCTTCGTTTCAAAACTAGAAAGAATCATTCCCACAAACTGCGTTGTGATGTGTTCGTTCAACTCACAGAGTTTAACCTTTCTGTTCATAGAGCAGTTAGGAAACACTCTGTAAAGTCTGTAAGTGGATATTCTGACATCTTGTGGCCTTCGTTGGAAACGGGATTTCTTCATATTCTGCTAGACAGAATAATTCTCAATAACTTCCTTGTGTTGTGTGTATTCAACTCACAGAGTTGAAGGATCCTTTACAGAGAGCAGGCTTGAAACACTCTTTTTGTCGAATTTGCAAGTGGAGATTTCAGCCGCTTTGAGGTCAATGGTAGAATAGGAAATGTCTTCTTATAGAAACTAGACAAAATGATTCTCAGAAACTCCTTTGTGATGTGGGCGTTCAACTCACAGAGTTTAACCTTTCTTTTCATAGAGCAGTTAGGAAACACTCTGTTTGTAAGTCTGCACGTGGATATTTGGACTTCTTTGAGGCCTTCGTTGGAAACGGGTTTTTTTCATGTAAGGCTAGACAGAAGAATTCCCAGTAACTTCCTTGTGTTGTGTGTGTTCTACTCACAGAGTTGAACTTTGATTTACACAGAGCAGATTTGAAACACTCTTTTTGTGGAATTTGCAAGTGGAGATTTCAAGCGCTTTGAGGCCAAAGGCAGAAAAAGAAATATCTTCGTATAAAAACTAGACAGAATCATTCTCAGAAACTGCTCTGCGATGTGTGCGTTCAACTCTCAGAGTTTAACTTTTCTTTTCATTCAGCAGTTTGGAAAAACTCTGTTTGTAAAGTCTGCACGTGGATATTTTGACCACTTAGAGGCCTTCGTTGGAAACGGGTTTCTTTCCTGTAAGGCTACACAGAAGAATTCCCAGTAACTTCTTGTGTTGTGTGCATTCAACTCACAGAGTTGAACGTTCCCTTAGACAGAGCAGATTTGAAACACTCTATTTGTGCAATTTGCAAGTGTAGATTTCAAGCGCTTTAAGGTCAACGGCAGAAAAGGAAATATCTTCGTTTCAAAACTAGACAGAATCATTCCCACAAACTGCGTTGTGATGGGTTCGTTCAACTCACAGAGTTTAACCTTTCTGTTCATAGAGCAGTTAGGAAACACTCTGTTTGTAAAGTCTGTAAGTGGATATTCTGACATCTTGTGGCCTTCGTTGGAAACGGGATTTCTTCATATTCTGCTAGACAGAACAATTCTCAGTAACTTCCTTGTGTTGTGTGTATTCAACTCACAGAGTTGAACGATCCTTTACACAGAGCAGACTTGAAACACTCTTTTTGTGGAATTTGCAAGTGGAGATTTCAGCCGCTTTGAGTTCAATGGTAGAATAGGAAATATCTTCCTATAGAAACTAGACAGAATGATTCTCAGAAACTCCTTTGTGATGTGTGCCTTCAACTCACAGAGTTTAACCTTTCTTTTCATAGAGCAGTTAGGAAACACTCTGTTTGTAAAGTCTGCAAGTGGATATTCAGACCTCTTTGAGACCTTCGTTGGAAACGGGATTTCTTCATATTCTGCTAGACAGAATCATTCTCAGAAACTGCTCTGCGATGTGTGCGTTCAACTCTCAGAGTTTAACTTTTCTTTTCATTCAGCAGTTTGGAAACACTCTGTTTGTAAAGTCTGCACGTGGATATTTTGACCACTTAGAGGCCTTCGTTGGAAACGGGTTTTTTTCCTTTAAGGCTAGAGAGAAAAATTCCCAGTAACTTCCTTGTGTTGTGTGTATTCAACTCACAGAGTTGAACGTTCCCTTTGACAGAGCAGATTTGAAACACTCTTTTTCTGCAATTTGGAAGTGTAGATTTGAAGCGCTTTAAGGTCAATGGCAGAAAAGGAAATATCTTCGTTTCAAAACTAGACAGAACGATTCTCAGAAACTCCTTTGTGATGTGTGCGTTCAACTCACAGAGTTTAACCTTTCTTTTCATAGAGCAGTTAGGAAACACTCTGTTTGTAAAGTCTGTAAGTGGATATTCAGACCTGCTTTGAGGCCTTCGTTGGAAACGGGATTTCTTCATATTATGCTAGACAGAAGAATTCTCAGCAACTTCCTTGTGTTGTGTGTATTCAACTCAAGGAGTTGAACGATCCTTTACACAGAGCAGACTTGAAACACTCTTTTTGTGGAATTTGTAAGTGGAGATTTCAGCCGCTTTGAGGTTAATGGTAGAAAATGAAATATATTCGTATAGAAACTAGACAGAATGATTCTCAGAAACTCCTTTGTGATGTGTGCGTTCAACTCACAGAGTTTAACCTTTCTTTTCATAGAGCAGTTAGGAAACACTCTGTTTGTAATGTCTGCAAGTGGATATTCAGACATCTTTGAGGCTTTCGTTGGAAACGGGATTTCTTCATATTCTGCTATACAGAAGAATTCCCAGTAACTTCCTTGTGTTGTGTGTGTTCAACTCACCGAGTTGAACTTTCATTTACACAGAGCAGATTTGAAACACTCTTTTTGTGGTATTTGCAAGTGGAGATTTCAAGCGCTTTGAGGCCAAAGGCAGAAAAGGAAATATCTTCGTTTCAAAACTAGACAGAATCATTCTCAGAAACTGCTCTGCGATGTGTGCGTTCAACTCTCAGAGTTTAACTTTTCTTTTCATTCAGCAGTTTGGAAACACTCTGTTTGTAAAGTCTGCACGTGGATATTTTGACCACTTAGAGGCCTTCGTTGGAAAAGGGCTTTTCCCTGTAAGGCTAGACAGAAGAATTCCCAGTAACTTCCTTGTGTTGTGTGCATTCAACTCACAGAGTTGAACGTTCCCTTAGACAGAGCAGGTTTGAAACACTCTATTTGTGCAATTTGCAAGTGTAGATTTCAAGCGCATTAAGGTCAATGGCAGAAAAGGAAATATCTTCGTTTCAAAACTAGACAGAATCATTCCCACAAACAGCGTTGTGATGTGTTCGTTCAACTCACAGAGTTTAACCTTTCTTTTCATAGAGCAGTTAGGAAACAGTCTGTTTGTCAATTCTGTAAGTGGATATTCTGACATCTTGTGGCCTTCGTTGGAAACGGGATTTCTTCATATTCTGCTAGACAGAAGAAATCTCAGTAACTTCCTTGTGTTGTGTGTATTCAACTCACACAGTTGAACGATCCTTTTCAGAGAGCAGACTTGAAACACTCTTTTTGTGGAATTTGCAAGTGGAGATTTCAGCCGCTTTGAGGTCAATGGTAGAAAAGGAAATATCTTCGTATAAAGACTAGACAGAATGATTCTCAGAAACTCCTTTGTGATGTGTGTGTTCAACTCACAGAGTTTAACCTTTCTTTTCATACAGCAGTTAGGAAACACTCTGTTTGTAAATTCTGCAAGTGGATATTTTGACCGCTTTGAGGCCTTCGTTGGAAACAAGTTTTTTTCATGTAAGGCTAGACAGAAGAATTCTCAGTAACTGCCTTGTGTTGTGTGTATTCAACTCACAGAGTTGAACGATCCTTTACACAGAGCAGACTTGAAACACTCTTTTTGTGGAATTTGCAAGTGGAGATTTCAGCCGCTTTGAGGTCAATGGTAGAATAGGAAATATCTTCCTATAGAAACTAGAGAGAATCATTCTCAGAAACTGCTCTGCGATGTGTGCGTTCAACTCTCAGAGTTTTACTTTTCTTTTCATTCAGCAGTTTGGAAACACTCTGTTTGTAAAGTCTGCACGTGGATATTTTGACCATTTAGAGGCCTTCGTTGGAAACGGGTTTTTTTCCTGTAAGGCTAGACAGAAGAATTCTCAGTAACTTCCTTGTGTTGTGTGTATTCAACTCACACAGTTGAACGATCCTTTACACAGAGCAGACTTGTAACACTCTTTTTGTGGAATTTGCAAGTGGAGATTTCAGCCGCTTTGAAGTCAAATGTAGAAAAGGAAATATCTTCCTATAAAAACTAGACATAGTGATTCTCAGAAACTCCTTTGTGATGTCTGCGTTCAACTCACAGAGTTTAACCTTTCTTTTCATAGAGCAGTTAGGAAACACTCTGTTTGTAAAGTCTGCAAGTGGATATAGAGACCTCCTTTAGGCCTTCGTTGGAAATGGGATTTCTTCATATTCTGCTATACAGAAGAATTCTCAGAAACTTCCCTTGTGTTGTGTGTATTCAACTCACAGAGTTGAACGATCGTTTACACAGAGCAGACTTGAGACACTCTTTTTGTGGAATTTGTAAGTGGAGATTTCAGCCGCTTTGAGGTCAATGGTAGAAAAGGAAATATCTTCATATAAAAACTAGACAGAATGATTCTCAGAAACTTCTTTGTGATGTGTGCGTTCAACTCACAGAGTTTAACCTTTCTTTTCATAGAGCAGTTAGGAAACACTCTGTTTGTAAACTCTGCAAGTCGATATTCAGACCTCTTTGAGGCCTTCGTTGGAAACGGGATTTCTTCATACTATGCTAGACAGAAGAATTCCCAGTAACTTCCTTTTGTTGTGTGTGTTCAACTCACAGAGTTGAACTTTCATTTACACAGAGCAGATTTGAAACACTCTTTTTGTGAAATTTGCAAGTGGAGATTTCAAGCGCTTTGAGGCCAAAGGCAGAAAAGGAAATATCTTCGTTTCAAAACTAGACAGAATCATTCTCAGAAACTGCTGCGTGATGTGTGCGTTCAACTCTCAGAGTTTAACTTTTCTTTTCATTCAGCGGTTTGGAAACACTCTGTTTGTAAAGTCTGCACGTGGAAATTTTGACCACTTAGAGGCCTTCATTGGAAACGGGTTTTTTTCATGTAAGGCTAGACAGAAGAATTCCCAGTAACTTCCTTGTGTTGTGTGCATTCAACTCACAGAGTTGAACGTTCCCTTAGACAGAGCAGATTTGAAACAATCTATTTGTGCAATTTGCAAGTGTAGATTTCAAGCGCTTTAAGGTCAATGGCAGAAAAGGAAATATCTTCGTTTCAAAACTAGACAGAATGATTCCCACAAACTGCGTTGTGATGTGTTCGTTCAACTCACAGAGTTTAACCTTTCTGTTCATAGAGCAGTTAGGAAACACTCTGTTTGTAAAGTCTGTAAGTGGATATTCTGACATCTTGTGGCCTTCGTTGGAAACGGGATTTCTTCATATTATGCTAGACAGAAGAATTCTCAGTAACTTCCGCGTGTTGTGTGTATTCAACTCACAGAGTTGAACGATCCTTTACACAGAGCAGACTTGAAACACTCTTTTTGTGGAATTTGCCAGTGGAGATTTCAGCCGCTTTGAGGTCAATGGTAGAAAAGGAAATATCTTCCTGTAAAAACTAGACAGAATGATTCTCAGAAACTCCTTCGTGATGTGTGCGTTGAACTCACAGAGTTTAACCTTTCTTTTCATAGAGCAGTTAGGAAACACTCTGTTTGTAAAGTCTGCAAGTGGATATTCAGACCTCTTTGAGGCGTTCGTTGGAAACGGGTTTTTTTCATATAAGGCTAGAGAGAAGAATTCTCAGTAACTTCCATGTGTTGTGAGTATTCAACTCACAGAGTTGAACGATCCTTTACACAGAGCAGACTTGTAACAATCATTTTGTGGAATTTGCAATTGGAGATTTCAGCCGCTTTGAAGTCAAAGGTAGAAAAGGAAATATCTTCGTATAAAAACTAGACAGAATCATTCTCAGAAACTGCTGCGTGATGTGTGCGTTCAACTTCTCAGAGTTTAACTTTGCTTTTCATTCAGCGGTTTGGAAACACTCTGTTTGTAAAGTCTGCACGTGGATATTTTGACCACTTAGTGGCCTTCGTTGGAAACGGGTTTTTTTCATGTAAGGCTAGACAGAAGAATTCCCAGTAACTTCCTTGTGTTGTGTGCATTCAACTCACAGAGATGAACGTTCCCTTAGACAGAGCAGATTTGAAACACTCTATTTGTGCAATTTGCAAGTGTAGATTTCAAGCGCTTTAAGGTCAATGGCAGAAAAGGAAATATCTTCGTTTCAAAAGTAGACAGAATCATTCCCACAAACTGCGTTGTGATGTGTTCGTTCAACTCACAGAGTTTAACCTTTCTTTTCATAGAGCAGTTAGGAAACACTCTGTTGGTAAATTCTGTAAGTGGATATTCTGACATCTTGTGGCCTTCGTTGGAAACAGGATTTCTTCATATTCTGCTACACAGAAGAATTCTCAGAATCTTCCTTGTGTTGTGTGTATTCAACTCACAGAGTTGAACGATCCTTTACACAGAGCAGACTTGAAACACTCTTTTTGTGGAATTTGCAAGTGGAGATTTCAGCCGCTTTGAGGTCAAAGGTAGAAAATGAAGTATCTTCGTATAAAAACTAGACAGAATGATTCTCAGAAACTCCTTTGTGATGTGTGTGTTCAACTCACAGAGTTTAACCTTTCTTTTCATAGAGCAGTTAGGAAACACTCTGTTTGTAAAGTCTGCAAGTGGATATTCAGACCTCTTTGAGGCCTTCGTTGGAAACGGGTTTTTTCATATAAGGCTAGACAAAAAGAATTCTCAGTAACTTCCTTGTGTTGTGTGTATTCAACTGACAGAGTTGAACTTTCATTTAGACAGAGCAGATTTGAAACACTCTTTTTCTGGAATTTGCAAGTGGAGATTTCAAGCGCTTTGAGGCCAAAGGCAGAAAAGGAAATATCTTCGTATAAAAACTACACAGAATCATTCTCAGAAACTGCTCTGCGATGTGTGCGTTCTACTCTCAGAGTTTAACTTTTCTTTTCATTCAGCAGTTTGGAAACACTCTGTTTGTAAAGTCTGCACGTGGATAACTTGACCACTTAGAGGCCTTCATTGGAAACGGGTTTTTTTCATGTAAGGCTAGACAGAAGAATTCTCAGTAACTTCCTTGTGTTGTGTGTATTCAACTCACAGAGTTGAACGATCCTTTACACAGGGCAGACTTGAAACACTCTTTTTGTGGAATTTGCAAGTGGAGATTTCAGCCTCTTTGAGGTTAATGGTAGAAAATGAAATATCTTCCTATAGAAACTAGACAGATTGATTCTCAGAAACTCCTTTGTGATGTGTGCGTTCAAGTCACAGAGTTTAACCTTTCTTTTCATACAGCAGTTAGGAAACACTCTGTTTGTAAAGTCTGCAAGTGGATATTCAGACCTCTTTGTGGCCTTCGTTGGAAACGGGATTTCTTCATATTCTGCTAGACAGAAGAATTCTCAGTAACTTCCTTGTGTTGTGTGTATTCAACTCACAGAGTTGAACGATCCTTTACACAGAGCAGACTTGAAACACTCTTTTTGTGGAATTTGCAAGTGGAGATTTCAGCCGCTTTGAGGTCAATGGTAGAAAAGGGAATATCTTCGTATAGAAACTAGACAGAATGATTCTCAGAAACTCCTTTGTGATGTGTGTGTTCAACTCACAGGAGTTTAACCTTTCTTTTCATAGAGCAGTTAGGAAACACTCTGTTTGTAAAGTCTGCAAGTGGATATTCAGACCTCGTTGAGGCCTTCGTTGGAAACGGGATTTCTTCATATTCTGCTAGACAGAAGAATTCTCAGTAACTTCCTTGTGTTGTGTGTATTCAAACTGACAGAGTTGAACTTTCATTTAGAGAGAGCAGATTTGAAACACTGTTTTTGTGGAATTTGCAAGTGGAGATTTCAAGCGCTTTGGGGCCAAAGGCAGAAAAGGAAATATCTTCGTATAAAAACTAGACAGAATCATTCTCTGAAACTGCTCTGTGATGTGTGCGTTCAACTCTCAGAGTTTAACTTTTCTTTTCATTCAGCAGTTTGGAAACACTCTGTTTGTAAAGTCTGCACGTGGATATTTTGAACACTTAGAGGCCTTCGTTGGAAACGGGTTTTTTTCATGTAAGGCTAGACAGAAGAATTCCCAGTAACTTCCTTGTGTTGTGTGCATTCAACTCACAGAGTTGAACGTTCCCTTAGACAGAGCAGATTTGAAACACTCTATTTGTCCAATTTGCAAGTGTAGATTTCAAGCGCTTTAAGGTCAACGGCAGAAAAGGAAATATCTTCGTTTCAAAACTAGACAGAATCATTCCCACAAACTGCGTTGTGATGTGTTCGTTCAACACACAGAGTTTAACCTTTCTTTTCATAGAGCAGTTAGGAAACAGTCTGTTTGTAAATTCTGTAAGTGGATATTCTGACATCTTGTGGCCTTCGTTGGAAACGGGATTTCTTCATATTCTGCTAGACAGAAGAATTCTCAGTAACTTCCTTGTGTTGTGTGTATTCAACTCACAGAGTTGAACGATCCTTTACACAGAGCGGACTTGAAACACTCTTTTTGTGGAATTTGCAAGTGGAGATTTCAGCCGCGTTGAGGTCAATGGTAGAAAAGGAAATATCTTCGTATAGAAACTAGACAGAATGATTCTCAGAAACTCTTTTGTGATGTGTGCGTTCAACTCACAGAGTTCAACCTTTCTTTTCATAGAGCAGTTGGGAAACACTCTGTTTGTAAAGTCTGCAAGTGGATATTCAGACTTCTTTGAGGCCTTCGTTGGAAGCGGGATTTCTTCATATTCTGCTTGACAGAAGAATTCCCAGTAACTTCCTTGTGTTGTGTGTGTTCAACTCACAGAGTTGAACTTTCATTTACACAGAGCAGATTTGAAACACTCTTTTTGTGGAATTTGCAAGTGGAGATTTCAAGCAGTTTGAGGCCAAAGGTAGAAAAGGAAATATCTTCGTTTCAAAACTAGACAGAATCATTCTCAGAAACTGCTCTGCGATGTGTGCGTTCAACTCTCAGAGTTTAACTTTTCTTTTCATTCAGCAGTTTGGAAACACTTTGTTTGTAAAGTCTGCACGTGGATATTTTGACCACTTAGAGGCCTTCGTTGGAAACGGGTTTTTTTCCTGTAAGGCTAGACAGAAGAATTCCCAGTAACTTCCTTGTGTTGTGTACATTCAACTCACATAGTTGAACGTTCCCTTAGACAGAGCAGATTTGAAACACTCTTTTTGTGCAATTGGCAAATGGAGATTTCAAGCGCTTTAAGGTCAATGGCAGAAAAGGAAATATCTTCGTTTCAAAACTAGACAGAATCATTCCCACAAACTGCGTTGTGATGTGTTCATTCAACTCACAGAGTTTAACCTTTCTGTTCATAGAGCAGTTAGGAAACACTCTGTTTGTAAAGTCTGTAAGTGGATATTCTGACATCTTGTGGCCTTCGTTGGAAACGGGATTTCTTCATATTCTGCTAGACAGAAGAATTCTCAGAAACTTCCTTGTGTTGTGTGTTTTCAACTCACAGAGTTGAACGATCCTTTACACAGAGCAGACTTGCAACACTCCTTTTGTGGAATTTGCAAGTGGAGATTTCATCCGCTTTGAGGTCAATGGTAGAATAGGAAATATCTTCCTATAGAAAGTAGACAGAATGATTCTCAGAAACTCCTTTGTGATGTGTACGTTCAACTCACAGAGTTTAACTTTTCTTTTCATAGAGCAGTTAGGAAACACTCTGTTTGTAAAGTCTGCAAGTGGATATTCAGACCTCTTTGAGGCCTTCGTTGGAAACGGGTTTTTTTCATATAAGGCTAGACAGAAGAATTCCCAGTAACTTTCCTTGTGTTGTGTGTGTTCAACTCACAGAGTTGAACTTTCATTTACACAGAGCAGATTTGAAGCACTCTTTTTGTGGAATTTGCAAGTGGAGATTTCAAGCGCTTTGAGGCCAAAGGCAGAAAAGGAAATATCTTCGTTTCAAAACTAGACAGAATCATTCTCAGAAACTGCTCTGTGATGTGTGCGTTCAACTCTCAGAGTTTAACTTTTCTTTTCATTCAGCAGTTTGGAAACACTCTGTTTGTAAAGTCTGCACGTGGATATTTTGACCACTTAGAGGCCTTCGTTGGAAACGGGTTTTTTTCATGTAAGGCTAGACAGGAGAATTCCCAGTAACTTCCTTGTGTTGTGTACATTCAACTCACAGAGTTGAACGTTCCCTTAGACAGAGCAGATTTGAAACACTCTTTTTGGGCAATTGGCAAGTGGAGATTACAAGCGCTTTAAGGTCAATGGCAGAAAAGGAAATATCTTCGTATCAAAACTAGACAGAATCATTCCCACAAACTGCGTTGTGATGTGTTCGTTCAACTCACAGAGTTTAACCTTTCTGTTCATAGAGCAGTTAGGAATCACTCTGTTTGTAAACTCTGCAAGTGGATATTCAGACCTCTTTGAGGCCTTCGTTGGAAACGGGATTTCTTCATATTATGCTAGACAGAAGAATTCTCAGTAACTTCCTTGTGTTGTGTGTATTCAACTCACAGAGTTGAACGATCCTTTACACAGAGCAGACTTGTAACACTCTTTTTGTGGAATTTGCAAGTGGAGATTTCAAGCGCTTTGAGGCCAAAGGCAGAAAAGGAAATATCTTCGTTTCAAAACTAGACAGAATGATTCTCAGAAACTCCTTTGTGATGTGTGCGTTCAACTCACAGAGTTTTACCTTTCTTTTCATAGAGCAGTTAGGAAACACTCTGTTTCTAAAGTCTGCAAGTGAATATTCAGACCTCTTTGAGGCCTTCGTTGGAAACGGGTTTTTTCATATAAGGCTAGACAGAAGAATTCCCAGTAACTTCCTTGTGTTGTGTGTGTTCAACTCACAGAGTTCTACATTCATTTACACAGAGCAGATTTGAAACACTCTTTTTGTGGAATTTGCAAGTGGAGATTTCAAGCGCTTTGAGGCCAAAGGCAGAAAAGGAAATATCTTCGTATAAAAACTAGACAGAATCATGCTGAGAAACTGCTCTGCGATGTGTGCGTTCAACTCTCAGAAGTTTAACTTTTCTTTTCATTCAGCAGTTTGGAAACACTCTGTTTGTAAAGTCTGCACGTGGATAACTTGACCACTTAGAGGCCTTCGTTGGAAACGGGTTTTTTTCATGTAAGGCTAGACAGAGGAATTCCCAGTAACTTCCTTGTGTTGTGTACATTCAACTCACAGAGTTGAACGTTCCCTTAGACAGAGCAGATTTGAAACACTCTTTTTGTGCAATTGGCAAGTGGAGATTTCAAGCGCTTTAAAGTCAATGGCAGAAAAGGAAATATCTTCGTTTCAAAACTAGACAGAATCATTCCCACAAACTGCGTTGTGATGTGTTCGTTCAACTCACAGAGTTTAACATTTCTTTTCATAGAGCAGTTAGGAAACAGTCTGTTTGTCAATTCTGTAAGTGGATATTCTGACATCTTGTGGCCTTCGATGGAAACGGGATTTCTTCATATTCTGCTAGAGAGAAGAATTCTCAGTAACTTCCTTGTGTTGTGTGTATTCAACTCACAGAGTTGAACGATCCTTTACAGAGAGCAGACTTGAAACACTCTTTTTGTGGAATTCGCAAGTGGAGATTTCAGCCGCTTTGAGGTCAATGATAGAATAGGAAATATCTTCCTATAGAAACTAGACAGAATGATTCTCAGAAACTCCTTTGTGATGTGTGCGTTAAACTCACAGAGTTTAACCTTTCTGTTCATAGAGCAGTTAGGAAACACTCTGTTTGTAAAGTCTGCAAGTGGATATTCAGACCTCCTTGAGGCCTTCGTTGGAAACGGGATTTCTTCCTATTCTGCTAGACAGAAGAATTCTCAGTAACTTCCTTGTGTTGTGTGTATTCAACTGACAGAGTTGAACTTTCATTTAGAGAGAGCAGATTTGAAACACTGTTTTTGTGGAATTTGCAAGTGGAGATTTCAAGCGCTTTGCGGCCAAAGGCAGAAAAGGAAATATCTTCGTATAAAAACTAGACAGAATCATTCTCAGAAACTGCTGCGTGATGTGTGCGTTCAACTCTCAGACTTTAACTTTTCTTTTCATTCAGCCGTTTGGAAACACTCTGTTTGTAAAGTCTGCACGTGGATATTTTGACCACTTAGAGGCCTTCGTTGGAAACGGGTTTTTTTCCTGTAAGGCTAGACAGAAGAATTCCCAGTAACTTCCTTGTGTTGTGTGCATTCAACTCACAGAGTTGAACGTTCCCTTAGACAGAGCAGATTTGAAACACTCTATTTGTGCAATTTGTAGTGTAGATTTCAAGCGCTTTAAGGTCAATGGCAGAAAAGGAAATTTCTTCGTTTCAAAACTAGACAGAATCATTCCCACAAACTGCGTTGTGATGTTTTCGTTCAACTCACAGAGTTTAACCTTTCTGTTCATAGAGCAGTTAGGAAACACTCTGTTTGTAAAGTCTGTAAGTGGATATTCTGACATCTTGTGGCCTTCGTTGGAAACGGGATTTCTTCATATTCTGCTAGACAGAAGAATTCTCAGTAACTTCCTTGTGTTGTGTGTATTCAAATCACAGAGTGGAATGATCCTTTACACAGAGCAGACTTGAAACACTCTTTTTGTGGAATTTGCAAGTGGAGATTTCAGCCGCTTTGAGGTCAATGGTAGAAAAGGAAATATCTACGTATAAAGATTAGACAGAATGATTCTCAGAAACTCCTTTGTGATGTGTGCGTTCAACTCACAGAGTTTAACCTTTCTTTTCATAGAGCAGTTAGGAAACACTCTGTTTATAAAGTCTGCAAGTGGATATTCAGACCTCTTTGAGGCCTTCGTTGGAAACGGGATTTCTTCATATTCTGCTAGACAGAAGAATTCTCAGTAACTTCCTTGTGTTGTGTGTATTCAACTGACAGAGTTGAACTTTCATTTAGAGAGAGCAGATTTGAAACACTGTTTTTGTGGAATTTGCAAGTGGAGATTTCAAGCGCTTTGGGGCCAAAGGCAGAAAACGAAATATCTTCGTATATAAACTAGACAGAATCATTCTCAGAAACTGCTGCGTGATGTGTGCGTTCAACTCTCAGAGTTTAACTTTTCTTTTCATTCAGCGGTTTGGAGACACTCTGTTTGTAAAGTCTGCACGTGGATATTTTGACCACTTAGAGGCCTTCGTTGGAAACGGGTTTTTTTCATGTAAGGCTAGACAGAAGAATTCCCAGTAACTTCCTTCTGTTGCTTACATTCAGCTCACAGAGTTGAACGTTCCCTTAGACAGAGCAGATTTGAAACACTCTTTTTGTGCAATTGGCAAGTGGAGATTTCAAGCGCTTTAAGGTCAGTGGCAGAAAAGGAAATATCTTCGTTTCAAAACTAGACAGAATCATTCCCAAAAACTGCGTTGTGATGTGTTCGTTCAACTCACAGAGTTTAACCTTTCTGTTCATAGAGCAGTTAGGAAACACTCTGTTTGTAAAGTCTGTAAGTGGATATTCTGACATCTTGTGGCCTTCGTTGGAAACGGGATTTCTTCATATTCTGCTAGACAGAAGAATTCTCAGTAACTTCCTTGTGTTGTGTGTATTCAACTCACAGAGTTGAACGATTCTTTACACAGAGCAGACTTGAAACACTCTTTTTGTGAAATTTGCAAGTGGAGATTTCAGCCGCTTTGAGTTCAATGGTAGAATAGGAAATATCTTCCTATAGAAACTAGACAGAATGATTCTCAGAAACTCCTTTGTGATGTGTGCGTTCAACTCACAGAGTTCAACCTTTCTTTTCATAGAGCAGTTGGGAAACACTCTGTTCGTAAAGTCTGCAAGTGGATATTCAGACTTCTTTGAGGCCTTCGTTGGAAGCGGGATTTCTTCAAATTCTGCTAGACAGAAGAATTCCCAGTAACTTCCTTCTGTTGTGTGTGTTCAACTCACAGAGTTGAACTTTCATTTACACAGAGCAGATTTGAAACACTCTTTTTGTGGAATTTGCAAGTGGAGATTTCAAGCGCTTTGAGGCCAAAGGCAGAAAAGGAAATATCTTCGTATAAAAACTAGACAGAATCATTCTCAGAAACCGCTCTGTGATGTGTGCGTTCAACTCTCAGAGTTTAACTTTTCTTTTCATTTAGCAGTTTGGAAACACTCTGTTTGTAAAGTCTGCACGTGGATATTTTGAACACTTAGAGGCCTTCGTTGGAAACGGGTTTTTTTCATGTAAGGCTAGACAGAAGAATTCCCAGTAACTTCCTTGTGTTGTGTGCATTCAACTCACAGAGTTGAACCGTTCCCTTAGACAGAGCAGATTTGAAACACTCTATTTGTGCAATTTGCAAGTGTAGATTTCAAGCGCTTTAAGGTCAACGGCAGAAAAGGAAATATCTTCGTTTCAAAACTAGACAGAATCATTCCCACAAACTGCGTTGTGATGTGTTCGTTCAACTCACAGAGTTTAACCTTTCTGTTCATAGAGCAGTTAGGAAACACTCTGTTTGTAAAGTCTGTGAGTGGATATTCTGACATCTTGTGGCCTTCGTTGGAAACGGGATTTCTTCATATTCTGCTAGACAGAAGAATTCTCAGTAACTTCCTTGTGTTGTGTGTATTCAACTCACAGAGTTGAACGATCCTTTACACAGAGCAGACTTGAATCACTCTTTTTGTGGAATTTGCAAGTGGAGATTTCAGCCGCTTTGAGTTCAATGGTAGAATAGGAAATATCTTCCTATAGAAACTACACAGAATGATTCTCAGAAACTCCTTTGTGATGTGTGCGTTCAACTCACAGAGTTTAACCTTTCTTTTCATAGAGCAGTTAGGAAACACTCTGTTTGGAAAGTCTGCAAGTGGATATTCAGACCTCTTTGAGGCCTTCGTTGGAAACGGGTTTTTTTCATATAAGGCTAGACAGAAGAATTCTCAGTAACTTCCTTGTGTTGTGTGTATTCAACTCACAGAGTTGAACGATCCTTTACACAGAGCAGACTTGTAACACTCTTTTTGTGGAATTTGCAAGTGGAGATTTCAAGCGCTTTGAGGCCAAAGGCAGAAAAGGAAATATCTTCGTATAAAAACTAGACAGAATCATTCTCAGAAACTGCTCTGCGATGTGTGCGTTCAACTCTCAGAGTTTAACTTTTCTTTTCATTCAGCAGTTTGGAAACACTCTGTTTGTAAAGTCTGCACGTGGATATTTTGACCACTTAGAGGCCTTCGTTGGAAACGGGTTTTTTTCATTTAAGGCTAGACAGAAGAATTCCCAGTAACTTCCTTGTGTTGTGTGCATTCAAGTCACAGAGTTGAACGTTCCCTTAGACAGAGCAGATTTGAAACACTCTATTTGTGCAATCTCCAAGTGTAGATTTCAAGCGGTTTAAGGTCAACGGCAGAAAAGGAAATATCTTCGTTTCAAAACTAGACAGAATCATTCTCAGAAACTCCTTTGTGATGTGTGCGTTCAACTCACAGAGTTTAACTTTTCTTTTCATAGAGCCGTTAGGAAACACTCTGTTTGTAAAGTCTGCAAGTGGATATTCAGACCTCTTTGAGGCCTTCGTTGGAAACGGGATTTCTTCATATTATGCTAGACAGAAGAATTCTCAGTAACTTCCTTGTGTTGTGTGTATTCAACTCACAGAGTTGAACGATCCTTTACACAGAGCAGACTTGAAACATTCTTTCTGTGGAATTTGCAAGTGGAGATTTCAGCCGCTTTGAGGTCAATGGTAGAATAGGAAATATTTTCCTATAGAAACTAGACAGAATGATTCTCAGAAACTTCTTTGTGATGTGTGCGTTCAACTCACAGAGTTTAACTTTTCTTTTCATAGAGCAGTTAGGAAACACTCTGCTTGTAATCTCTGCAAGTGGATATTCAGTCCTCTTTGAGGCCTTCGTTGGAAACGGGATTTCATCATACTATGCTAGACAGAAGAATTCTCAGTAACTTCCTTGTGTTGTGTGTATTCAACTGACAGAGTTGAACTTTCATTTAGAGAGAGCAGATTTGAAACACTCTTTTTGTGGAATTTGCAAGTGGAGATTTCAAGCGCTTTGGGGCCAAAGGCAGAAAAGGAAATATCTTCGTATAAAAACTAGACAGAATCATTCTCAGAAACTGCTCTGCGATGTGTGCCTTCAGCGCTCAGAGTTTAACTTTTCTTTTCATTCAGCAGTTTGGAAACACTCTGTTTGTAAAGTCTGCACGTGTATATTTTGACCACTTAGAGGCCTTCGTTGGAAGCGGGTTTTTGTCATGTAAGGTTAGACAGAATAATTCCCAGTAACTTCCTTGTGTTGTGTACATTCAACTTACAGAGTTGAACGTTCCCTTGGACAGAGCAGATTTGAAACACTCTTTTTGTGCAATTGGCAAGTGGAGATTTCAAGCGCTTAAGGTCAATGGCAGAAAAGGAAATATCTTCGTTTCAAAACTAGACAGAATGATTCTCAGAAACTCCTTTGTGATGTGTGCGTTCAACTCACAGAGTTTAACCTTTCTTTTCATAGAGCAGTTAGGAAACACTCTGTTTGCAAAGTCTGCAAGTGGATATTCAGACCTCTTTGAGGCCTTCTTTGGAAACGGGATTTCTTCATATTATGCTATACACAAGAATTCTCAGTAACTTCCTTGTGTTGTGTGTATTCAACTCACAGAGTTGAACGATCTCTTACACAGAGCAGAGTTGAAACACTCTTTTTCTGGAATTTGCAAGTGGAGATTTCAGCCGCTTTGAGGTCAAAGGTAGAATAGGAAATATCTTCCTATAGAAACTAGACAGAATGATTCTCAGAAACTCCTTTGTGATGTGTGCGTTCAACACACAGAGTTTAACCTTTCTTTTCATAGAGCAGTTAGGGAACACTCTGTTTGTAAAGTCTGCAAGTGGATATTCAGACCTCTTTGAGGCCGTCGTTGGAAACGGGATTTCTTCATATTATGCTAGACAGAAGAATTCCCAGTAACTTCCTTGTGTTGTGTGTATTCAACTCACAGAGTTGAACTTTCATTTACACAGAGCAGATTTGAAACACTCTTTTTGTGGAATTTGCAAATGGAGATTTCAAGCGCTTTGAGGCCAAAGGCAGAAAAGGAAATATCTTCGTATAAAAACTAGACAGAATCATTCTCAGAAACTGCTCTGCGATGTGTGCGTTCAACTCTCCGAGTTTAACTTTTCTTTTCATTCAGCAGTTTGGAAACACTCTGTTTGTAAAGTCTGCACGTGGATAATTTGACCACTTAGAGGCCTTCGTTGGAAACGGGTTTTTTTTCATGTAAGGCTAGACAGAAGAATTCCCAGTAACTTCCTTGTGTTGTGTACATTCAACTCACAGAGTTGAACGTTCCCTTAGACAGAGCAGATTTGAAACACTCTTTTTGTGCAATTGGCAAGTGGTGATTTCAGCCGCTTTGAGGTCAATGGTAGAAAAGGAAATATCTTCGTATAAAAACTAGACAGAATGATTCTCATAAACTCCTTTGTGATGTGTGCGTTCAACTCACAGAGTTTAACCTTTCTGTTCATAGAGCAGTTAGGAAACACTCTGTTTGTAAAGTCTGTAAGTGGATATTCTGACATCTTGTGGCCTTCGTTGGAAACGGGATTTCTTCATATTCTGCTAGACAGAAGAATTCTCAGAATCTTCCTTGTGTTGTGTGTATTCAACTCACAGAGTTGAACGATCCTTTACACAGAGCAGACTTGAAACACTCTTTTTGTGGAATTTGCAAGTGGAGATTTCAGCCGCTTTGAGGTCCATGGTAGAAAAGGAAATATCTTCGTCTAAAAACTAGACAGAATGATTCTCATAAACTCCTTTGTGATGTGTGCGTTCAACTCACAGAGTTTAACTTTTCTTTTCATAGAGGAGTTAGGAAACACTCTGTTTGTAAAGTCTGCAAGTGGATATTCAGACCTCTTTGAGGCCTTCGTTGGAAACGGGATTTCTTCATATTCTGCTAGACAGAAGAATTCTCAGTAACTTCCTTGTGTTGTGTGTATTCAACTCACAGAGTTGAACGATCCTTTACACAGAGCAGACTTGAAACACTCTTTTTGTGGAATTTGCAAGTGGAGATTTCAGCCTCTTTGAGGTCAATAGTAGAAAAGGAAATATCTTCGTAGAAAAACTAGACAGAATCATTCTCAAAAACTGCTGCGTGATGTGTGCGTTCAACTCTCAGACTTTAACTTTTCTTTTCATTCAGCCGTTTGGAAACACTCTGTTTGTAAAGTCTGCACGTGGATATTTTGACCACTTAGAGGCCTTCGTTGGAAACGGGTTTTTTTCATGTAAGGCTAGACAGAAGAATTCTCAGTAACTTCCTTGTGTTGTGTGTATTCAACTCACAGAGTTGAACGATCCTTTACTCAGAGCAGGCTTGAAACACTCCTTTTGTGGAACTTGCAATTGGAGATTTCAGCCGCTTTGAGGTCAATGGTAGAATAGGAAATATCTTCCTATAGAAACTAGACAGAATGATTCTCAGAAACTCCTTTGTGCTGTGTGCGTTCAGCTCACAGAGTTTAACCTTTCTTTTCATAGAGCCGTTAGGAAACACTCTGTTTGTAAAGTCTGCAAGTGGATATTCAGACGTCTTTGAGGCCTTCGTTGGAAACGGGATTTCTTCATATTCTGCTAGACAGAAGAATTCTCAGAAACTTCCTTGTGTTGTGTGTTTTCAACTCACGGAGTTGAACGATGCTTTACACAGAGTAGACTTGAAACACTCTTTTTGTGTAATTTGCAAGTGGAGATTTCAGCCGCTTTGAGGTCAATGGTAGAAAAGGAAATATCTTCGTATAAAAACTAGACAGAATGATTCTCAGAAACTCCTTTGTGATGTGTGTGTTCAACTCACAGAGTTTAACCTATCTTTTCATAGAGCAGTTAGTAAACACTCTGTTTATAAAGTCTGCAAGTGGATATTCAGACCCCTTTGAGGCCTTCGTTGGAAACGGGATTTCTTCATATTATGCTAGACAGAAGAATTCTCAGTAACTTCCTTGTGTTGTGTGTATTCAACTGACAGAGTTGAACTTTCATTTAGAGAGAGCAGATTTGAAACACTGTTTTTGTGGAATTTGCAAATGGAGATTTCAAGCGCTTTGGTGCCAAAGGCAGAAAAGGAAATATCTTCGTATAAAAACTAGACAGAATCATTCTCAGAAACTGCTCTGCGATGTGTGCGTTCAACTCTCAGAGTTTAACTTTTCTTTTCATTCAGCAGTTTGGAAACACTCTGTTTGTAAAGTCTGCACGTGGATAATTTGACCTCTTAGAGGCCTTCATTTGAAACGGGTTTTTTTCATGTAAGGCTAGACAGAAGAATTCCCAGTAACTTCCTTGTGTTGTGTGCATTCAAGTCACAGAGTTGAACGTTTCCTTAGACAGAGCAGAATTGAAACACTCTATTTGTGCAATTTGCAAGTGTAGATTTCAACCGCTTTAAGGTCAACGGCAGAAAAGGAAATATCTTCGTTTCAAAACTAGACAGAATCATTCCCACAAACTGCGTTGTGATGCGTTTGTTCAACTCACAGAGTTTAACCTTTCTTTTCATAGAGCAGTTAGGAAACAGTCTGTTTGTAAATTCTGTAAGTGGATATTCTGACATCTTGTGGCCTCGCTGGAAACGGGATTACTTCATATTCTGCTAGACAGAAGAATTCTCAGTAACTTC
This sequence comes from Homo sapiens, assembly GCF_000001405.40. NCBI lineage: Eukaryota > Metazoa > Chordata > Mammalia > Primates > Hominidae > Homo > Homo sapiens. Next base: position 123,850,001 of record NC_000001.11, read on the forward strand.
CTTGTGTTGTGTGTATTCAACTCTCAGAGTTGAACGATCCTTTACACAGAGCAGACTTGAAACACTCTTTTTGTGGAATTTGCAAGTGGAGATTTCAGCCGCTTTGAGGTCAATAGTAGAAAAGGAAATATCTTCGTAGAAACACTAGACAGAATGATTCTCAGAAACTTCTTTGTGATGTGTGCGTTCAACTCACAGAGTTTAACCTTTCTTTTCATAGGGCAGTTAGGAAACACTCTGTTTGTAAACTCTGCAAGTGGATATTCAGACCTCTTTGAGGCCTTCGTTGGAAACGGGATTTCTTCATACTATGCTAGACAGAAGAATTCTCAGTAACTTCCTTGTGTTGTGCTTATTCAACTGACAGAGTTGAACATTCATTTAGAGAGAGCAGATTTGAAACACTGTTTTTGTGGAATTTGCAAGTGGAGATTTCAAGCGCTTTGGGGCCAAAGGCAGAAAACGAAATATCTTCGTATAAAAACTAGACAGAATCATTCTCAGAAACTGCTGCGTGATGTGTGCGTTCAACTCTCAGAGTTTAACTTTTCTTTTCATTCACCGGTTTGGAAACACTCTGTTTGTAAAGTCTGCACGTGGACATTTTGACCACTTAGAGGTCTTCTTTGGAAACGGGTTTTTTTCATGTAAGGCTAGACAGAAGAATTCCCAGTAACTTCCTTGTGTTGTGTGCATTCAACTCACAGAGATGAACGTTCCCTTAGACAGAGCAGATTTCAAACACTCTATTTGTGCAATTTGCAAGTGTAGATTTCAAGCGCTTTAAGGTCAATGGCAGAAAAGGAAATATCTTCGTTTCAAAACTAGACAGAATCATTCCCACAAACTGCGTTGTGAAGTGCTCGTTCAACTCACAGAGTTTAACCTTTCTGTTCATAGAGCAGTTAGGAAACACTCTGTTTGTAAAGTCTGTAAGTGGATATTCTGACATCTTGTGGCCTTCGTTGGAAACGGAATTTCTTCATATTCTGCTAGACAGAAGAATTCTCAGTAACTTCCTTGTGTTGTGTGTATTCAACTCACAGAGTTGAACGATCCTTTACACAGAGCAGACTTGAAACACTCTTTTTGTGGAATTTGCAAGTGGAGATTTCAGCCGCTTTGAGTTCAATGGTAGAATAGGAAATATCTTCCTGTAGAAACTAGACAGAATGATTCTCAGAAACTCCTTTGTGATGTGTGCGTTCAACTCACAGAGTTCAACCTTTCTTTTCATAGAGCAGTTGGGAAACACTCTGTTTGTAAAGTGTGCAAGTGGATATTCAGACTTCTTTGAGGCCTTCGTTGGAAGCGGGATTTCTTCATGTTCTGCTAGAAAGAAGAATTCTCAGTAACTTCCTTGTGTTGTGTGTTTTCAACTGACAGAGTTGAACTTTCATTTAGAGAGAGCAGATTTGTAACACTGTTTTTGTGGAATTTGCAAGTGGAGATTTCAAGCGCTTTGGGGCCAAAGGCAGAAAAGGAAATATCTTCGTATAAAAACTAGACAAAATCATTCTCAGAAACTGCTCTGCGATGTGTGCGCTCAACTCTCAGAGTTTAACTTTTCTTTTCATTCAGCAGTTTGGAAACACTCTGTTTGTAAAGTCTGCACGTGGATATTTTGACCACTTAGAGGCCTTCGTTGGAAACGGGTTTTTTTCCTGTAAGGCTAGACAGAAGAATTCCCAGGAACTTCCTTGTGTTGTGTACATTCAACTCACAGAGTTGAACGTTCCCTTAGACAGAGCAGATTTGAAACACTCTTTTTGTGCAATTGGCAAATGGAGATTTCAAGCGCTTTAAGTTCAATGGCAGAAAAGGAAATATCTTCGTTTCAAAACTAGACAGAATCAATCCCACAAACTGCGTTGTGATGTGTTCGTTCAACTCACAGAGTTTAACCTTTCTGTTCATAGAGCAGTTAGGAAACACTCTGTTTGTAAAGTCTGTAAGTGGATATTCTGACATTTTGTGGCCTTGGTTGGAAATGGCATTTCTTCATATACTCCAAGACAGAAGAATTCTCAGTAACTTCCTTGTGTTGTGTGTATTCAACTCACAGAGTTGAACGATCCTTTACACAGAGCGGACTTGTAACACTCTTTTTGTGGAATTTGCAAGTGGAGATTTCAGCCGCTTTGAAGTCAAAGGTAGAAAAGGAAATATCTTCCTATAAAAACTAGACAGAATGATTCTCAGAAACTCCTTTGTGATGTGTGCGTTCAACACACAGAGTTTAACTTTTCTTTTCATAGAGCAGTTAGGAAACACTCTGTTTGTAAAGTCTGCAAGTGGATATTCAGACCTCTTTGAGGCCTTCGTTGGAAACGGAATTTCTTCATATTATGCTAGACAGAAGAATTCCCAGTAACTTCCTTGTGTTGTGTGTATTCAACTCACAGAGTTGAACTTTCATTTACACAGAGCAGATTTGAAACACTCTTTTTGTGGAATTTGCAAGTGGAGATTTCAAGCGCTTTGAGGCCAAAGGCAGAAAAGGAAATATCTTCGTATAAAAACTAGACAGAATCATTCTCAGAAACTGCTCTGCGATGTGTGCGTTCAACTCTCAGAGTTTAACTTTTCTTTTCATTCAGCAGTTTGGAAACAATCTGTTTGTAAAGTCTGCACGTGGATAATTTGACCACTTAGAGGCCTTCGTTGGAAACGGGTTTTTTTCCTGTAAGGCTAGACAGAAGAATTCCCAGTAACTTCCTTGTGTTGTGTACATTCAACTCACAGAGTTGAACGTTCCCTTAGACAGAGCAGATTTGAAATACTCTTTTTGTGCAATTGGCAAGTGGAGATTTCAAGCGCTTTAAGGTCAATGGCAGAAAAGGAAATATCTGCGTTTCAAAACTAGACAGAATCATTCCCACAAACTGCGTTGTGATGTGTTCGTTCAACTCACAGAGTTTAACCTTTCTTTTCATAGAGCAGTTAGGAAACACTCTGTTTGTAAATTCTGTAAGTGGATATTCTGACATCTTGTGGCCTTCGTTTGAAACGGGATTTCTTCATATTCTGCTAGACAGAAGAATTCTCAGTAACTTTCCTTGTGTTGTGTGTATTCAACTCACAGAGTTGAACGATCCTTTACACAGAGCAGACTTGTAACACTCTTTTTGTGGAATTTCCAAGTGGAGATTTCAGCCGCTTTGAAGTCAAAGGTAGAAAAGGAAATATCTTCCTATAAAAACTAGACAGAATGATTCTCAGAAACTCCTTTGTGATGTGTACGTTCAACTCACAGAGTTTAACCTTTCTTTTCATAGAGTAGTTAGGAAACACTCTGTTTGTAAAGTCTGCAAGTGGATATTGAGACCTCTTTGAGGCCTTCGTTGGAAACGGGTTTTTTTCATATAAGGCTAGACAGAAGAATTCCCAGTAGCTTCCTTGTGTTGTGTGTGTTCAACTCACAGAGTTGAACTTTCATTTACACAGAGCAGATTTGAAACACTCTTTTTGTGGAAGTTGCAAGTGGAGATTTCAAGCGCTTTGAGGCCAAAGGCAGAAAAGGAAATATCTTCGTTTCAAAACTAGACAGAATCATTCTCAGAAACTGCTCTGTGATGTGTGCGTTCAACTCTCAGAGTTTAACTTTTCTTTTCATTCAGCAGTTTGGAAACTCTCTGTTTGTAAAGTCTGCACGTGCATATTTTGAACACTTAGAGGCCTTCGTTGGAAACGGGTTTTTTTCATGTAAGGCTAGACAGAAGAATTCCCAGTAACTTCCTTGTGTTGTTTGCATTCAACTCACAGAGTTGAACGTTCCCTTAGACAGAGCAGATTTGAAACACTGTATTTGTGCAATTTGCAAGTGTAGATTTCAAGCGCTTTAAGGTCAATGGCAGAAAAGGAAATATCTTCGTTTCAAAACTAGACAGAATCATTCCCACAAACTGCGTTGTGATGTGTTCGTTCAACTCACAGAGTTTAACCTTTCTGTTCATAGAGCAGTTAGGAAACACTCTGTTTGTAAAGTCTGTAAGTGGATATTCTGACATCTAGTGGCCTTCGTTGGAAACGGGATTTCTTCATATTCTGCTAGACAGAAGAATTCTCAGTAACTTCCGCGTGTTGTGTGTATTCAACTCACAGAGTTGAACGATCCTTTACACAGAGCAGACTTGTAACACTCTTTTTGTGGAATTTGCAAGTGGAGATTTCAGCCGCTTTGAAGTCAAAGGTAGAAAAGGAAATATGTTCCTATAAAAACTAGACAGAATGATTCTCAGAAACTCCTTTGTGATGTGTGCGTTCAACTCACAGAGTTTAACCTTTCTTTTCATAGAGCAGTTAGGAAACACTCTGTTTGTAAAGTCTGCAAGTGGATATTCAGACCTCTTAGAGGCCTTCGTTGGAAACGGTTTTTTTTCATATAAGGCTAGACAGAAGAATTCTCAGTAACTTTCCTTGTGTTGTGTGTATTCAACTCACAGAGTTGAACGATCCTTTACACAGAGCAGACTTGTAAAACTCTTTTTGTGGAATTTGCAAGTGGAGATTTCAGCCGCTTTGAAGTCAAAGGTAGAAAAGGAAATAACTTCCTATAAAAACTGGACAGAAATCATTCTCAGAAACTGCTCTGCGATGTGTGCGTTCAACTCTCAGCAGTTTAACTTTTCTTTTCATTCAGCAGTTTGGAAACACTCTGTTTGTAAAGTCTGCACGTGGATAATTTGACCACTTAGAGGTCTTCGTTGGAAACGGGTTTTTTTCATGTAAGGCTAGACAGAAGAATTCCCAGTAACTTCCTTGTGTTGTGCGCATTCAACTCACAGAGTTGAACGTTCCCTTAGACAGAGCAGATTTGAAACACTCTATTTGTGCAATTTGCAAGTGTAGATTTCAAGCGCTTTAAGGTCAACGCCAGAAAAGGAAATATCTTCATTTCAAAACTAGACAGAATCATTCCCACAAACTGCGTTGTGATGTGTTCGTTCAACTCACAGAGTTTAACTTTTCTTTTCATAGAGCAGTTAGGAAACACTCTGTTTGTAAAGTCTGTAAGTGGATATTCTGACATCTTGTGGCCTTCGTTGGAAACGAGGATTTTCTTCATATTCTGCTAGACAGAAGAATTCTCATTAACTTCCTTGTGTTGTGTGTATTCAACTCACAGAGTTGAACGATCCTTTACACAGAGCAGACTTGTAACACTCTTTTTGTGGAATTTGCAAGTGGAGATTTCAGCCGCTTTGAAATCAAAGGTAGAAAAGGAAATATCTTCCTATAAAAACTAGACAGAATGATTCTCAGAAACTCCTTTGTGATGCGTGCGTTCAACTCACAGAGTTTAACCTTTCTTTTCATAGAGCAGTTAGGAAACACTCTGTTTGTAAAGTCTGCAAGTGGATATTCAGACCTCTTTGAGGCCTTCGTTGGAAACGGGTTTTTTTCATAGAAGGCTAGACAGAAGAATTCTCAGTAACTTCCTTGTGTTGTGTGTATTCAACTGACAGAGTTGAACTTTCATTTAGAGAGAGCTGATTTGAAACACTGTTTTTGTGGAATTTGCAAGTGGAGATTTCAAGCGCTTTGGGGCCAAAGGCAGAAAAGGAAATATCTTCGTATAAAAACTAGACAGAATCATTCTCAGAAACTGCTGCGTGATGTGTGCGTTCAACTCTTAGAGTTTAACTTTTCTTTTCATTCAGCGGTTTGGAAACACTCTGTTTGTAAAGTCTGCACGTGGATATTTTGACCACTTAGAGGCCTTCGTTGGAAACGGGTTTTTTGCATGTAAGGCTAGACAGAAGAATTCCCAGTAACTTCCTTGTGTTGTGTGCATTCAACTCACAGAGTTGAACGTTCCCTTAGACAGAGCAGATTTGAAACACTCTATTTGTGCAATTTGCAAGTGTAGATCTCAAGCGCTTTAAGGTCAATGGCAGAAAAGGAAATATCTTCGTTTCAAAACTAGACAGAATGATTCTCATAAACTCCTTTGTGATGTGTGCGTTCAACACACAGAGTTTAACCTTTCTGTTCATAGAGCAGTTAGGAAACACTCTGTTTGTAAAGTCTGCAAGTGGATATTCAGACCTCCTTGAGGCCTTCGGTGGAAACGGGATTTCTTCATATTCTGCTAGACAGAATAATTCTCAGTAACTTCCTTGTGTTGTGTGTATTCAACTCACAGAGTTGTACGATCCTTTACAGAGAGCAGACTTGAAACACTCTTTTTGTGGAATTTGCAAGTGGAGATTTCAGCAGCTTTGAGGTCAACGGTAGAATAGGAAATATCTTCCTATAGAAACTAGACAGAATGATTCTCAGAAACTCCTTTGTGATGTGTGCGTTCAACTCACAGAGTTTAACCTTTCTTTTCATAGAGCAGTTAGGAAACACTCTGTTTGTAAAGTCTGCAAGTGGATATTCAGACCTCTTTGAGGCCTTCGTTGGAAACGGGTTTTTTCATATAAGGCTAGACAGAAGAATTCCCAGTAACTTCTTTGTGTTGTGTGTGTTCAACTCACAGAGTTGAACTTTCATTTACACAGAGCAGATTTGAAACACTCTTTTTGTGGAATTTGCAAATGGAGATTTCAAGCGCTTTGAGGCCAAAGGCAGAAAAGGAAATATCTTCGTATAAAAACTAGACAGAATCATTCTCAGAAACTGCTCTGCAATGTGTGCGTTCAACTCTCAGAGTTTAACTTTTCTTTTCATTCAGCAGTTTGGAAACACTCTGTTTGTAAAGTCTGCACGTGGATAATTTGACCACTTAGAGGCCTTCGTTGGAAACGGGTTTTTTTCATGTAAGGCTAGACAGAAGAATTCTCAGTAACTTCCTTGTGTTGTGTGTATTCAACTCACAGAGTTGAACGATCCTTTACACAGAGCAGACTTGTAACACTCTTTTTGTGGAATTTGCAAGTGGAGATTTCAGCCGCTTTGAAGTCAAAGGTAGAAAAGGAAATGTCTTCCTATAAAAACTAGACAGAATCATTCCCACAAACTGCATTGTGATGTGTTCGTTCAACTCACAGAGTTTAACCTTTCTTTTCATAGAGCAGTTAGGAAACACTCTGTTGGTAAATTCTGTAAGTGGATATTCTGACATCTTGTGGCCTTCGTTGGAAACGGGATTTCTTCATATTCTGCTACACAGAAGAATTCTCAGTAACTTCCTTGTGTTGTGTGTGTTCAACTCACAGAGTTGAACGATCCTTTACACAGAGCAGACTTGAAACACTCTTTTTGTGGAATTTGCAAGTGGAGATTTCAGCCGCTTTGAGTTCAATGGTAGAATAGGAAATATCTTCCTATAGAAACTAGACAGAATGATTCTCACAAAATCTTTTGTGATGTGTGCGTTCAACTCACAGAGTTTAACTTTTCTTCTCATAGAGCAGTTAGGAAACACTCTGTTTGTAAAGTCTGCAAGTGGATATTCAGACCTCTTTGAGGCCTTCGTTGGAAACGGGATTTCTTCATATTCTGCTAGACAGAAGAATTCCCAGTAACTTCCTTGTGTTGTGTGTGTTCAACTCACAGAGTTGAACTTTCATTTACACAGAGCAGATTTGAAACACTCTTTTTGTGGAATTTGCAAATGGAGATTTCAAGCGCTTTGACGCCAAAGGCAGAAAAGGAAATATCTTCGTATAAAAACTAGACAGAATCATTCTCAGAAACTGCTCTGCGATGTGTGCGTTCAACTCTCAGAGTTTAACTTTTCTTTTCATTCAGCAGTTTGGAAACACTCTGTTTGTAAAGTCTGCACGTGGATATTTTGACCACTTAGAGGCCTTCGTTGGAAACGGGTTTTTTTCCTGCAAGGCTAGACAGAAAAATTCCCAGTAACTTCCCGTGTGTTGTGTGCATTCAACTCACAGAGTTGAACGTTCCCTTAGACAGAGCAGATTTGAAAAACTCCTTTTGTGCAATTTGGAATTGGAGATTTCAAGCGCTTTAATGTCAATGGCAGAAAAGAAAATACCTTCGTTTCAAAACTAGACAGAATCATTCCCACAAACTGCGTTGTGATGTGTTCGTTCAACTCACAGAGTTTAACCTTTCTTTTCATAGAGCAGTTAGGAAACAGTCTGTTTGTCAATTCTGTAAGTGGATATTCTGACATCTTGTGGTCTTCGTTGGAAACGGGATTTCTTCATATTCTGCTAGACAGAAGAATTCTCAGTAACTTCCTTGTGTTGTGTGTATTCAACTCACAGAGTTGAACGATCCTTTACACTGAGCAGACTTGAAACATTCTTTTTGTGGAATTTGCAAGTGGAGATTTCAGCCGCTTTGAGGTCAATGGTAGAATAGGAAATATCTTCCTATAGAAATTAGACAGAATGATTCTCAGAAACTCCTTTGTGATGTGTGTGTTCAACTCACAGAGTTTAACCTTTCTTTTCATAGAGCAGTTAGTAAACACTCTGTTTATAAAGTCTGCAAGTGGATATTCAGACCCCTTTGAGGCCTTCGTTGGAAACGGCATTTCTTCATATTATGCTAGACAGAAGAATTCTCAGTAACTTCCTTGTGTTGTGTGTATTCAAGTGACAGAGTTGAACTTTCATTTAGAGAGAGCAGATTTGAAACAGTGTTTTTGTGGAATTTGCAAGTGGAGATTTCAAGCGCTTTGGGGCCAAAGGCAGAAAAGGAAATATCTTCGTATAAAAACTAGACAGAATCATTCTCAGAAACTGCTCTGCGATGTGTGCGTTCAACTCTCAGAGTTTAACTTTTCTTTTCATTCAGCAGTTTGGAAACACTCTGTTTGTAAAGTCTGCACGTGGATATTTTGACCATTTAGAGGCCTTCGTTGGAAACGGGTTTTTTTCTTGTAAGGCTAGACAGAAGAATTCCCAGTAACTTCCTTGTGTTGTGTACATTCAACTCACAGGGTTGAACGTTCCCTTAGACAGAGCAGATTTGAAACACTCTTTTTGTGCAATTGGCAAGTGGAGATTTCAAGCGCTTTAAGGTCAATGGCAGAAAAGGAAATATCTTCGTTTCAAAACTAGACAGAATCATTCCCACAAACTGCGTTGTGATGTGTTCGTTCAACTCACAGAGTTTAACCTTTCTTTTCATAGAGCAGTTAGGAAACAGTCTGTTTGAAAATTCTGTAAGTAGATATTCTGACAGCTTGTGGCCTTCGTTGGAAACGGGATTTCTTTATATTCTGCTAGACAGAAGAATTCTCAGTAACTTCCTTGTGTTGTGTGTATTCAACTCACAGAGTTGAACGATCCTTTACACAGACCAGACTTGTAACACTCTTTTTGTGGAATTTGCAAGTGGAGATTTCAGCCGCTTTGAAGTCATAGGTAGAAAAGGAAATATCTTCGTATAAAAACTAGACAGAATGATTCTCAGAAACTCGTTTGTGATGTGTGCGTTCAACTCACAGAGTTTAACCTTTCTTTTCATAGAGCAGTTAGGAAACACTCTGTTTGTAAAGTCTGCAAGTGGATATTCAGACCTCTTTGAGGCCTTCGTTGGAAACGGGGTTTTTTCATATAAGGCTAGACAGAAGAATTCCCAGTAACTTCCTTGTGTTGTGTGTGTTCAACTCACAGAGTTGAACTTTCAGTTACACAGAGCAGATTTGAAACACTCTTTTTGTGGAATTTGCAAGTGGAGATTTCAAGCGCTTTGAGGCCAAAGGCAGAAAAGGAAATATCTTCGTTTCAAAACTAGACAGAATGATTCTCAGAATCTCCTTTGTGATGTGTGCGTTCAACTCTCAGAGTTTAACTTTTCTTTTCATTCAGCGGTTTGGAAACACTCTGTTTGTTAAGTCTGCACGTGGATATTTTGACCACTTAGAGGCCTTCGTTGGAAACGGGTATTTTTCATGTAAGGCTAGACAGAAGAATTCCCAGTAACTTCCTTGTGTTGTGTGCATTCAACTCACAGAGTTGAACGTTCCCTTAGACAGAGCAGATTTGAAACACTCTATTTGTGCAATTGGCAAGTGGAGATTTCAAGCGCTTTAAGGTCAATGGCAGAAAAGGAAATATCTTCGTTTCAAAACTAGACAGAATCATTCCCACAAACTGCGTTGTGATGTGTTCGTTCAACTCACAGAGTTTAACATTTCTGTTCATAGAGCAGTTAGGAAACACTCTGTTTGTAAAGTCTGTAAGTGGATATTCAGACATCTTGTGGCCTTCGTTGGAAACGGGATTTCTTCCTATTCTGCTAGACAGAAGAATTCTCAGTAACTTCCTTGTGTTGTGTGTATTCAACTCACAGAGTTGAAGGATCCTTTACAGAGAGCAGGCTTGAAACACTCTTTTTGTCGAATTTGCAAGTGGAGATTTCAGCCGCTTTGAGGTCAATGGTAGAATAGGAAATATCTTCTTATAGAAACTAGACAGAAATGATTCTCAGAAACTCCTTTGTGATGTGTGTGTTCAACTCACAGAGTTTAACCTTTCTTTTCATAGAGCAGTTAGGAAACACTCTGTTTGTAAAGTCTGCAAGTGGATATTCAGACCTCTTTGAGGCCTTCGTTGGAAACGGGTTGTTTTCATATAAGGCTAGACAGAAGAATTCTCAGTAACTTCCTTGTGTTGTGTGTGTTCAATTCACAGAGTTGAACTTTCATTTACACAGAGCAGATTTGAAACACTCTTTTTGTGGAATTTGCAAGTGGAGATTTCACGCGCTTTGAGGCCAAAGGCAGAAAAGGAAATATCTTCGTTTCAAAACTAGACAGAATCATTCTCAGAAACTGCTCTGCGATGTGTGCGTTCCACTCTCAGAGTTTAACTTTTCTTTTCATTCAGCAGTTTGGAAACACTCTGTTTGTAAAGTCTGCACGTGGATATTTTGACCACTTAGAGGCCTTCGTTGGAAACGGGTTTTTTTCCTGTAAGGCTAGACAGAAGATTTCCCAGTAACTTCCTTGTGTTGTGTGCATTCAACTCACAGAGTTGAACGTTCCGTTAGACAGAGCAGATTTGAAACACTCTATTTGTGCAATTTGCAAGTGTAGATTTCAAGCGCTTTAAGGTCAATGGCAGAAAAGGAAATATCTTCGTTTCAAAACTAGACAGAACGATTCTCAGAAACTCCTTTGTGATGTGTGCGTTCAACTCACAGAGTTTAACCTTTCTTTTCATAGAGCAGTTAAGAAACACTCTGTTTGTAAAGTCTGCAAGTGGATATTCAGACCACTTTGAGGCCTTCGTTGGAAACGGGATTTCTTCATATTCTGCTAGACAGAAGAATTCTCAGTAACTTCCTTGTGTTGTGTGAATTCAACTCACAGAGTTGAACGATCCTTTACACAGAGCAGACTTGAAACACTCGTTTTGTGGAACTTGCAAGTGGAGATTTCAGCCGCTTTGTGGTCAATAGTAGAATAGGAAATATCTTCCTATAGAAACTAGACAGAATGATTCTCAGAAAATCCTTTGTGATGTGTGCGTTCAACTCACAGAGTTTAACATTTCTTTTCATAGAGCAGTTAGGAAACACTCTCTTTGTAAAGTCTGCAAGTGGATATTCAGACCTCTTTGAGGCCTTCGTTGGAAACGGGATTTCTTCATATTCTGCTAGACAGAAGAATTCTCAGTAACTTCCTTGTGTTGTGTGTATTCAACTGACAGAGTTGAACTTTCATTTAGAGAGAGCAGATTTGAAACACGGTTTTTGCGGAATTTGCAAGTGGAGATTTCAAGCGCTTTGGGGCCAAAGGCAGAAAAGGAAATATCTTCGTATAAAAACTAGACAGAATCATTCTCAGAAACTGCTCTGCGATGTGTGCGTTCAACTCTCAGAGTTTAACTTTTCTTTTCATTCAGCAGTTTGGAAACACTCTGTTTGTAAAGTCTGCACGTGGATAACTTGACCACTTAGAGGCCTTCGTTGGAAACGGGTTTTTTTCCTGTAAGGCTAGACAGAAGAATTCCCAGTAACTTCCTTGTGTTGTGTACATTCAACTCACAGAGTTGAACGTTCCCTTAGAGCAGATTTGAAACACTCTTTTTGTGCAATTGGCAAGTGGAGATTTCAAGCGCTTTAAGGTCAATGGCAGTAAAAGAAATATCTTCGTTTCAAAACTAGACAGAATGATTCTCATAAACTCCTTTGTGATGTGTGCGTTCAACACACAGAGTTTAACCTTTCTGTTCATAGAGCAGTTAGGAAACACTCTGTTTGTAAAGTCTGTAAGTGGATATTCTGACATCTTGTTGCCTTCGCTGGAAACGGGATTTCTTCATATTCTGCTAGACAGAAGAATTCTCAGTAACTTCCTTGTGTTGTGTGTATTCAACTCACAGAGTTGAACGATCCTTTACACAGAGCATACTTGAAACACTCTTCTTGTGGAATGTGCAAGTGGAGATTTCAGCCGCTTTGAGGTCCATGGTAGAATAGGAAATATCTTCCTATAGAAACTAGACAGAATGATTCTCATGAACTCCTTTGTGATGTGTGCGTTCAACTCACAGAGTTTAACCTTTCTTTTCATAGAGCAGTTAGGAAACACTCTGTTTGTAAAGTCTGCAAGTGGATATTCAGACCTCCTTGAGGCCTTCGTTGGAAACGGGATTTCTTCATATTCTGCTAGACAGAAGAATTCCCAGTAACTTCCTTGTGTTGTGTGTGTTCAACTCACAGAGTTGAACTTTCCTTTACACAGAGCAGATTTGAAACACTCTTTTTGTGGAATTTGCAAGTGGAGATTTCAAGCGCTTTGAGGCCAAAGGCAGAAAAGGAAATATCTTCGTATAAAAACTAGACAGAATCATTCTCAGAAACTGCTCTGCGATGTGTGCGTTCAACTCTCAGAGTTTAACTTTTCTTTTCATTCAGCAGTTTGGACACACTCTGTTTGTAAAGTCTGCACGTGGATAATTTGACCACTTAGAGGCCTTCGTTGGAAACGGGTTTTTTTCATGTAAGGCTAGACAGAAGAATTCCCAGTAACTTCCTTGTGTTGTGTACGGTTCAACTCACAGAGTTGAACGTTCCCTTAGACAGAGCAGATTTGAAACACTCTTTTTGTGCAATTGGCAAGTGGAGATTTCAAGCGCTTTAAGGTCAATGGCAGAAAAGGAAATATCTTCGTTTCAAAACTAGACAGAATCATTCCCACAAACTGCGTTGTGATGTGTTCGTTCAACTCACAGAGTTTAACCTTTCTGTTCATAGAGCAGTTAGGAAATACTCTGTAAAGTCTGTAAGTGGATATTCTGACATCTTGTGGCCTTCGTTGGAAACGGGATTTCTTCATATTCTGCTAGACAGAAGAATTCTCAGTAACTTCCTTGTGTTGTGTGTATTCAACTCACAGAGCTGAACGATCCTTTACACAGAGCAGACTTGAAACACTCTTTTTGTGGAATTTGCAAGTGGAGATTTCAGCCGCTTTGAGGTCAATGGTAGAAAAGGAAATATCTTCGTATAAAGACTAGACAGAATGATTCTCAGAAACTCCTTTGTGATGTGTGCGTTCAACTCACAGAGTTTAACTTTTCTTTTCATAGAGCAGTTAGGAAACACTCTGTTTGTAATGTCTGCAAGTGGATATTCAGACCTCTTTGAGGCCTTCGTTGGAAACGGGAATTCTTCATATTATGCTAGACAGAAGAATTCTCAGTAACTTCCTTGTGTTGTGTTTATTCAACTCACAGAGTTGAATGATCCTTTACACAGAGCAGTCTTGAAACACTCTTTTTGTGGAATTTGCAAGTGGAGATTTCAGCCGCTTTGAGGTCAATGGTAGAATAGGAAATATCTTCCTATAGAAAATAGACAGAATCATTCTCAGAAACTGCTGCGTGATGTGTGCGTTCAACTCTCAGAGTTTAACTTTTCTTTTCATTCAGCGGTTTGGAAACACTCTGTTTGTAAAGTCTGCACGTGGATATTTTGACCACTTAGAGGCCTTCGTTGGAAACGGGTTTTTTTTCATGTAAGGCTAGACAGAAGAATTCCCAGTAACTTCCCTTGTGTTGTGTGCATTCAACTCACAGAGTTGAACGTTCCCTTAGACAGAGCAGATTTGAAACACTCTATTTGTGCAATTTGAAAGTGTAGATTTCAAGCGCTTTAAGGTCAACGGCAGAAAAGGAAATATCTTCGTTTCAAAACTAGACAGAATCACTCCCACAAACTGCGTTGTGATGTTTTCGTTCAACTCACAGAGTTTAACCTTTCTTTTCATAGAGCAGTTAGGAAACAGTCTGTTTGAAAATTCTGTAAGTGGATATTCTGACATCTTGTGGCCTTCGTTGGAAACGGGATTTCTTCATATTCTGCTAGACAGAAGAATTCTCAGTAACATTCCTTGTGTTGTGTGTATTCAACTCACAGAGTTGAACGATCCTTTACACAGAGCAGACTTGAAACACTCTTTTTGTGGAATTTGCAAGTGGAGATTTCAGCCGCTTTGAGGTCAATGGTAGAATAGGAAATATCTTCCTATAGAAACTAGACAAAATGATTCTCATAAACTCCTTTGTGATGTGTGCGTTCAACTCACAGAGTTTAACCTTTCTTTTCTTAGAGCAGTTAGGAAACACTCTGTTTGTAAAGTCTGCAAGTGGATATTCAGACCTCTTTGAGGCCTTCGTTGGAAACGGGATTTCTTCATATTCTGCTAGACAGAAGAATTCTCAGTAACTTCCTTGTGTTGTGTGTATTCAACTGACAGAGTTGAACTTTCATTTAGAGACAGCAGATTTGAAACACTGTTTTTGTGGAATTTGCAAGTGGAGATTTCAAGCGCTTTGGGGCCAAAGGCAGAAAAGGAAATATCTTCGTATAAAAACTAGACAGAATCATTCTCAGAAACTGCTGCGTGATGTGTGCGTTCAACTCTCAGAGTTTAACTTTTCTTTTCATTCAGCGGTTTGGAAACACTCTGTTTGTAAAGTCTACACGTGGATATTCTGACCACTTAGAGGCCTTCGTTGGAAACGGGTTTTTTGCATGTAAGGCTAGACAGAAGAATTCCCAGTAACTTCCTTGTGTTGTGTGCATTCAACTCACAGAGTTGAACGTTCCCTTAGACAGAGCAGATTTGAAACACTCTATTTGTGCAATTTGCAAGTGTAGATTTCAAGCGCTTTAAGGTCAATGGCAGAAAAGGAAATATCTTCGTTTCAAAACTAGACAGAATCATTCCCACAAACTGTGTTGTGATGTGTTCGTTCATCTCACAGAGTTTAACCTTTCTTTTCATAGAGCAGTTAGGAAACACTATGTTTGTAAATTCTGTAAGTGGATATTCTGACATCTTGTGGCCTTCGTTGGAAACGGGATTTCTTCATATTCTGCTAGACAGAAGAATTCTCAAGTAACTTCCTTGTGTTGTGTGTATTCAACTCACAGAGTTGAACGATCCTTTACACAGAGCAGACTTGAAACATTCTTTTTGTGGAATTGGCAAGTGGAGATTTCAGCCGCTTTGAGGTCAATGGTAGAATAGGAAATATCTTCCTATAGAAACTAGACAGAATGATTCTCAGAAACTCCTTTGAGATGTGTGCTCTCAACTCACAGAGTTTAACCTTTCTTTTCATAGAGCAGTTAGGAAACACTCTGTTTGTAAAGTCTGCAAGTGGATATTCAGACCTCTTTGAGGCCTTCGTTGGAAACGGGTTTTTTTCATATAAGGCTAGACAGAAGAATTCTCAAGTAACTTCCTTGTGTTGTGTGTATTCAACTGACAGAGTTGAACTTTCATTTAGAGAGAGCAGATTTGAAACACTGTTTTTGTGGAATTTGCAAGTGGAGATTTCAAGCGCTTTGGGGCCAAAGGCAGAAAAGGAAATATCTTCGTATAAAAACTAGACAGAATCATTCTCAGAAACTGCTCTGCGATGTGTGCGTTCAACTCTCAGAGTTTAACTTTTCTTTTCATTCAGCAGTTTGGAAACACTCTGTTTGTAAAGTCTGCACGTGGATATTTTGACCACTTAGAGGCCTTCGTTGGAAACGGGTTTCTTTCCTGTAAGGCTAGACAGAAGAATTCCCAGTAAATTCCTTGTGTTGTGTGCATTCAACTCACAGAGTTGAACGTTCCCTTAGACAGAGCAGATTTGAAACACTCTATTTGTGCAATTTGCAAGTGTAGATTTCAAGCGCTTTAAAGGTCAATGGCAGAAAAGGGAATATCTTCGTTTCAAAACTAGACAGAATCATTCCCACAAACTGCGTTGTGATGTGTTCGTTCAACTCACAGAGTTTAACCTTTCTGTTCATAGAGCAGTTAGGAAACACTCTGTTTGTAAAGTCTGCAAGTGGATATTCAGACCTCTTGAAGGCCTTCGTTGGAAACGGGATTTCTTCATATTCTGCTAGACAGAAGAATACCTAGTAACTTCCTTGTGTTGTGTGCATTCAACTCACAGAGTTGAACGATCCTTTACAGAGAGCAGGCTTGAAACACTCTTTTTGTGGAATTTGCAAGTGGAGATTTCAGCCGCTTTGAGGTCAATGGTAGAATAGGAAATATCTTCCTATAGAAACTAGACAGAATGATTCTCAGAAACTCCTTTGTGATGTGTGCGTTCAACTCACAGAGTTTAACCTTTCTTTTCATAGAGCAGTTAGGAAACACCCTGTTTGTAAAGTCTGCAAGTGGATATTCAGACATCCTTGAGGCTTTCGTTGGAAACGGGATTTCTTCATATTATGCTAGACAGAAGAATTCCCAGTAACTCCCTTGTGTTGTGTGTGTTCAACTCACAGAGTTGAACTTTCATTTACACAGAGCAGATTTGAAACACTCTTTTTGTGGAATTTGCAAATGGAGGTTTCAAGCGCTTTGAGGCCAAAGGCAGAAAAGGAAATATCTTCGTATAAAAACTAGACAGAATCATTCTCAGAAACTGCTCTGCGATGTGTGCGTTCAACTCTCAGAGTTTAACTTTTCTTCTCATTCAGAAGTTTGGAAACACTCTGTTTGTAAAGTCTGCACGTGGATAACTTGACCACTTAGAGGCCTTCGTTGGAAACGGGTTTTTTTCATGTAAGGCTAGACAGAAGAATTCCCAGTAACTTCCTTGTGTTGTGTGCATTCAACTCACAGAGTTGAACGTTCCCTTAGACAGAGCAGATTTGAAACACTCTATTTGTGCAATTTGCAAGTGTAGATTTCAAGCGCTTTTAAGGTCAACGGCAGAAAAGGAAATATCTTCGTTTCAAAACTAGACAGAATCATTCCCACAAACTGCGTTGTGATGTGTTCGTTCAACTCACGGACTTTAACCTTTCTGTTCATAGAGCAGTTAAGAAACACTCTGTTTGTAAAGTCTGCAAGTGGATATTCAGACCTCCTAGAGGCCTTCATTGGAAACGGGATTTCTTCATATTCTGCTAGACAGAAGAATTCTCAGTAACTTCCTTGTGTTGTGTGTATTCAACTCACAGAGTTGAACGATCCTTTACACAGAGCAGACCTGTAACACTCTTTTTGTGGAATTTGCAAGTGGAGATTTCAGCCGCTTTGAAGTCAAAGGTAGAAAAGGAAATATCTTCCTATAAAAACTAGACAGAATGATTCTCAGAAACTCCTTTGTGATGTGTGCGTTCAACTCACAGAGTTCAACCTTTCTTTTCATAGAGCAGTTGGGAAACACTCTGTTTGTAAACTCTGCAAGTGGATATTCAGACTTCTTTGAGGCCTTCGTTGGAAGCGGGATTTCTTCATATTCTGCTAGACAGAAGAATTCTCAGTAACTTTCCTTGTGTTGTGTGTATTCAACTCACAGAGTTGAACGATCCTTTACACAGAGCAGACTTGAAACACTCTTTTTGTGGAATTTGCAAGTGGAGATTTCAAGCGCTTTGGGGCCAAAGGCAGAAAAGGAAATATCTTCGTATAAAAACTAGACAGAATCATTCTCAGAAACTGCTCTGCGATGTGTGCGTTCAACTCTCAGAGTTTAACGTTTCTTTTCATTCAGCAGTTTGGAAACACTCTGTTTGTAAAGTCTGCACGTGGATATTTTGACCACTTAGAGGCCTTCGTTGGAAACGGGTTTTTTTCCTGTAAGGCTAGACAGAAGAATTCCCAGTAACTTCCTTGTGTTGTGTACATTCAACTCACAGAGTTGAACGTTCCCTTAGACAGAGCAGATTTGAAACACACTTTTTGTGCAATTGGCAAGTGGAGATTTCAAGCGCTTTAAGGTCAATGGCATAAAAGGAAATATCTTCGTTTCAAAACTAGACAGAATCATTCCCACAAACTGCGTTGTGATGTGTTCGTTCAACTCACAGAGTTTAACCTTTCTTTTCATAGAGCAGTTAGGAAACAGTCTGTTTGTCAATTCTGTAAGTGGATATTCTGACATCTTGTGACCTTCGTTGGAAACGGGATTTCTTCATATTCTGCTAGACAGAAGAATTCTCAGTAACTTCCTTGTGTTGTGTGTATTCAACTCACAGAGTTGAACGATCCTTTACACAGAGCAGACTTGAAACACTCTTTTTGTGGAATTTGCAAGTGGAGATTTCAGCCGCTTTGAGGTCAATAGTAGAAAAGTAAATATCTTCGTAGAAAAACTAGACAGAATGATTCTCAGAAACTCCTTTGTGATGTGTGCGTTCAACTCACAGAGTTTAACCTTTCTGTTCATAGAGCAGTTAGGAAACACTCTGTTTGTAAAGTCTGCAAGTGGATATTCAGACCTCTTTGAGGCCTTCGTTGGAAACGGGAATTCTTCATATTCTGCTAGACAGAAGAATTCTCTGTAACTTCCTTGTGTTGTGTGTATTCAACTGACAGAGTTGAACTTTCATTTAGAGAGAGCAGATTTGAAACACTGTTTTTGTGGAATTTGCAAGTGGAGATTTCAAGCGCTTTGGGGCCAAAGGCAGAAAAGGAAATAACTTCGTATAAAAACTTGACAGAATGATTCTCAGAAACTCCTTTGTGATGTGTGTGTTCAACTCACAGAGTTTAACCTTTCTTTTCATAGAGCAGTTAGGAAACACTCTGTTTGTAAGGTCTGCAAGAGGATATTCAGACCTCTTTGAGGCCTTCGTTGGAAACGGGTTTTTTTCATATAAGGCTAGACAGAAGAATTCCCAGTAACTTCCTTGTGTTGTGTGTGTTCAACTCACAGCAGTTGAACTTTCATTTACACAGAGCAGATTTGAAACACTCTTTTTGTGGAATTTGCAAATGGAGATTTCAAGCGCTTTGAGGCCAAAGGCAGAAAAGGAAATATCTTCGTTTCAAAACTAGACAGAATCATTCTCAGAAACTGCTCTGCGATGTGTGCGTTCAACTCTCAGAGTTTAACTTTTCTTGTCATTCAGCAGTTTGGAAACACTCTTTTTGTAAAGTCTGCACGTGGATATTTTGACCACTTAGAGGCCTTCGTTGGAAACGGGTTTTTTTCATGTAAGGCTAGACAGAAGAATTCTCAGTAACTTCCTTGTGTTGTGTGTATTCAACTCACAGAGTTGAACGATCCTTTACACAGAGCAGACTTGAAACACTCTTTTTGTGGAATTTGCAACTGGAGATTTCAGCCGCTTTGAGGTCAAAGGTAGAAAAGGAAACTATCTTCGTAGAAAAATTAGACAGAATGATTCTCAGAAACTTCTTTGTGATGTGTGCGTTCAACTCACAGAGTTTAACCTTTCTTTTCATAGAGCAGTTAGGAAACACTCTGTTTGTAAAGTCTGCAAGTGGATATTCAGACCTCTTTGAGGCCTTCGTTGGAAACGGGATTTCTTCATACTATGCTAGACACAAGAATTCCCAGTAACTTCCTTGTGTTGTGTGTGTTCAACTCACAGAGTTGAACTTTCATTTACACAGAGCAGATTTGAAACACTCTTTTTGTGGAAATTGCAAATGGAGATTTCAAGCGCTTTGAGGCCAAAGGCAGAAAAGGAAATATCTTCGTATAAAAACTAGACAGAATCATTCTCTGAAACTGCTCTGCGATGTGTGCCTTCAGCGCTCAGAGTTTAACTTTTCTTTTCATTCAGCAGTTTGGAAACACTCTGTTTCTAAAGTCTGCACGTGGATATTTTGACCACTTAGAGGCCTTCGTTGGAAACGGGTTTTTGTCATGTAAGGCTAGACAGAAGAATTCCCAGTAACTCCCTTGTGTTGTGTACATTCAACTCACAGAGTTGAACGTTCCCTTAGACAGAGCAGATTTGAAACACTCTTTTTGTGCAATTGGCAAGTGGAGATTTCAAGCGCTTAAGGTCAATGGCAGAAAAGGAAATATTTCCGTTTCAAAACTAGACAGAAATGATTCTCAGAAACTCCTTTGTGATGTGTGTGTTCAACTCACAGAGTTTAACCTTTCTTTTCATAGAGCAGTTAGGAAACACTCTGTTTGTAAAGTCTGCAAGTGGATATTCAGACCTCCTTGAGGCCTTCGTTGGAAACGGGATTTCTTCATATTCTGCTAGACAGAAGAATTCTCAGTAACTTCCTTGTGTTGTGTGTATTCAACTCACAGAGTTGAACGATCCTTTACACAGAGCAGACTTGGAACACTCTTTTTGTGGAATTTTCAAGTGGAGATTTCAGCCGCGTTGAGGTCAATGGTAGAAAAGGAAATATCTTCGTATAAAAACTAGACAGAACGATTCTCAGAAACTCCTTTGTGATGTGTGCGTTCAACTCACAGACTTTAACCTTTCTTTTCATAGAGCAGTTAGGAAACACTCTGTTTGTAAAGTCTGCAAGTGGATATTCAGACCTCTTTGAGGCCTTCGTTGGAAACGGGATTTCTTCATATTCTGCTAGACAGAAGAATTCCTCAGTAACTTTCTTGTGTTGTGTGTATTCAACTGACAGAGTTGAACTTTCATTTAGAGAGACCAGATTTGAAACACTGTTTTTGTGGAATTTGCAAGTGGAGATTTCAAGCGCTTTGGGGCCAAAGGCAGAAAAGGAAATATCTTCGTATAAAAACTAGACAGAATCATTCTCAGAAACTGCTGCGTGATGTGTGCGTTCAACTCTCAGAGTTTAACTTTTCTTTTCATTCAGCGGTTTGGAAACACTCTGTTTGTAAAGTCTGTACGTGGATATTTTGACCACTTAGAGGCCTTCGTTGCAAACGGGTTTTTTGCATGTAAGGCTAGACAGAAGAATTCCCAGTAACTTCCTTGTGTTGTGTGCATTCAACTCACAGAGTTGAACGTTCCCTTAGACAGAGCAGATTTGAAACACTCTATTTGTGCAATTTGCAAGTGTAGATTTCAAGCGCTTTAAGGTCAATGGCAGAAAAGGAAATTTCTTCGTTTTAAAACTAGACAGAATCATTCCCACAAACTGCGTTGTGATGTGTTCGTTCAACTCACAGAGTTTAACCTTTCTTTTCATAGAGAAGTTAGGAAACACTCTGTTTGTAAAGTCTGCAAGTGGATATTCAGACCTCCTTGAGGCCTTCGTTGGAAACGGGATTTCTTCATATTCTGCTAGACAGAAGAATTCTCAGAATCTTCCTTGTGTTGTGTGTATTCAACTCACAGAGTTGAACGATGGTTTACACAGAGCAGATTTGAAACACTCATTTGGTGGAATTTGCAAGTGGAGATTTCAGCCGCATTGAGGTCAATGGTAGAAAAGGAAATATCTTCGTATAACAACTAGACAGAATGATTCTCATAAACTCCTTTGTGATGTGTGCGTTCAACTCACAGAGTTTAACCTTTCTTTTCATAGAGCAGTTAGGAAACACTCTGTTTGAAAAGTCTGCAAGTGGATATTCAGACCACCTTGAGGCCTTCGTTGGAAACGGGATTTCTTCATATTCTGCTAGACAGAAGAATTCTCTGTAACTTCCTTGTGTTGTGTGTATTCAACTGACAGAGTTGAACTTTCATTTAGAGAGAGCAGGTTTGAAACACTGTTTTTGTGGAATTTGCAAGTGGAGATTTCAAGCGCTTTGGGGCAAAAGGCAGAAAAGGAAATATCTTCGTATAAAAACTAGACAGAATCATTCTCAGAAACTGCGCTGCGATGTGTGCGTTGAACTCTCAGAGTTTAACTTTTCTTTTCATTCAGCAGTTTGGAAACACTCTGTTTGTAAAGTCTGCACGTGGATATTTTGACCACTTAGAGTCCTTCGTTGGAAACGGGTTTTTTTCCTGTAAGGCTAGACAGAAGAATTCCCAGGAACTTCCTTGTGTTGTGTACATTCAACTCACAGAGTTGAACGTTCCCTTAGACAGAGCAGATTTGAAACACTCTTTTTGTGCAATTGGCAAGTGGTGATTTCAGCCGCTTTGAGGTCAATGGTAAAAAAGGAAATAACTTCCTATAAAAACTAGACAGAATCATTACCACAAACTGCGTTGTGATGTGTTCGTTCAACTCACAGAGTTTAACCTTTCTGTTCATAGAGCAGTTAGGAAACACTCTGTTTGTAAAGTCTGTAAGTGGATATTCTGACATCTTGTGGCCTTCGTTGGAAACGGGATTTCTTCATATTCTGCTAGACAGAAGAATTCTCAGTAACTTCCTTGTGTTGTGTGTATTCAACTCACAGAGTTGAACGATCCTTTACACAGAGCAGACTTCAAACACTCTTTTTGTGGAATTTGCAAGTGGAGATTTCAGCCGCTTTGAGGTCAATGGTAGAATAGGAAATATCTTCCTATAGAAACTAGACAGAATGATTCTGAGAAACTCCTTTGTGATGTGTGCATTCAACTCACAGAGTTTAACCTTTCTTTTCATAGAGCAGTTAGGAAACACTCTGTTTGTAAAGTCTGCAAGTGGATATTCAGACCTCCTTGAGGCCTTCGTTGGAAACGGGATTTCTTCATATTATGCTAGACAGAAGAATTTTCAGTAACTTCCTTGTGTTGTGTGTATTCAACTCACAGAGTTGAACGATCCTTTACACAGAGCAGACTTGAAACACTCTTTTTGTGGAATTTGCAAGTGGAGATTTCAGCCGCTTTGAGTTCAATGGTAGAATAGGAAATATCTTCCTATAGAAACTAGACAGAATCATTCTCAGAAACTGCTCTGCGATGTGTGCGTTCAACTCTCAGAGTTTAACTTTTCTTTTCATTCAGCAGTTTGGAAACACTCTGTTTTTTAAAGTCTGCACGTGGATATTTTGACCACTTAGAGGCCTTCGTTGGAAACGGGTTTTTTTCCTGTAAGGCTAGACAGAAGAATTCCCAATAACTTCCTTGTGTTGTGTACATTCAACTCACAGAGTTGAACGTTCCCTTAGACAGAGCAGATTTGAAACACTCTTTTTGTGCAATTGGCAAGTGGAGATTTCAAGCGCTTTAAGGTCAATGGCAGAAAAGGAAATATCTTCGTTTCAAAACTAGACAGAATGATTCTCAGAAACTCCTTTGTGATGTGTGCACTCAACTCACAGAGTTTAGCCTTTCTTTTCATAGAGCAGTTAGGAAACACTCTGTTTGTAAAGTCTGCAAGTGGATATTCAGACCTCTTTGAGGCCTTCGTAGGAAATGGGATTTCTTCATATTATGCTAGACAGAAGAATTCTCAGTAACTTCCTTGTGTTGTGTGTATTCAACTCACAGAGTTGAACGATCCTTTACACAGAGCAGACTTGAAACACTCTTTTTCTGGAATTTGCAAGTGGAGATTTCAGCCTCTTTGAGGTCAATGGTAGAAAAGGAAATATCTTCGTATAAAAACTAGACAGAATGATTCTCAGAAACTCCTTTGTGATGTGTGCGTGCAACTCACAGAGTTTAACCTTTCTTTTCATAGAGCAGTTAGGAAACACTCTGTTTGTAAAGTCTGCAAGTGGATATTCAGACATCTTTGAGGCTTTCGTTGGAAACGGGATTTTTTCATATTCTGCTAGGCAGAAGAATTCTCAGTAACTTCCTTGTGTTGTGTGTATTCAACTGACAGAGTTGAACTTTCATTTGGAGAGAGCAGATTTGAAACACTGTTTTTGTGGAATTTGCAAGTGGAGATTTCAAGCGCTTTGGGGCCAAAGGCAGAAAAGGAAATATCTTCGTATAAAAACTAGAAAGAATCATTCTCAGAAACTGCTCTGCGATGTGTGCGTTCAACTCTCAGAGTTTAACTTTTCTTTTCATTCAGCAGTTTGGAAACACTCTGTTTGGAAAGTCTGCACGTGGATATTTTGACCACTTAGAGGCCTTCGTTGGAAACGGGTTTTTTTCCTGTAAGGCTAGACAGAAGAATTCCCAGTAACTTCCTTGTGTTGTGTGTGTTCAACTCACAGAGTTGAACTTTCATTTACACAGAGCAGATTTGAAACACTCTTTTTGTGCAATTGGCAAGTGGAGATTTCAAGCGCTTTAAGGTCAATGGCAGAAAAGGAAATATCTTCGTTTCAAAACTAGACAGAATGATTCTCAGAAACTTCTTTGTGATGTGTGCGTTCAACTCACAGAGTTTAACCTTTCTTTTCATAGAGGAGTTAGGAAACACTCTGTTTGTAAAGTCTGCAAGTGGATATTCAGACCTCTTTGAGGCCATCGTTGGAAACGGGATTTCTTCATACTATGCTAGACAGAAGAATTCTCAGTAACTTCCTTGTGTTGTGTGTATTCAACTCACAGAGTTGAACGATCCTTTACACAGAGCAGACTTGTAACACTCTTTTTGTGGAATTTGCAAGTGGAGATTTCAGCCGCGTTGAGGTCAATGGTAGAAAAGGAAATATCTTCGTATAAAAACTAGACAGAATGATTCTCAGAAACTCCTTTGTGATGTGTGCGTTCAACTCACAGAGTTTAACCTTTCTTTTCATAGAGCAGTTAGGAAACACTCCGTTTCTAAAGTCTGCAAGTGGATATTCAGACCTCTTTGAGGCCTTCGTTGGAAACGGGTTTTTTTCATATAAGGCTAGAGAGAAGAATTCCCAGTAACTTCCTTGTGTTGTGTGTGTTCAACTCACAGAGTTGAACTTTCATTTACACAGAGCAGATTTGAAATACTCTTTTTGTGGAATTTGCAAGTGGAGATTTCAAGCGCTTTGAGGCCAAAGGCCGAAAAGGAAATATCTTCGTATAAAAACTAGACAGAATGATTCTCAGAAATTTCTTTGTGATGTGTGCGTTCAACTCACAGAGTTTAACTTTTCTTTTCATTCAGCAGTTTGGAAACACTCTGTTTGTAAAGTCTGCAAGTGGATATTCAGACCTCTTTGAGGCCTTCCTTGGAAACGGGTTTTTTTTCATGTAAGGCTAGACAGAAGAATTCCCAGTAACTTCCTTGTGTTGTGTACATTCAACTCACAGAGTTGAACGTTCCCTTAGACAAAGCAGATTTGAAACACTCTTTTTGTGCAATTGGCAAGTGGAGATTTCAAGCGCTTTAAGGTCAATGGCAGAAAAGGAAATATCTTCGTTTCAAAACTAGACAGAATGATTCTCAGAACCTCCTTTGTGATGTGTGCGTTCAACTCACAGAGTTGAACCTTTCTTTTCATAGAGCAGTTAGGAAACACTCTGTTTGTAAAGTCTGCAAGTGGATATTCAGACATCCTTGAGGCTTTCGTTGGAAACGGGATTTCTTCATATTCTGCTAGAAAGAAGAATTCTCAGTAACTTCTTTGTGTTGTGTTTATTCAACTCACAGAGTTGAACGATACTTTACACAGAGCAGACTTGATACACTCGTTTTGTGGAATTTGCAAGTGGAGATTTCAGCCGCTTTGAGGTCCATGGTAGAAAAGGAAATATCTTCGTATAAAAACTTGACAGAATGATTCTCAGAAACTCCTTTGTGATGTGTGCGTTCAACTCACAGAGTTTAACCTTTCTTTTCATAGAGCAGTTAGGAAACACTCTGTTTGTAAAGTCTGCAAGTGGATATTCGGACCTCCTTGAGGCCTTCTTTGGAAACGGGATTTCTTCTTATTATGCTAGACAGAAGAATTCTCAGTAACTTCCTTGTGTTGTGTGTATTCAACTCACAGAGTTGAACTTTCATTTAGAGAGAGCAGATTTGAAACACAGTTTTTGTGGAATTTGCAAGTGGAGATTTCAAGCGCTTTGGGGCCAAAGGCAGAAAAGGAAATATCTTCGTATAAAAACTAGACAGAATCATACTCAGAAACTGCTGCGTGATGTGTGCGTTGAACTCTCAGAGTTTAACTTTTCTTTTCATTCAGCGGTTTGGAAACACTCTGTTTGTAAAGTCTGCACGTGGATATTTTGACCACTTAGAGGCCTTCGTTGGAAACGGGTTTTTTTCATGTAAGGCTAGACAGAAGAATTCCCAGTAACTTCCTTGTGTTGTGTACATTCAACTCACAGAGTTGAACGTTCCCTTAGACAGAGCAGATTTGAAATACTCTTTTTGTGCAATTGGCAAGTGGAGATTTCAAGCGCTTTAAGGTCAATGGCAGAAAAGGAAATATCTTCGTTTCAAAACTAGACAGAATCATTCCCAAAAACTGCGTTGTGATGTGTTCGTTCATCTCACAGAGTTTAACCTTTCTTTTCATAGAGCAGTTAGGAAACACTCTGTTTGTAAATTCTGTAAGTGGATATTCTGACATCTTGTGGCCTTCGTTGGAAACGGGATTTCTTCATATTCTGCTAGACAGAAAAATTCTCAGTAACTTCCTTGTGTTGTGTGTATTCAACTCACAGAGTTGAACGATCCTTTACACAGAGCAGACTTGAAACACTCTTTTTGTGGAATTTGCAAGTGGAGATTTCAGCCGCTTTGAGGTCAATGGTAGAAAAGGAAATATCTTCCTATAGAAACTGGACAGAAAGATTCTCAGAAACTCCTTTGTGATGTGTGCGTTCAACTCACAGAGTTTAACCTTTCTTTTCATAGAGCAGTTAGGAAACACTCTGTTTGTAAAGTCTGCAAGTTCATATTCAGACCTCTTTGAGGCCTTCGTTGGAAACGGGTTTTTTTCATATAAGGCTAGAGAGAAGAATTCCCAGTAACTTCCTTGTGTTGTGTGTGTTCAACTCACAGAGTTGAACTTTCATTTACACAGAGCAGATTTGAAACACTCTTTTTGTGGAATTTGCAAATGGAGATTTCAGCCGCGTTGAGGTCAACGGTAGAAAAGGATATATCTTCGTTTCAAAACTAGACAGAATCATTCTCAGAAACTGCTCTGCGATGTGTGCGTTGAACTCTCAGAGTTTAACTTTTCTTTTCATTCAGCAGTTTGGAAACACTCTGTTTGTAAAGTCTGCACGTGGATATTTTGACCACTTAGAGGCCTTTGTTGGAAACGGGTTTTTTTCCTGGAAGGCTAGACAGAAGAATTCCCAGTAACTTTCCTTGTGTTGTGTGCATTCAACTCACAGAGTTGAACGTTCCCTTAGACAGAGCAGATTTGAAACACTCTATTTGTGCAATTGGCAAGTGTAGATTTCAAGCGCTTTAAGGTCAATGGCAGAAAAGGAAATATCTTCGTTTCAAAACTAGACAGAATGATTCTCAGAAACTCCTTTGTGATGTGTGCCTTCAACTCACAGAGTTTAACTTTTCTTTTCATAGAGCAGTTAGGAAACACTCTGTTTCTAAAGTCTGCAAGTGGATATTCAGACCTCTTTGAGGCCTTCGTTGGAAACGGGATTTCTTCATATTCTGCTAGACAGAAGAATTCTCAGTAACTTCCGTGTGTTGCGTGTATTCAACTCACAGAGTTGAACGATCCTTTACACAGAGCAGACTTGAAACACTCTTTTTGTGGAATTTGCAAGTGGAGATTTCAGCCGCTTTGAGGTCAAAGTTAGAAAGGAAATATCTTCCTATAAAAACTAGACAGAATGATTCTCAGAAACTCCTTTGTGATGTGTGCGTTCAACTCACAGAGTTCAACCTTTCTTTTAATAGAGCAGTTGGGAAACACTCTGTTTGTAAAGTCTGCAAGTGGATATTCAGACTTCTTTGAGGCCTTCGTTGGAAGCGGGCTTTCTTCATATTCTGCTAGACAGAAGAATTCCCAGTAACTTCCATGTGTTGTGTGTGTTCAACTCACAGAGTTGAACGTTCCCTTAGACAGAGCAGATTTGAAACACTCTTTTTGTGGAATTTGCAAGTGGAGATTTCAAGCGCTTTGAGGCCAAAGGCAGAAAAGGAAATATCTTCGTATAAAAACTAGACAGAATCATTCTCAGAAACTGCTGCGTGATGTGTGCGTTCAAGTCTCAGAGTTTAACTTTTCTTTTCATTCAGCGGTTTGGAAACACTCTGTTTGTAAAGACTGCACGTGGATATTTTGACCACTTAGAGGCCTTCGTTGGAAACGGGTTTTTTTTCATGTAAGGCTAGACAGAAGAATTCCCAGGAACTTCCTTGTGTTGTGTACATTCAACTCACAGAGTTGAACGTTCCCTTAGACAGAGCAGATTTGAAACACTCTTTTTGTGCAATTGGCAAGTGGTGATTTCAGCCGCTTTGACGTCAATGGTAGAAAAGGAAATATCTTCGTATAAAAACTAGACAGAATCATTCCCACAAACTGCGTTGTGATGTGTTCGTTCAACTCACAGAGTTTAACCTTTCTTTTCATAGAGCACTTAGGAAACAGTCTGTTTGTAAATTCTGTAAGTGGATATTCTGACATCTTGTGGCCTTCGTTGGAAACGGGATTTCTTCATATTCTGCTAGACAGAATAATTCTCAGTAAGTTCCTTGTTTTGTGTGTATTCAACTCACAGAGTTGAAGGATCCTTTAGAGAGAGCAGGCTTGAAACACTCTTTTTGTCGAAATTGCAAGTGGAGATTTCAGCCGCTTTGAGGTCAATGGTAGAATAGGAAATATCTTCCTATAGAAACTAGACAGAATGATTCTCAGAAACTCCTTTGTGATGTGTGTGTTCAACTCACAGAGTTTAACCTTTCTTTTCATAGAGCAGTTAGGAAACACTCTGTTTGTAAAGTCTGCAAGTGGATATTCAGACCTCTTTGAGGCCTTCTTTGGAAACGGGATTTTTCATATAAGGCTAGACAGAAGAATTCCCAGTAACTTCCTTGTGTTGTGTGTGTTCAACTCACAGAGTTGAACTTTCATTTACACAGAGCAGATTTGAAACACTCTTTTTGTGGAATTTGCAGGTGGAGATTTCAAGCGCTTTGAGGCCAAAGGCAGAAAAGGAAATATACTTCGTATAAAAACTAGACAGAATCATTCTCAGAAACTGCTCTGCGATGTGTGCGTTCAACTCTCAGAGTTTAACTTTTCTTTTCATTCAGCAGTTTGGAAACACTCTGTTTGTAAAGTCTGCACGTGGATAATTTGACCACTTAGAGGCCTTCGTTGGAAACGGGTTTTTTTCATGTAAGGATAGACAGAAGAATTCCCAGTAACTTCCCTTGTGTTGTGTGCATTCAACTCACAGAGTTGAACGTTCCCTTAGACAGAGCAGATTTGAAACACTCTATTTGTGCAATTTGCAAGTGTAGATTTCAAGCGCTTTAAGGTCAATGGTAGAAAAGGAAATATCTTCGTTTTAAAACTAGACAGAATCACTCCCACAAACTGCGTTGTGATGTGTTCGTTCAACTCACAGAGTTTAACCTTTCTTTTCATAGAGCAGTTAGGAAACAGTCTGTTTGAAAATTCTGTAAGTGGATATTCTGACATCTTGTGGCCTTCGTTGGAAACGGGATTTCTTCATATTCTGCTAGACAGAAGAATTCTCAGAATCTTCCTTGTGTTGTGTGTATTCAACTCACAGAGTTGAACGATCCTTTACACAGAGCAGATTTGAAACACTCTTTTTGTGGAATTTGCAAGTGGAGATTTCAGCCGCTTTGAGGTCAATGGTAGAAAAGGAAATATCTTCCTATAAAAACTAGACAGAATGATTCTCAGAAACTCGTTTGTGATGTGTGCGTTCAACTCACAGAGATTAACTTTTCTTTTCATAGAGCAGTTAGGAAACACTCTGTTTGTAAAGTCTGCAAGTGGATATTCAGACCTCTTTGTGGCCTTCGTTGGAAACGGGATTTCTTCATATTATGCTAGACAGAAGAATTCTCAGTAACTTCCTTGTGTTGTGTGTATTCAACTGACAGAGTTGAACTTTCATTTAGAGAGAGCAGATTTGAAACACTGTTTTTGTGGAATTTGCAAGTGGAGATTTCAAGCGCTTTGGGGCCAAAGGCAGAAAAGGAAATATCTTCGTATAAAAAGTAGACAGAATCATTCTCAGAAACTGCTGCGTGATGTGTGCGTTCAACTCTCAGAGTTTAACTTTTCTTTTCATTCAGCAGTTTGGAAACACTCTGTTTGTAAAGTCTGCACGTGGAAATTTTGACCACTTAGAGGCCTTCGTTGGAAACGGGTTTTTTTCATGTAAGGCTAGACAGAAGAATTCCCAGTAACTTCCTTGTGTTATGTGCATTCAACTCACAGAGTTGAACGTTCCCTTAGACAGAGCAGATTTGAAACACTCTATTTGTGCAATTTGCAAGTGTAGATTTCAAGCGCTTTAAGGTCAATGGCAGAAAAGGAAATATCTTCGTTTCAAAACTAGACAGAATCATTCCCACAAACTGCGTTGTGATGTGTTCGTTCAACTCACAGAGTTTAACCTTTCTTTTCATAGAGCAGTTAGGAAACAGTCTGTTTGTAAATTCTGTAAGTGGATATTCTGATATCTTGTGGCCTTCGTTGGAAACGGGATTTCTTCATATTCTGCTAGACAGAAGAATTCTCAGTAACTTCTTTGTGTTGTGTGTATTCAACTCACAGAGTTGAGCGATCCTTTACACAGAGCAGACTTGAAACACTCGTTTTGTGGAATTTGCAAGTGGAGATTTCAGCCGCTTTGAGGTCAATGGTAGAAAAGGAAATATCTTCGTATAAAAACTAGACAGAATGATTCTCAGAAACTCCTTTGTGATGTGTGCGTTCAACTCACAGAGTTTAACCTTTCTTTTCATAGAGCAGTTAAGAAACACTCTGTTTGTAAAGTCTGCAAGTGGATATTCAGACCTCTTTGAGGCCTTCGTTGGAAACGGGATTTCTTCATATTCTGCTAGACAGAAGAATTCCCAGTAACTTCCCTTGTGTTGTGTGTGTTCAACTCACAGAGTTGAACTTTCATTTACACAGAGCAGATTTGAAACACTCTTTTTGTGGAATTTGCAAGTGGAGATTTCAAGCGCTTTCAGGCCAAAGGCAGAAAAGGAAATATCTTCGTATAAAAACTAGGCAGAATCATTCTCAGAAACTGCTCTGCGATGTGTGCGTTCAACTCTCAGAGTTTAACTTTTCTTTTCATTCAGCAGTTTGGAAACACACTGTTTGTAAAGTCTGCACGTGGATATTTTGACCACTTAGAGGCCTTCGTTGGAAACGGGTTTTTTTCCTGTAAGGCTAGACAGAAGAATTCCCAGTAACTTCCTTGTGTTGTGTACATTCAACTCACAGAGTTGAACGTTCCCTTAGACAGAGCAGATTTGAAACACTCTTTTTGTGCAATTGGCAAGTGGAGATTTCAAGCGCTTTGAGGTCAATGGCAGAAAAGGAAATATCTTCGTTTCAAAACTAGACAGAATGATTCTCAGAAACTCCTTTGTGATGTGTGCGTTCAACTCACAGAGTTTAAGTTTTCTTTTCATAGAGCAGTTAGGAAACACTCTGTTTGTAAAGTCTGCAGGTGGATATTCAGACCTCTTTGAGGCCTTCGTTGGAAAAGGGATTTCTTCATATTATGCTAGACAGAATAATTCTCAGTAACTTCCTTGTGTTGTGTGTATTCAACTCAGAGTTGTACGATCCTTTACAGAGAGCAGACTTGAAACACTCTTTTTGTGGAATTTGCAAGTGGAGATTTCAGCCGCTTTGAGGTCAATGGTAGAACTAGGAAATATCTTCCTATAGAAACTAGACAGAATGATTCTCAGAAACTCCTTTGTGATGTGTGTGTTCAACTCACAGAGTTTAACCTTTCTTTTCATAGAGCAGTTAGTAAACACTCTGTTTATAAAGTCTGCAAGTGGATATTCAGAGCCCTTTGTGGCCTTCGTTGGAAACGGGGTTTCTTCATATTATGCTAGACAGAAGAATTCCCAGTAACTTCCTTGTGTTGTGTGTGTTCAACTCACAGAGTTGAACTTTCATTTACACAGAGCAGATTTGAAACACTCTTTTTGTGGAATTTGCAAGTGGAGATTTCAAGCGCTTTAAGGCCAAAGGCAGAAAAGGAAATATCTTCGTTTCAAAACTAGACAGAATCATTCTCAGAAACTGCTGCGTGATGTGTGCGTTCAACTCTCAGAGTTTAACTTTTCTTTTCATTCAGCGGTTTGGAAACACTCTGTTTGTAAAGTCTGCAAGTGGATATTCAGACCTCTTTGAGGCCTTCGTTGGAAACGGGATTTCTTCATATTATGCTAGACAGAAGAATTCCCAGTAACTTCCTTGTGTTGTGTACATTCAACTCACAGAGTTGAACGTTCCCTTAGACAGAGCAGATTTGAAACACTTTTTTTGTGCAATTGGCAAGTGGTGATTTCAACCGCTTTGAGGTCAATGGTAGAAAAGGAAATATCTTCGTATAAAAACTAGACAGAATCATTCCCACAAACTGCGTTGTGATGTGTTCGTTCAACTCACAGAGTTTAACCTTTCTGTTCATAGAGCAGTTAGGAAACACTCTGTTTGTAAAGTCTGCAAGTGGATATTCAGACCTCCTTGAGGCTTTCGTTGGAAACGGGATTTGTTCATATTCTGCTAGACAGAAGAATTCTCAGTAACTTCCTTGTGTTGTGTGTATTCAACTCACAGAGTTGAACGATCCTTTACACAGAGCAGACTTGAAACACTCTTTTTCTGGAATTTGCAAGTGGAGATTTCAGCCGCTTTGAGGTCAATGGTAGAAAAGGAAATATCTTCGTATAAAAACTAGACAGAATGATTCTCAGAAACTCCTTTGTGATGTGTGCGTTCAACTCACAGAGTTTAACCTTTCTTTTCATAGAGCAGTTAGGAAACACTCTGTTTGTAAAGTCTGCAAGTGGATATTCAGACCTCTTTGAGGCCTTCGTTAGAAACGGGATTTCTTCATATTATGCTAGACAGAAGAATTCTCAGTAACTTCCTTGTGTTGTGTGTATTCAACTGACAGTGTTGAACTTTCATTTAGAGAGAGCAGATTTGAAACACTGTTTTTGTGGAATTTGCAAGTGGAGATTTCAAGCGCTTTGGGGCCAAAGGCAGAAAAGGAAATATCTTCGTATAAAAACTAGACAGAATCATTCTCAGAAACTGCTGCGTGATGTGTGCGTTCAACTCTCAGAGTTTAACTTTTCTTTTCATTCAGCGGTTTGGAAACACTCTGTTCGTAAAGTCTGCACGTGGATATTTTGACCACTTAGAGGCCTTCGTTGGAAACGGGTTTTTTTCATGTTAGGCTAGACAGAAGAATTCCCAGTAACTTCCTTGTGTTGTGTACATTCAACTCACAGAGGTGAACGTTCCCTTAGACAGAGCAGATTTGAAACACTCTTTTTGTGCAATTGGCAAGTGGAGATTTCAAGCGCTTTAAGGTCAATGGCAGAAAAGGAAATATCTTCGTTTCAAAACTAGACAGAATGATTCTCAGAAACTCCTTTGTGATGTGTGCATTCAACTCACAGAGTTTAACCTTTCTTTTCATAGAGCAGTTAGGAAACACTCTGTTTGTAAAGTCTGCAAGTGGATATTCAGACCTCCTTGAGGCCTTCGTTGGAAACGGGATTTCTTCATATTCTGCTATACAGAAGAATTCTCAGAAACTTCCTTGTGTTGTGTGTATTCAACTCACAGAGTTGAACGATCGTTTACACAGAGCAGACTTGAGACACTCTTTTTGTGGAATTTGTAAGTGGAGATTTCAGCCGCTTTGAGGTCAATGGTAGAAAGGGAAATATCTTCATATAAAAACTAGACAGAATGATTCTCAGAACCTCCTTTGTGATGTGTGCGTTCAACTCACAGAGTTTAACCTTTCTTTTCATAGAGCAGTTAGGAAACACTCTGTTTGTAAAGTCTGCAAGTGGATATTCAGACCTCTTTGAGGCCTTCGTTGGAAACGGGATTTCTTCATATTATGCTAGACAGAAGAATTCTCAGTAACTTCCTTGTGTTGTGTGTATTCAACTCACAGAGTTGAACTTTCATTTACACAGAGCAGATTTGAAACACTCTTTTTGTGGAATTTGCAAGTGGAGATTTCAAGCGCTTTGAGGCCAAAGGCAGAAAAGGAAATATCTTCGTTTCAAAACTAGACAGAATCATTCTCAGAAACTGCTCTGCGATGTGTGCGTTCAACTCTCAGAGTTTAACTTTTCTTTTCATTCAGCAGTTTGGAAACACTCTGTTTGTAAAGTCTGCACGTGGATAACTTGACCACTTAGAGGCCTTCGTTGGAAACGGGTTTTTTTCCTGTAAGGCTAGACAGAAGAATTCCCAGGAACTTCCTTGTGTTGTGTACATTCAACTCACAGAGTTGAACGTTCCCTTAGACAGAGCAGATTTGAAACACTCTTTTTGTGCAATTGGCAAGTGGTGATTTCAGCCGCTTTGAGGTCAATGGTAGAAAAGGAAATATCTTCGTTTCAAAACCAGACAGAATGATTCTCAGAAACTCCTTTGTGATGTGTGCGTTCAACTCACAGAGTTTAACCTTTCTTTTCATAGAGCAGTTAGGAAACACTCTATTTGTAAAGTCTGCAAGTGGATATTCAGACATCCTTGAGTCTTTCTTTGGAAACGGGATTTCTTCATATTCTGCTAGAAAGAATAATTCTCAGTAACTTCCTTGTGTTGTGTGTATTCAACTCACAGAGTTGAACGATCCTTTACACAGAGCAGACTTGAAACACTCTTTTTGTGGAATTTGCAATTGGAGATTTCAGCCGCTTTGAGGTCAATGGTAGAATAGGAAATATCTTCCTATAGAAACTAGACAGAATGATTCTCAGAAACTCCTTTCTGATGTGTGTGTTCAACTCACAGAGTTTAAACTTTCTTTTCATAGAGCAGTTAGGAAACACTCTGTTTATAAAGTCTGCAAGTGGATATTCAGACCCCTTTGTGGCCTTCGTTGGAAACGGGATTTCTTCATATTATGCTAGACAGAAGAATTCTCAGTAACTTCCTTGTGTTGTGTGTATTGAACTCGCAGAGTTGAACGATCCTTTACACAGAGCAGACTTGAAACACTCTTTTTGTGGAATTTGCAAGTGGAGATTTCAGCCGCATTGAGGTCAATAGTAGAAAAGGAAATATCTTCGTAGAAAAACTAGACAGAATCATTCTCAGAAACTGCTCTGCGATGTGTGCGTTCAACTCTCAGAGTTTAACTTTTCTTTTCATTCAGCAGTTTGGAAACACTCTGTTTGTAAAGTCTGCACGTGGATATTTTGACCACTTAGAGGCCTTCGTTGGAAACGGGTTTTTTTCCTGTAAGGCTACACAGAGGAATTCCCAGTAACTTCCTTGTGTTGTGTACATTCAACTCACAGAGTTGAACGTTCCCTTAGACAGAGCAGATTTGAAACACTCTTTTTGTGCAATTGGCAAATGGAGATTTCAAGCGCTTTAAGTTCAATGGCAGAAAAGGAAATATCTTCGTTTCAAAACTAGACAGAATCATTCCCACAAACTGCGTTGTGATGTGTTCGTTCAAATCACAGAGTTTAACCTTTCTGTTCATAGAGCAGTTAGGAAACACTCTGTTTGTAAAGTCTGTAAGTGGATATTCTGACATCTTGTGGCCTTCGTTGGAAACGGGATTTCTTCATATTCTGCTAGACAGAAGAATTCTCAGTAACTTCCTTGTGTTGTGTGTATTCAACTCACAGAGTTGAACGATCCTTTACACAGAGCAGACTTGAAACACTCTTTTTGTGGAATTTGCAAGTGGAGATTTCAGCCGCTTTGAGGTCAATGGTAGAATAGGAAATATCTTCCTATAGAAAATAGACAGAATGATTCTCAGAAACTCTTTTATGATGTGTGCGTTCAACTCACAGAGTTTAACTTTTCTTTTCATAGAGCAGTTAGGAAACACTCTGTTTGTAAACTCTGCAAGTGGATATTCAGACCTCTTTGAGGCCTTCGTTGCAAACGGGATTTGTTCATATTATGCCTGACAGAAGAATTCTCAGTAACTTCCTTGTGTTGTGTGTATTCAACTCACAGAGTTGAACTTTCATTCACACAGAGCAGATTTGAAACACGCTTTTTATGGAATTTGCAAGTGGAGATTTCAAGCGCTTTGAGGCCAAAGGCAGAAAAGGAAATATCTTCGTTTCAAAACTAGACAGAATCATTCTCAGAAACTGCTCTGCGATGTGTGCGTTCAACTATCAGAGTTTAACTTTTCTTTTCATTCAGCAGTTTGGAAACACTCTGTTTGTAAAGCCTGCACGTGGATAATTTGACCACATAGAGGCCTTCGTTGGAAACGGGTTTTTTTCATGTAAGGCTAGACAGAAGAATTCCCAGTAACTTCCTTGTGTTGTGTGCATTCAACTCACAGAGTTGAACGTTCCCTTAGACAGAGCAGATTTGAAACACTCTATTTGTGCAATTTGCAAGTGTAGATTTCAAGCGCTTTAAGGTCAATGGCAGAAAAGGAAATATCTTCGTTTCAAAACTAGACAGAATGATTCTCAGAAACTCCTTTGTGATGTGTGCGTTCAACTCACAGAGTTCAACCTTTCTTTTCCTAGAGCAGTTGGGAAACACTCTGTTTGTAAAGTCTGCATGTGGATATTCAGACATCCTTGAGGCTTTCGTTGGAAACGGGATTTCTTCATATTCTGCTAGAAAGAAGAATTCTCAGTAACTTCCTTGTGTTGTGTGTATTCAACTCACAGAGTTGAACGATCCTTTACAGAGAGCAGACTTGACACACTCTTTTTGTGGAATTTGCAAGTGGAGATTTCAGCCGCTTTGTGGTCAATGGTAGAATAGGAAATATCTTCCTATAGAAACTAGACAGAATGATTCTCAGAAACTCCTTTGTGATGTGTGCGTTCAACTCACAGAGTTTAACCTTTCTTTTCATAGAGCAGTTAGGAAACTCTCTGTTTGTAAAGTCTGCAAGTGGATATTCAGACATCCTTGAGGCTTTCGTTGGAAACGGGATTTCTTCATATTCTGCTAGAAAGAAGAATTCCCAGTAACTTCCTTGTGTTGTGTGTGTTCAACTCACAGAGTTGAACTTTCATTTACACAGAGCAGATTTGAAACACTCTTTTTGTGGAATTTGCAAGTGGAGATTTCAAGCGCTTTGAGGCCAAAGGCAGAAAAGTAAATATCTTCGTTTCAAAACTAGACAGAATCATTCTCAGAAACTGCTGCGTGATGTGTGCGTTCAACTCTCAGAGTTTAACTTTTCATTTCATTCAGCGGTTTGGAAACACTCTGTTTGTAAAGTCTGCACGTGGAAATTTTGACCACTTAGAGGCCTTCGTTGGAAACGGGTTTTTTTCATGTAAGGCTAGACAGAAGAATTCCCAGTAACTTCCCTTGTGTTGTGTACATTCAACTCACAGAGTTGAACGTTCCCTTAGACAGAGCAGATTTGAAACACTCTTTTTGTGCAATTGGCAAATGGAGATTTCAAGCGCTTTAAGGTCAATGGCAGGAAAGGAAATATCTTCGTTTCAAAACTAGACAGAATCATTCCCACAAACTGCGTTGTGATGTGTTCGTTCAACTCACAGAGTTTAACCTTTCTGTTCATAGAGCAGTTAGGAAACACTCTCTTTGTAAAGTCTGTAAGTGGATATTCTGATATCTTGTGGCCTTCGTTGGAAACGGGATTTCTTCATATTATGCTAGACAGAAGAATTCTCAGTAACTTCCTTGTGTTTTGTGTATTCAACTCACAGAGTTGAACGATCCTTTACACAGAGCAGACTAGAAACATTCTTTTTGTGGAATTTGCAAGTGGAGATTTCAGCCGCTTTGAGGTCAATCGTAGAATAGGAAATATCTTCCTATAGAAACTAGACAGAACGATTCTCAGAAACTCCTTTGTGATGTGAGCGTTCAACTCACAGAGTTTAACCTTTCTTTTCTTAGAGCAGTTAGGAAACACTCTGTTTGTAAAGTCTGCAAGTGGATATTCAGACCTCTTTGAGGCCTTCGTTGGAAACGGGATTTCTTCATATTCTGCTAGACAGAAGAATTCTCAGTAACTTCCCTTGTGTTGTGTGTATTCAACTGACAGAGTTGAACTTTCATTTAGAGAGAGCAGATTTGAAACACTGTTTTTGTGGAATTTGCAAGTGGAGATTTCATGCGCTTTGGGGCCAAAGGCAGAAAAGGAAATATCTTCGTATAAAAACTAGACAGAATCATTCTCAGAAACTGCTCTGCGATGTGTGCGTTCAACTCTCAGAGTTTAACTTTTCTTTTCATTCAGCAGTTTGGAAACACTCTGTTTGTAAAGTCTGCACGTGGATAACTTGACCACTTAGAGGCCTTCGTTGGAAACGGGTTTTTTTTCCTGTAAGGCTAGACAGAAGAATTCCCAGGAACTTCCTTATGTTGTGTACATTCAACTCAGAGAGTTGAACGTTCCCTTAGACAGAGCAGATTTGAAACACTCTTTTTGTGCAATTGGCAAGTGGTGATTTCAGCCGGTTTGAGGTCAATGGTAGAAAAGGAAATATCTTCGTATAAAAACTAGACAGAATCATTCCCACAAACTGCGCTGTGATGTGTTCGTTCAACTCACAGAGTTTAACCTTTCTTTTCATAGAGCAGTTAGGAAACAGTCTGTTTGTAAATTCTGTAAGTGGATATTCTGACATCTTGTGGCCTTCGTTGGAAACGGGATTTCTTCATATGCTGCTAGACAGAAGAATTCTCAGTAACTTCCTTTTGTTGTGTGTATTCAACTCACAGAGTTGAACGATCCTTTACACAGAGCAGACTTGAAACACTCTTTTTGTGGAATTTGCAAGTGGAGATTTCAGCCGCTTTGAGGTCAATCGTAGAAAAGGAAATATCTTCGTAGAAAAACTAGACAGAATGATTCTCAGAAACTCCTTTGGGATGTGTGCGTTCAACTCACAGAGTTTAACCTTTCTTTTCATAGAGCAGTTAGGAAACACTCTGTTTGTAAAGTCTGCAAGTGGATATTCAGACCTCTTTGAGGCCTTCGTTGGAAACGGGATTTCTTCATACTGTGCTAGACAGAAGAATTCTCAGTAACTTCCTTGTGTTGTGTGTATTCAACTCACAGAGTTGAACGATCCTTTACACAGAGCGGACTTGAAACACACTTTTTGTGGAATTTGCAAGTGGAGATTTCAGCCGCGTTGAGGTCAATGGTAGAAAAGCAAATATCTTCG
The DNA here is from genome assembly GCF_000001405.40 of Homo sapiens. NCBI lineage: Eukaryota > Metazoa > Chordata > Mammalia > Primates > Hominidae > Homo > Homo sapiens. The sequence goes on from NC_000001.11 coordinate 123,889,233, forward strand.
TATAAAAAATAGACAGAATCATTCTCAGAAACTGCTCTGCGATGTGTGCGTTCAACTCTCAGAGTTTAACTTTGCTTTTCATTCAGCAGTTTGGAAACACTCTGTTTGTAAACTCTGCACGTGGATAATTTGACCACTTAGAGGCCTTCGTTGGAAACGGGTTTTTTTCATGTAAGGCTAGACAGAAGAATTCCCAGTAACTTCCTTGTGTTGTGTACATTCAACTCACAGAGTTGAACGTTCCCTCAGACAGAGCAGATTTGAAACACTCTTTTTGTGCAATTGGCAAATGGAGATTTCAAGCGCTTTAAGGTCAATGGCAGAAAAGGAAATATCTTCGTTTCAAAACTAGACAGAATCATTCCCACAAACTGCGTTGTGATGTGTTCGTTCAACTCACAGAGTTTAACCTTTCTGTTCATAGAGCAGTTAGGAAACAGTCTGTTTGTCAATTCTGTAAGTGGATATTCTGACATCTTGTGGCCTTCGTTGGAAACGGGATTTCTTCATATTCTGCTAGACAGAAGAATTCTCAGAAACTTCGTTGTGTTGTGTGTTTTCAACTCACAGAGTTCAACGATCCTTTACACAGAGTAGACTTGAAACACTCTTTTTGTGGAATTGGCAGGGTGGAGATTTCAGCCGCTTTGAGGTCAATGGTAGAAAAGGAAATATCTTCGTATAAAAACTAGACAGAACGATTCTCAGAAACTCCATTGTGATGTGTGCGTTCAACTCACAGAGTTTAACCTTTCTTTTCATAGAGCAGTTAGGAAACACTCTGTTTGTAAAGTCTGCAAGTGGATATTCAGACCTCCTTGAGGCCTTCGTTGGAAACGGGATTTCTTCATATTCTGCTAGACAGAAGAATTCCCAGTAACTTCCTTGTGTTGTGTGTGTTCAACTCACAGTGTTGAACTTTCATTTACACAGAGCAGATTTGAAACACTCTTTTTGTGGAATTTGCAAGTGGAGATTTCAAGCGCTTTGAGGCCAAAGGCAGAAAAGGAAATATCTTCGTTTCAAAACTAGACAGAATCATTCTCAGAAACTGCTCTGCGATGTGTGCGTTCAACTCTCAGAGTTTAACTTTTCTTTTCATTCAGCAGTTTGGAAACACTCTGTTTGTAAAGTCTGCACGTGGATATTTTGACCACTTAGAGGCCTTCGTTGGAAACGGGTTTTTTTCCTGTAAGGATAGACAGAAGAATTCCCAGTAACTTCCTTGTGTTGTGTGCATTCAACTCACAGAGTTGAACGTTCCCTTAGACAGAGCAGATTTGAAACACTCTATTTGTTCAATTTGCAAGTGTAGATTTCAAGCGCTTTAAGGTCAATGACAGAAAAGGAAATATCTTCGTTTCAAAACTAGACAGAATCATTCCCACAAACTGCGTTGTGATGTGTTCGTTCAACTCACAGAGTTTAACCTTTCTGTTCATAGAGCAGTTAGGAAACACTCTGTTTGTAAAGTCTGCAAGTGGATATTCAGACCTCCTTGAGGCCTTCGTTGGAAAAGGGATTTCTTCATATTCTGCTAGACAGAAGAATTCTCAGAAACTTCCTTGTGTTGTGTGTTTTCAACTCACAGAGTTGAACGATCCTTTACACAGAGCAGACTTGAAACACTCCTTTTGTGGAATTTGCAAGTGGAGATTTCAGCCGCTTTGAGGTCAGTGGTAGATTAGGAAATATCTTCCTATAGAAACTAGACAGAATGATTCTCAGAAACTCCTTTGTGATGTGAGCGTTCAACTCACAGAGTTTAACCTTTCTTTTCATAGAGCAGTTAGGAAACACTCTGTTTGTAAAGTCTGCAAGTGGATATTCAGACATCCTTGAGGCTTTCGTTGGAAACGGGATTTCTTCATATTCTGCTAGAAAGAAGAATTCTCAGTAACTTCCTTGTGTTGTGTGTATTCAACTGACAGAGTTGAGCTTTCATTTGGAGAGAGCAGATTTGAAACACTGTTTTTGTGGAATTTGCAAGTGGAGATTTCAAGCGCTTTGGGGCCAAAGGCAGAAAAGGAAATATCTTCGTATAAAAACTAGACAGAATCATTCTCAGAAACTGCTCTGCGATGTGTGCGTTCAACTCTCAGAGTTTAACTTTTCTTTTCATTCAGCAGTTTGGAAACACTCTGTTTGTAAAGTCTGCACGTGGATATTTTGACCACTTAGAGGCCTTCGTTGGAAACGGGTTTCTTTCCTGTAAGGCTAGACAGAAGAATTCCCAGTAACTTCCTTGTGTTGTGTACATTCAACTCACAGAGTTGAACGTTCCCTTAGACAGAGCAGATTTGAAACACTCTTTTTGTGCAATTGGCAAGTGGAGATTTCAAGCGCTTTGAGGCCAAAGGCAGAAAAGGAAATATCTTCGTATAAAAACTAGACAGAATCATTCCCACAAACTGCGTTGTGATGTGTTCGTTCAACTCACAGAGTTTAACCTTTCCGTTCATAGAGCAGTTAGGAAACACTCTGTTTGTAAAGTCTGTAAGTGGATATTCTGACATCTTGTGGCCTTCGTTGGAAACGGGATTTCTTCATATTATGCTAGACAGAAGAATTCTCAGTAACTTCCTTGTGTTGTGTGTATTCAACTCACAGAGTTGAACGATTCTTTACACAGAGCAGACTTGAAACACTCTTTTTGTGGAATTTGCAAGTGGAGATTTCAGCCACTTTGAGGTCAATAGTAGAAAAGGAAATATCTTCGTAGAAAAACTAGACAGAATGATTCTCAGAAACTCCTTTGTGATGTGTGCGTTCAACTCACAGAGTTTAACCTTTCTTTTCATAGAGCAGTTAGGAAACACTCTGTTTGTAAAGTCTGCAAGTGGATATTCAGTCCTCCTTGAGGCCTTCGTTGGAAACGGGTTTTTTTCATATAAGTCTAGACAGAAGAATTCTCAGTAATTTCCTTGTGTTGTGTGTATTCAACTGACAGAGTTGAACTTTCATTTAGAGAGAGCAGATTTGAAACACTGTTTTTGTGGTATTTGCAAGTGGAGATTTCAAGCGCTTTGGGGCCAAAGGCAGAAAAGGAAATATCTTCGTATAAAAACTAGACAGAATCATTCTCAGAAACTGCTCTGCGATGTGTGCGTTCAACTCTCAGAGTTTAACTTTTCTTTTCATTCAGCAGTTTGGAAACACTCTGTTTGTAAAGTCTGCACGTGCATAATTTGACCACTTAGAGGCCTTCGTTGGAAACGGGTTTTTTTCATGTAAGGCTAGACAGAAGAATTCTCAGTAACTTCCTTGTGTTGTGTGTATTCAACTCACAGAGTTGAACGATCCTTTACACAGAGCAGACTTGAAACACTCTTTTTGTGGAATTTGCAGGTGGAGATTTCAGCCGCTTTGAGGTCAATGGTAGAATAGGAAATATCTTCCTATAGAAACTAGACAGAATGATTCTCAGAAACTCCTTTGTGATGTGTGCGTTCAACTCACAGAGTTTAACCTTCCAATTCATAGAGCAGTTAGGAAACACTCTGTTTGTAAAGTCTGCAAGTGGATATTCAGACCTCTTTGAGGCCTTCTTTGGAAACGGGATTTCTTCATTTTCTGCTAGACAGAAGAATTCTCAGTAACTTCTTTGTGTTGTGTGTATTCAACTCACAGAGTTGAACGATCCTTTACACAGAGCAGACTTGAAACACTCTTTTTGTGGAATTTCAAGTGGAGATTTCAGCCGCTTTGAGGTCAATGGTAGAATAGGAAATATCTTCCTATAGAAACTAGACAGAATGATTCTCAGAAAATCTTTTGTGATGTGTGCTTTCAACTCACAGAGTTTAACTTTTCTTCTCATAGAGCAGTTAGGAAACACTCTGTTTGTAAAGTCTGCAAGTGGATATTCAGACCTGTTTGAGGCCTTCGTTGGAAACGGGATTTCTTCATATTATGCTAGACAGAAGAATTCTCAGTAACTTCCTTGTGTTGTGTGTATTCAGCTGACAGAGTTGAACTTTCATTTAGAGAGAGCAGATTTGAAACACTGTTTTTGTGGAATTTGCAATTGGAGATTTCAAGCGCTTTGGGGCCAAAGGCAGAAAAGGAAATATCTTCGTATAAAAACTAGACAGAATCATTCTCAGAAACTGCTGCGTGATGTGTGCGTTCAACTCTCAGAGTTTAACTTTTCTTTTCATTCAGCGGTTTGGAGACACTCTGTTTGTAAAGTCTGCAAGTGGATATTTTGACCACTTAGAGGCCTTCGTTGGAAACGGGTTTTTTTCATGTAAGGCTAGACAGAAGAGTTCTCAGTAACTTCCTTGTGTTGTGTGTATTCAACTCACACAGTTGAACGATCCTTTACAGAGAGCGGACTTGTAACACTCTTTTTGTGGAATTTGCAAGTGGAGATTTCAGCCGCTTTGAAGTCAAAGGTAGAAAAGGGAATATCTTCCTATAAAAACTAGACAGAATCATTCCCAGAAACTGCGTTGCGATGTGTTCGTTCAACTCACAGAGTTTAACCTTTCTTTTCATAGAGCACTTAGGAAACAGTCTGTTTGTAAATTCTGTAAGTGGATATTCTGACATCTTGTGGCCTTCGTTGGAAACGGGATTTCTTCATATTCTGCTAGACAGAAGAATTCTCAGTAACTTCCTTGTGTTGTGTGTATGCATCTCACAGAGTTGAACGATCCTTTACACAGAGCAGACTTGAAACACTCTTTTTGTGGAATTTGCAAGTGGAGATTTCAGCCGCTTTGAGGTCAATGGTAGAAAAGGAAATATCTTCCTATAAAAACTAGACAGAATGATTCTCAGAAACTCCTTTGTGATGTGTGTGTTCAACTCGCAGAGTTTAACCTTTCTTTTCATAGAGCAGTTAGTAAACACTCTGTTTATAAAGTCTGCAAGTGGATATTCAGACCCCTTTGAGGCCTTCGTTGGAAACGGGATTTCTTCATATTATGCTAGACAGAAGAATTCTCAGAATCTTCCTTGTGTTGTGTGTATTCAACTCACAGAGTTGAACGATGGTTTACACAGAGCAGATTTGAAACACACTTTTTGTGGAATTTGCAAGTGGAGATTTCAAGCGCTTTGAGGCCAAAGGCAGAAAAGGAAATATCTTCGTATAAAAACTAGACAGAATCACTCTCAGAAACTGCTCTGCGATGTGTGCGTTCAACTCTCAGAGTTTAACTTTTCTTTTCATTCAGCAGTTTGGAAACACTCTGTTTGTAAAGTCTGCACGTGGATATTTTGACCAATCAGAGGCCTTCGTTGGAAACGGGTTTTTTTCCTGTAAGGCTAGACAGAAGAATTCTCAGTAACTTCCTTGTGTTGTGTGTATTCAACTGACAGAGTTGAACTTTCATTTAGAGAGAGGAGATTTGAAACACTGTTTTTGTGGAATTTGCAAGTGGAGATTTCAAGCGCTTTAAGGTCAATGGCAGAAAAGGAAATATCTTCGTTTCAAAACTAGACAGAATCATTCCCACAAACTGCGTTGTGATGTGTTCCTTCAACTCACAGAGTTTAAGCTTTCTGTTCATAGAGCAGTTAGGAAACACTCTGTTTGTAAAGTCTGTAAGTGGATATTCTGACATCTTGTGGCCTTCGTTGGAAACGGGATTTCTTCATATTATGCTAGACAGAAGAATTCTCAGTAACTTCCTTGTGTTGTGTGTATTCAACTCACAGAGTTGAACGATCCTTTACACAGAGCAGACTTGTAACACTCTTTTTGTGGAATTTGCAAGTGGAGATTTCAGGGGCTTTGAAGTCAAAGGTACAAAAGGAAATATCTTCCTATAAAAACTAGACAGAATGATTCTCAGAAACTCCTTTGTGATGTGTGCGTTCAACTCACAGAGTTTAACCTTTCTTTTCATAGAGCAGTTAGGAAACACTCTGTTTGTAAAGTCTGCAAGTGGATATTCAGACCTCTTTGAGGCCTTCGTTGGAAACGGGTTTTTTACATATAACGCTAAACAGAAGAATTCCCAGTAACTTCCTTGTGTTGTGTGTGTTCAACTCACAGAGTTGAACTTTCATTTACACAGAGCAGATTTGAAACACTCTTTTTGTGGAATTTGCAAGTTTAGATTTCAAGCGCTTTGAGGCCAAAGGCAGAAAAGGAAATATCTTCGTATAAAAACTAGACAGAATCATTCTCAGAAACTGCTCTGCGATGTGTGCGTTCAACTCTCAGAGTTCAACTTTTCTTTTCATTCAGCAGTTTGGAAACACTCTGTTTGTAAAGTCTGCACGTGGATAATTTGACTACTTAGAGGCCTTCGTTGGAAACGGGTTTTTTTCATGTAAGGCTACACAGAAGAATTCCCAGTAACTTCCTTGTGTTGTGTACATTCAACTCACAGAGTTGAACGTTCCCTTAGACAGAGCAGATTTGAAACACTCTTTTTGTGCAATTGGCAAATGGAGATTTCAAGCGCTTTAAGTTCAATGGCAGAAAAGGAAATATCTTCGTTTCAAAACTAGACAGAATCATTCCCACAAACTGCGTTGTGATGTGTTCGTTCAACTCACAGAGTTTAACCTTTCTTTTCATAGAGCAGTTAGGAAACAGTCTGTCAATTCTGTAAGTGGATATTCTGACCTCTAGTGGCCTTCGTTGGAAACGGGATTTCTTCATATTCTGCTAGACAGAAGAATTCTCAGAATCTTCCTTGTGTTGTGTGTATTCAACTCACAGAGTTGAACGATCCTTTACACAGAGCAGACTTGAAACACTCTTTTTGTGGAATTTGCAAGTGGAGATTTCAGCCGCTTTGAGGTCAATGGTAGAAAAGGAAATATTTTCGTATAAAAACTAGACAGAATGATTCTCATAAACTCCTTTGTGATGTGTGCGTTCAACTCACAGAGTTTAACCTTTCTTTTCATAGAGCAGTTAGGAAACACTCTGTTTGTAAAGTCTGCAAGTCGATATTCAGACCTCTTTGAGGCCTTCGTTGGAAACGGGATTTCTTCATATTCTGCTAGACAGAAGAATTCTCAGTAACTTCCTTGTGTTGTGTGTATTCAACTGACAGAGTTGAACTTTCATTTAGAGAGAGCAGATTTGAAACACTGTTTTTGTGGAATTTGCAAGTGGAGATTTCATGCGCTTTCGGGCCAAAGGCAGAAAAGGAAATATCTTCGTATAAAAACTAGACAGAATCATTCTCAGAAACTGCTCTGCGATGTGTGCGTTCAACTCTCAGAGTTTAACTTTTCTTTTCATTCAGCAGTTTGGAAACACTCTGTTTGTAAAGTCTGCACGTGGATATTTTGACCACTTAGAGGCCTTCGTTGGAAACGGTTTTTTTCATGTAAGGCTAGACAGAAGAATTCCCAGTAACTTCCTTGTGTTGTGTGCATTCAACTCACAGAGTTGAACGTTCCCTTAGACAGAGCAGATTTGAAACACTCTATTTGTGCAATTTGCAAGTGTAGATTTCAAGCGCTTTAAGGTCAACGGCAGAAAAGGAAATACCTTCGTTTCAAAAGTAGACAGAATCATTCCCACAAACTGCGTTGTGATGTGTTCGTTCAACTCACAGAGTTTAACCTTTCTTTTCATAGAGCAGTTAGGAAACAGTCTGTTTGTAAATTCTGTAAGTGGATATTCTGACATCTTGTGGCCTTCGTTGGAAACGGGATTTTATCATATTCTGCTAGACAGAAGATTCTCAGTAACTTCCTTGTGTTGTGTGTATTCAACTCACAGAGTTGAACGATCCTTTACACAGAGCGGACTTGAAACAAACTTTTTGTGGAATTTGCAAGTGGAGATTTCAGCCGCGTTGAGGTCAATGGTAGAAAAGGAAATATCTTCGTATAAAAACTAGACAGAATGATTCTCAGAAACTCCTTTGTGATGTGTGCGTTCAACTCACAGAGTTTAACCTTTCTTTTCATAGAGCAGTTAGGAAACACTCTGCTTGTAAAGTCTGCAAGTGGATATTCAGCCCTCTTTGAGGCCATCGTTGGAAACGGGTTTTTTTCATATAAGGCTAGACAGAAGAATTCTCAGTAACTTCCTTGTGTTGTGTGTATTCAAGTGACAGAGTTGAACTTTCATTTAGAGAGAGCAGATTTGAAACACTGTTTTTGTGGAATTTGCAAGTGGAGATTTCAAGCGCTTTGGGGCCAAAGGCAGAAAAGGAAATATCTTCGTATAAAAACTAGACAGAATCATTCTCAGAAACTGCTCTGCGATGTGTGCGTTCAACTCTCAGAGTTTAACTTTTCATTCAGCAGTTTGGAAACACTCTGTTTGTAAAGTCTGCGCGTGGATAACTTGACCATTTAGAGGCCTTCGTTGGAAACGGGTTTTTTTCATGTAAGGCTAGACAGAAGAATTCCCAGTAACTTCCTTGTGTTGTGTGCATTCAACTCACAGAGTTGAACGTTCCCTTGGACAGAGCAGATTTGAAACACTCTATTTGTGCAATTTGCAAGTGTAGATTTCAAGCGCTTTATGGTCAATGGCAGAAAAGGAAATATCTTCGTTTCAAAACTAGACAGAATCATTCCCACAAACTGCGTTGTGATGTGTTCGTTCAACTCACAGAGTTTAACCTTTCTGTTCATAGAGCAGTTAGGAAACGCTCTGTTTGTAAAGTCTGTAAGTGGATATTCTGACATCTTGTGGCCTTCGTTGGAAACGGGATTTCTTCATATTCTGCTAGACAGAAGAATTCTCAGTAACTTCCTTGTGTTGTGTGTATTCAACTCACAGAGTTGAACGATGCTTTACACAGAGCATACTTGAAACACTCTTCTTGTGGAATTTGCAAGTGGAGATTTCAGCCGCTTTGAGGTCAATGGTAGAATAGGAAATATCTTCCTATAGAAACTAGACAGAATGATTCTCAGAAACTTCTTTGTGATGTGTGCGTTCAACTCACAGAGTTTAACCTTTCTTTTCATAGAGCAGTTAGGAAACACTCTGTTTGTAAACTCTGCAAGTGGATATTCAGACCTCTTTGAGGCCTTCGTTGGAAACGGGATTTCTTCATACTATGCTACACAGAAGAATTCCCAGTAACTTCCTTGTGTTGTGTGTGTTCAACTCGCAGAGTTGAACTTTCATTTACACAGAGCAGATTTGAAACACTCTTTTTGTGGAATTTGCAAATGGAGATTTCAAGCGCTTTGAGGCCAAAGGCAGAAAAGGAAATATCTTCGTATAAAAACCAGACAGAATCATTCTCAGAAACTACTGCGTGATGTGTGCGTTCAACTCTCAGAGTTTAACTTTTCTTTTCATTCAGCGGTTTGGAAACACTTTGTTTGTAAAGTCTGCACGTGGATATTTTGACCACCTAGAGGCCTTCGTTGGAAACGGGTTTTTTTCATGTAAGGCTAGACAGAAGAATTCCCAGTAACTTCCTTGTGTTGTGTACATTCAACTCACAGAGTTCAACGTTCCCTTAGACAGAGCAGATTTGAAACACTCTTTTTGTGCAATTGGCAAGTGGAGATTTCAAGCGCTTTAAGGTCAATGGCAGAAAAGGAAATATCTTCGTTTCAAAACTAGACAGAATCATTCCCACAAACTGCGTTGTGATGTGTTCGTTCAACTCACAGAGTTTAACCTTTCTTTTCATAGAGCAGTTAGGAAACACTCTGTTGGTAAATTCTGTAAGTGGATATTCTGACATCTTGTGGCCTTCGTTGGAAACAGGATTTCTTCATATTCTGCTACACAGAAGAATTCTCAGAAACTTCCTTGTGTTGTGTGTATTCAACTCTCAGAGTTGAACGACCCTTTACACAGAGCAGACTTGAAACACTCTTTTTGTGGAATTTGCAAGTGGAGATTTCAGCCGCTTTGAGGTCAATGGTAGAAAAGGAAATATCTTCGTATAAAAACTAGACAGAATGATTCTCAGAAACTCCTTTGTGATGTGTGTGTTCAACTCTGAGAGTTTAACCTTTCTTTTCATAGAGCAGTTAGGAAACACTCTGTTTATAGAGTCTGCAAGTGGATATTCAGACCCCTTTGTGGTCTTCTTTGGAAACGGATTTCTTCATATTATGCTAGACAGAAGAATTCTCAGTAACTTCCTTGTGTTGTGTGTATTCAACTGACAGAGTTGAACTTTCATTTAGAGGGAGCAGATTAGAAACACTGTTTTTGTGGAATTTGCAAGTGCAGATTTCAAGCGCTTTGTGGCCAAAGGCAGAAAAGGAAATATCTTCGTATGAAAACTAGACAGAATCATTCTCAGAAACTGCTCTGTGATGTGTGCGTTCAACTCTCAGAGTTTAACTTTTCTTTTCATTCAGCAGTTTGGAAACACTCTGTTTGTAAAGTCTGCACGTGGATAATTTGACCACTTAGAGGCCTTCGTTGGAAACGGGTTTTTTTCATGTAAGGCTAGACAGAAGAATTCCCAGTAACTTCCTTGTGTTGTGTGCATTCAACTCAGAGAGTTGAACTTTCCTTTAGACAGAGCAGATTTGAAACACTCTATTTGTGCAATTTGCAAGTGTAGATTTCAAGCGCTTTAAGGTCAATGGCAGAAAAGGAAATATCTTCGTTTCAAAACTAGACAGAATCATTCCCACAAACTGCGTTGTGATGTGTTCGTTCAACTCACAGAGTTTAACTTTTCTGTTCATAGAGCAGTTAGGAAACACTCTGTTTGTAAAGTCTACAAGTGGATATTCAGACCTCCTTGAGGCCTTCGTTGGAAACGGGATTTCTTCATATTCTGCTAGACCGAAGAATTCTCAGAATCTTCCTTGTGTTGTGTGTATTCAACTCACACAGTTGAACGATGGTTTACACAGAGCAGATTTGAAACACTCTTTTTGTGGAATTTGCAAGTGGAGATTTCAGCCGCGTTGAGGTCAATGGTAGAAAAGGAAATATCTTCGTATAAAAACTAGACAGCATGATTCTCAGAAACTCCTTTGTGATGTGTGCGTTCAATTCACAGAGTTTAACTTTTCTTTTCATAGAGCAGTTAGGAAACACTCTGTTTGTAAAGTCTGAAAGTGGATATTCAGACCTCTTTGTGGCCTTCGTTGGAAACGGGATTTCTTCATATTCTGCTAGACAGAAGAATTCTCAGTAACTTCCTTGTGTTGTGTGTATTCAACTCACAGAGTTGAACGATCCTTTACACAGAGCAGACTTGAAACACTCTTTTTGTGGAATTTGCAAGTGGAGATTTCAAGCGCTTCGGGGCCAAAGGCAGAAAAGGAAATATCTTCGTATAAAAACTAGACAGAATCATTCTCAGAAACTGCTGCGTGATGTGTGCGTTCAACTCTCAGAGTTTAACTTTTCTTTTCATTCAGCGGTTTGGAAACACTCTGTTTGTAAAGTCTGCACGTGGAAATTTTGACCACTTAGAGGCCTTCGTTGGAAACGGGATTTTTTCATGTAAGGCTAGACAGAATAATTCCCGGTAACTTCCTTGTGTTGTGTACATTCAACTTACAGAGTTGAACGTTCCCTTGGACAGAGCAGATTTGAAACACTCTTTTTGTGCAATTGGCAAGTGGAGATTTCAAGCGCTTAAGGTCAATGGCAGAAAAGGAAATATCTTCGTTTCAAAACTAGACAGAATCATTCCCACAAACTGCGTTGTGATGTGTTCGTTCAACTCACAGAGTTTAACCTTTCTGTTCATAGAGCAGTTAGGAAACACTCTGTTTGTAAAGTCTGTAAGTGGATATTCTGATATCTTGTGGCCTTCGTTGGAAACGGGATTTCTTCATATTCTGCTAGACAGAAGAATTCTCAGAAACTTCCTTGTGTTGTGTGTATTCAACTCACAGAGTTGAACGATCGTTTACACAGAGCAGACTTGAGACCCTCTTTTTGTGGAATTTGTAAGTGGAGATTTCAGCCGCTTTGAGGTCAATGGTAGAAAAGGAAATATCTTCATATAAAAACTAGACAGAATGATTCTCAGAAACTCCTTTGTGATGTGTGTGTTCAACTCACAGAGTTTAACCTTTCCTTTCATAGAGCAGTTAGTAAACACTCTGTTTATAAAGTCTGCAAGTGGATATTCAGACCCCTTTGAGGCCTTCGTTGGAAACGGGATTTCTTCATATTATGCTAGACAGAAGAATTCCCAGTAACTTCTTTGTGTTGTGTGTGTTCAACTCACAGAGTTGAACTTTGATTTACACAGAGCAGATTTGAAACACTCTTTTTGTGGAATTTGCAAGTGGAGATTTCAAGCGCTTTGAGGCCAAAGGCAGAAAAGGAAATATCTTCGTATAAAAACTAGACAGAATCATTCTCAGCAATCTGCTGCGTGATGTGTGCGTTCAACTCTCAGAGTTTAACTTTTCTTTTCATTCAGCGGTTTGGAAACACTCTGTTTGTAAAGTCTGCACGTGGATATTTTGACCACTTAGAGGCCTTCGTTGGAAACGGGTTTTTTTCATGTAAGGCTAGACAGAAGAATTCCCAGTAACTTCCTTGTGTTGTGTACATTCAACTCACAGAGTTGAACGTTCCCTTAGACAGAGCAGATTTGAAACACTCTTTTTGTGCAATTGGCAAGTGGAGATTTCAAGCGCTTTAAGGTCAATGGCAGAAAAGGAAATATCTTCGTTTCAAAACTAGACAGAATCATTCCCACAAACTGCGTTGTGATGTGTTCGTTCATCTCACAGAGTTTAACCTTTCTTTTCATAGAGCAGTTAGGAAACAGTCTGTTTGTAAATTCTTTAAGTGGATATTCTGACATCTTGTGGCCTTCGTTGGAAACGGGATTTCTTCATATTCTGCTAGACAGAAGGATTCTCAGTAACTTCCTTGTGTTGTGTGTATTCAACTCACAGAGTTGAACGATCCTTTACACAGAGCAGACTTGAAACACTCTTTTTGTGAAATTTGCAAGTGGAGATTTCAGCCGCTTTGAGGTCAATAGTAGAAAAGGAAATATCTTCGTAGAAAAACTAGACAGAATGATTCTCAGAAACTCCTTTCTGATGTGTGCATTCAACTCACAGAGTTTCACCTTTCTTTTCATAGAGCAGTTAGGAAACACTCTGTTTGTAAAGTCTGCAAGTGGATATTCAGACCTCCTTGAGGCCTTCGTTGGAAACGGGATTTCTTCATATTCTACTAGACAGAATCATTCTCAGAAACTGCTGCGTGATGTGTGCGTTCAACTCTCAGAGTTTAACTTTTCTTTTCATTCAGCGGTTTGGAAACACTCTGTTTCTAAAGTCTGCACGTGGAAATTTTGACCACTTAGAGGCCTTCGTTGGAAACGGGTTTTTTTCATGTAAGGCTAGACAGAAGAATTCCCAGTAACTTTCCTTGTGTTGTGTGCATTCAACTCACAGAGTTGAACGTTCCCTTAGACCGAGCAGATTTGAAACACTCTATTTGTGCAATTTGCAAGTGTAGTTTTCAAGCTCTTTAAGGTCAACGGCAGAAAAGGAAATATCTTCGTTTCAAAACTAGACAGAATCATTCCCACAAACTGCGTTGTGATGTGTTCGTTCAACTCACAGAGTTTAACCTTTCTGTTCATAGAGCAGTTAGGAAACACTCTGTTTGTAAAGTCTGCAAGTGGATATTCAGACCTCCTAGAGGCCTTCGTTGGAAACAGGATTTCTTCATATTCTGCTAGACAGAAGAATTCTCAGTAACTTCCTTGTGTTGTGTTTATTCAACTCACAGAGTTGAATGATCCTTTACACAGAGCAGACTTGAAACACTCTTTTTGTGGAATTTGCAAGTGGAGATTTCAGCCGCTTTGTGGTCAATGGTAGAAAAGGAAATATCTTCGTATAAAGACTAGACAGAATGATTCTCAGAAACTCCTTTGTGATGTGTGTGTTCAACTCACAGAGTTTAACCTTTCTTTTCATAGAGCAGTTAGGAAACACTCTGTTTGTAAAGTCTGCAAGTGGATATTCAGACCTCTTTGAGGCCTTCGTTGGAAACTGGTTTTTTTCATGTAAGGCTAGACAGAAGATTTCCCAGTAACTTCCTTGTGTTGTGTGTGTTCAACTCACAGAGTTGAACTTTCATTTACACAGAGCAGATTTGAAACACTCTTTTTGTGGAATTTGCAAATGGAGATTTCAAGCGCTTTGAGGCCAAAGGCAGAAAAGGAAATATCTTCGTATGAAAACTAGACAGAATCATTCTCAGAAACTGCTCTGCGATGTGTGCGTTCAACTCTCAGAGTTTAACTTTTCTTTTCATTCAGCAGTTTGGAAACACTCTGTTTGTAAAGTCTGCACGTGGATATGTTGACCACTTAGAGGCCTTCGTTGGAAACGGGTTTCTTTCCTGTAAGGCTAGATAGAAGAATTCCCAGTAACTTCCTTGTGTTGTGTACATTCAACTCACAGAGTTGAACGTTCCCTTAGACAGAGCAGATTTGAAACACTCTTTTTGTGCAATTGGCAAGTGGAGATTTCAAGCGCTTTAAGGTCAATGGCAGAAAAGGAAATATCTTCGTTTCAAAACTAGACAGAATCATTCCCACAAACTGCGTTGTGATGTGTTCGTTCAACTCACAGAGTTTAACCATTCTGTTCATAGAGCAGTTAGGAAACACTCTGTTTGTAAAGTCTGTAAGTGGATATTCTGACATCTTGTGGCCTTCGTTGGAAAAGGGATTTATTCATATTCTGCTAGACAGAAGAATTCTCAGTAACTTCCTTGTGTTGTGTTTATTCAACTCACAGAGTTGAATGATCCTTTACACAGAGCAGACTTGAAACACTGTTTTTGTGGAATTTGCAAGTGGAGATTTCAGCCGCTTTGAAGTCAATGGTAGAAAAGTAAATATCTTCGTATAAAAACTAGACAGAATGATTCTCAGAAACTCCTTTGTGATGTGTGCGTTCAACTCACAGAGTTTAACCTTTCTTTTCATAGAGCAGTTAGGAAACACTCTGTTTGTAAAGTCTGCAAGTGGATATTCAGACATCTTTGAGGCTTTCGTTGGAAACGGGATTTCTTCGTATTCTGCTATACAGAAGAATTCTCAGTAACTTCCTTGTGTTGTGTGTATTCAACTGACAGAGTTGAACTTTCATTTAGGTAGAGCAGATTTGAAACACTGTTTTTGTGGAATTTGCAAGTGGAGATTTCAAGCGCTTTGGGGCCAAAGGCAGAAAAGGAAATATCTTCGTATAAAAACTAGACAGAATCATTCTCAGAAACTGCTGCGTGATGTGTGCGTTCAACTCTCAGAGTTTAACTTTTCTTTTCATTCAGCGGTTTGGAAACACTCTGTTTGTAAAGTCTGCACGTGGAAATTTTGACCACTTAGAGGCCTTCGTTGGAAACGGGATTTTTTCATGTAAGGCTAGACAGAAGAATTCCCAGTAACTTCCTTGTGTTGTGTGCATTCAACTCACAGAGTTGAACGTTCCCTTAGACAGAGCAGATTTGAAACACTCTATTTCTGCAATTTGCAAGTGTAGTTTTCAAGCTCTTTAAGGTCAACGGCAGAAAAGGAAATATCTTCGTTTCAAAACTAGACAGAATGATTCTCAGAAACTCCTTTGTGATGTGTGCGTTCAACTCACAGAGTTTAACCTTTCTTTTCATAGAGCAGTTAGGAAACACTCTGTTTGTAAAGCCTGCAAGTGGATATTCAGACATCCTTGAGGCTTTCGTTGGAAACGGGATTTCTTCATATTCTGCTAGAAAGAAGAATTCTGAGTAACTTCCTTGTGTTGTGTGTATTCAACTCACAGAGTTGAACGATCCTTTACACAGAGCAGACTTGTAACACTCTTTTTGTGGAATTTGCAAGTGGAGATTTCAGCCACTTTGAAGTCAAAGGTAGAAAAGGAAATAAGTTCCTATAAAAACTAGACAGAATGATTCTCAGAAAATCCTTTGTGATGTGTGCGTTCAACTCACAGAGTTTAACTTTTGTTTTCATAGAGCAGTTAGGAAACACTCTGTTTGTAAAGTCTGCAAGTGGATATTCAGACCTCTTTGAGGCCTTCATTGGAAACGGGATTTCTTCATATTATGCTAGACAGAAGAATTCCCAGTAACTTCCTTGTGTTGTGTGTTTTTTAAGTCACAGAGTTGAACTTTCATTTACACAGAGCAGATTTGAAACACTCTTTTTGTGGAATTTGCAAGTGGAGATTTCAAGTGCTTTGAGGCCAATGGCAGAAAAGGAAATATCTTCGTATAAAAACTAGACAGAATCATTCTCAGAAACTGCTCTGCGATGTGTGCGTTCAACTCTCAGAGTTTAACTTTTCTTTTCATTCAACAGTTTGAAAACACTCTGTTTGTAAAGTCTGCACGTGGATATTTTGACCACTTAGAGGCCTTCGTTGGAAACGGGTTTTTTTCCTGTAAGGCTAGACAGAAGAATTCTCAGTAACTTCCTTCTGTTGTGTGTATTCAACTCACAGAGTTCAACGATCCTTTACACAGAGCAGACTTGAAACACTCTTTTTGTGGAATTTGCAAGTGGACATTTCAGCCGCTTTGAGGTCAATGGTAGAAAAGGATATATCTTCGTATAAAAACTAGACAGAATTATTCTCAGAAACTCCTTTGTGATGTGTGCGTTCAACTCACAGAGTTTAACCTTTCTTTTCGTAGAGCAGTTAGGAAACACTCTGTTTGTAAAGTCGGCAAGTGGATATTCAGACCTCTTTGGGGCCATCGTTGGAAATGGGATTTCTTCATATTCTGCTAGACAGAAGAATTCTCAGTAACTTCCTTGTGTTGTGTGTATTCAACTGACAGAGTTGAACGATCCTTTACACAGAGCAGACTTGAAACACACTTTTTGTGGATTTTGCAAGTGGAGATTTCAGCCTCTTTGAGATCAATGGTAGAATAGGAAATATCTTCCTATAGAAACTAGACAGAATGATTCTCAGAAACTCCTTTGTGATGTGTGCGTTCAAGTCACAGAGTTTAACCTTTCTTTTCATAGAGCAGTTAGGAAACACTCTGTTTGTAAAGTCTGCAAGTGGATATTCAGACCTCTTTGAGGCCTTCGTTGGAAACGGGTTTTTTTCATATAAGGCTAGACAGAAGAATTCTCAGTAACTTCCTTGTGTTGTGTGTATTCAACTGACAGAGTTGAACTTTCATTTAGAGAGAGCAGATTTGAAACACTGTTTTTGTGGAATTTGCAAGTGGAGATTTCAAGCCCTTTGGGGCCAAAGGCAGAAAAGGAAATATCTTCGTGTAAAAATTAGACAGAATCATTCTCAGAAACTGCTGCGTGATGTGTGCGTTCAACTCTCAGAGTTTAACTTTTCTTTTCATTCAGCGGTTTGGAAACACTCTGTTTGTAAAGTCTGCACGTGGATATTTTGACCACTTAGAGGCCTTCGTTGGAAACGGGTTTTTCTCATGTAAGGCTAGACAGAAGAATTCCCAGTAACTTCCTTGTGTTGTGTACATTCAACTCACAGAGTTGAACGTTCCCTTAGACAGAGGAGATTTGAAACACTCTTTTTGTGCAATTGGCAAGTGGAGATTTCAAGCGCTTTAAGGTCAATGGCAGAAAAGGAAATATCTTCGTTTCAAAACTAGACAGAATGATTCTCAGAAACTACTTTGTGATGTGTGCGTTCAACTCACAGAGTTTAACCTTTCTTTTCCTAGAGTAGTTAGGAAACACTCTGTTTGTAAAGTCTGCAAGTGGATATTCAGACCTCTTTGTGGCCTTCATTGGAAACGGGATTTCTTCATATTATGCTAGACAGAAGAATTCTCAGTAACTTCCTTGTGTTGTGTGCATTCATATCACAGAGTTGAACGATCCTTTACGCAGAGCAGATTAGAAACACTCTTTTTGTGGAACTTGCAATTGGAGATTTCAGCCGCTTTGAGGTCAATGGTAGAAAAGGAAATATCTTTGTATAAAAACTAGACAGAATGATTCTCAGAAACTCCTTTGTGATGTGTGCGTTCAACTCACAGAGTTTAACCTTTCTTTTCATAGAGCAGTTAGGAAACACTCTGTTTGTAAAGTCTGCAAGTGGATATTCAGACCTCTTTGAGGCCTTCGTTGGAAACGGGTTTTTTTCATATAAGCCTAGACAGAAGAATTCCCAGTAACTTCCTTGTGTTGTGTGTGTTCAACTCACAGAGTTGAACTTTCATTTACACAGAGCAGATTTGAAACACTCTTTTTGTGGAATTTGCAGGTGGAGATTTCAAGCGCTTTGAGGCCAAAGGCAGAAAACGAAATATCTTCGTATAAAAACTAGACAGAATCATTCTCAGAAAGTGCTCTGCGATGTGTGTGTTCAACTCTCAGAGTTTAACTTTTCTTTTCATTCAGCAGTTTGGAAGCACTCTGTTTGTAAAGTCTGCACGTGGATAATTTGACCACTTAGAGGCCTTCGTTGGAAACGGGTTTTTTTCCTGTAAGGCTAGACAGAAGAATTCCCAGTAACTTCCTTGTGTTGTGTACATTCAACTCACAGAGTTGAACGTTCCCTTAGACAGAGCAGATTTGAAACACTCTTTTTGTGCAATTGGCAAGTGGAGATTTCAAGCGCTTTGAGGTCAATGGCAGAAAAGGAAATATCTTCGTTTCAAAAGTAGACAGAATCATTCCCACAAACTGCGTTGTGATGTGTTCGTTCAACTCACAGAGTTTAACCTTTCTGTTCATAGAGCAGTTAGGAAACACTCTGTTTGTAAACTCTGTAAGTGGATATTCTGACATCTTGTGGCCTTCGTTGGAAACGGGATTTCTTCACATTCTGCTAGACAGAAGAATTCTCAGTAACTTCCTTGTGTTGTGTGTATTCAACTCACAGAGTTGAACGATCCTTTACACAGAGCAGACTTGTAACACTCTTTTTGTGGAATTTGCAAGTGGAGATTTCAGCCGCTTTGACGTCAAAGGTAGAAAAGGAAATATCTTCCTATAAAAACTAGGCAGAATGATTCTCAGAAAATCTTTTGTGATGTGTGCGTTCAACTCACAGAGTTTAACTTTTGTTCTCATAGAGCAGTTAGGAAACACTCTGTTTGTAAAGTGTGCAAGTGGATATTCAGACCTCTTTGAGGCCTTCGTTGGAAACGGGATTTCTTCATATTCTGCTAGACAGAAGAATTCCCAGTAACTTCCTTGTGTTGTGTGTGTTCAACTCACAGAGTTGAACGATCCTTTACACAGAGCAGACTTGTAACACTCTTTTTGTGGAATTTGCAAATGGAGATTTCAAGCGCTTTGAGGCCAAAGGCAGAAAAGGAAATATCTTCGTATAAAAACTAGACAGAATCATTCTCAGAAACTGCTCTGCGATGTGTGCGTTCAACTCTCAGTGTTTAACTTTTCTTTTCATTCAGCAGTTTGGAAACACTCTGTTTGTAAAGTCTGCACGTGGATAACTTGACCACTTAGAGGCCTTCGTTGGAAACGGGTTTTTTTCATGTAAGGCTAGACAGAAGAATTCTCAGTAACTTCCTTGTGTTGTGTGTATTCAACTGACAGAGTTGAACGATCCTTTACACAGAGCAGACTTGTAACACTCTTTTTGTGGAATTTGCAAGTGGAGATTTCAGCCGCTTTGAAGTCAAAGGTAGAAAAGGAAATATCTTCCTATAAACACTAGACAGAATCATTCCCACAAACTGCGTTGTGATGTGTTCGTTCATCTCACAGAGTTTAACCTTTCTTTTCATAGAGCAGTTAGGAAACAGTCTGTTTGAAAATTCTGTAAGGGGATATTCTGACATCTTGTGGCCTTCGTTGGAAACGGGATTTCTTCATATTCTGCTAGACAGAAGAATTCTCAGTAACTTCCTTGTCTTGTGTGTATTCAACTCACAGAGTTGAACGATCCTTTACACAGAGCAGACTTGAAACACTCTTTTTGTGGAATTTGCAAGTGGAGATTTCAGCCGCTTTGAGGTCAATGGTAGAAAAGGAAATATCTTCGTATAAAAACTAGACAGAATGATTCTCAGAAACTCCTTTGTGATGTGTGTGTTCAACTCACAGAGTTTAACCTTTCTTTTCATAGAGCAGTTAGTAAACACTCTGTTTATAAATTCTGCAAGTGGATATTCAGACCCCTTTGAGGCCTTCGTTGGAAACGGGATTTCTTCATATTATGCTAGACAGAAGAGTTCCCAGTAACTTCCTTGTGTTGTGTGTGTTCAACTCACAGAGTTGAACTTTCATTTACACAGAGCAGATTTGAAACACTCTTTTTGTGGAATTTGCAAGTGGAGATTTCAAGCGCTTTGAGGACAAAGGCAGAAAAGGAAATATCTTCGTATAAAAACTAGACAGAATCATTCTCAGAAACTGCTCTGTGATGTGTGCGTTCAACTCTCAGAGTTTAACTTTTCTTTTCATTCAGCAGTTTGGAAACACTCTGTTTCTAAAGTCTGCACGTGGATAATTTGACCACTTAGAGGCCTTCGTTGGAAACGGGTTTTTTTCATGTAAGGCTAGACAGAAGAATTCCCAGTAACTTCCTTGTGTTGTGTACATTCAACTCACAGAGTTGAACGTTCCCTTAGACAGAACACATTTGAAACACTCTTTTTGTGCAATTGGCAAGTGGTGATTTCAGCCGCTTTGAGGTCAATGGTAGAAAACGAAATATCTTCGTATAAAAACTAGACAGAATCATTCCCACAAACTGCGTTGTGATGTGTTCGTTCAACTCACAGAGTTTAACCTTTCTGTTCATAGAGCAGTTAGGAAACACTCTGTTTGTAAAGTCTGTAAGTGGATATTCTGACATCTTGTGGTCTTCGTTGGAAACGGGATTTCTTCATATTCTGCTAGACAGAAGAATTCTCAGTCACTTCCTTGTGTTGTGTGTATTCAACTCACAGAGTTGAACGATCCTTTACACAGAGCAGACTTGAAACACTCTTTTTGTGGAATTTGCAAGTGGAGATTTCAGCCGCTTTGAGGTCAATTGTAGAATAGGATATATCTTCGTATAGAAACTAGACAGAATGATTCTCAGAAACTCCTTAGTGATGTGTGCGTTCAACTCACAGAGTTTAACCTTTCTGTTCATAGAGCAGTTAGGAAACACTCTGTTTGTAAAGTCTGCAAGTGGATATTCAGACCTCCTTGAGGCCTTCGTTGGAAACGGGATTTCTTCATATTCTGCTAGACAGAAGAATTCCCAGTAACTTCCTTGTGTTGTGTGTGTTCAACTCACAGAGTTGAACTTTCATTTACACAGAGCAGATTTGAAACACTCTTTTTGTGGAATTTGCAAATGGAGATTTCAAGCGGTTTGAGGCCAAAGGCAGAAAAGGAAATATCTTCGTATAAAAACTAGACAGAATCATTCTCAGAAACTGCTGCGTGATGTGTGCGTTCAACTCTCAGAGTTTAACTTTTCTTTTCATTCAGCGGTTTGGAAACACTCTGTTTGTAAAGTCTGCACGAGGAAATTTTGACCACTTAGAGGCCTTCGTTGGAAACGGGTTTTTTTCATCTAAGGCTAGACAGAAGAATTCCCAGTAACTTCCTTGTGTTGTGTGCATTCAACTCACAGAGTTGAACGTTACCTTAGACAGAGCAGATTTGAAACACTCTATTTGTGCAATTTGCAAGTGTAGATTTCAAGCGCTTTAAGGTCAACGGCAGAAAAGGAAATATCTTCGTTTCAAAACTAGACAGAATCATTCCCACAAACTGCGTTGTGATGTGTTCGTTCAACTCACAGAGTTTAACCTTTCTGTTCATAGAGCAGTTAGGAAACACTCTGTTTGTAAAGTCTGTAAGTGGATATTCTGACATCTTGTGGCCTTCGTTGGAAACGGGATTTCTTCATATTCTGCTAGACAGAAGAATTCTCAGAAACTTCCTTGTGTTGTGTGTTTTCAACTCACAGAGTTGAACGATCCTTTACACAGAGCAGACTTGAAACACTCCTTTTGTGGAATTTGCAAGTGGAGATTTCATCCGCTTTGAGGTCAATGGTAGAATAGGAAATATCTTCCTATAGAAAGTAGACAGAATGATTCTCAGAAACTCCTTTGTGATGTGTGCGTACAACTCACAGAGTTTAACCTTTCTTTTCATAGAGCAGTTAGGAAACACTCTGTTTGTAAAGTCTGCAAGTGGATATTCAGACCTCTTTGAGGCCTTCGTTGGAAACGGGTTTTTTTCATATAAGGCTAGACAGAAGAATTCCCAGTAACTTCCTTGTGTTGTGTGTGTTCAACTCACAGAGTTGAACTTTCATTTACACAGAGCCGATTTGAAACACTCTTTTTGTGGAATTTGCAAGTGGAGATTTCAGCCGCTTTGAGGTCAATGGTAGAAAAGGAAATATCTTCGTATAAAAACTAGACAGAATGATTCTCAGAAAGTCCTTTGTGATGTGTTTGTTCAACTCACAGAGTTTAACCTTTCTTTTCATAGAGCAGTTAGGAAACACTCTGTTTGTAAAGTCTGCAAGTGGATATTCAGACCTCTTTGAGGCCTTCGTTGGAAACGGGATTTCTTCATATTCTGCTAGACAGAAGAATTCTCAGTAACTTCCTTGTGTTGTGTGTATTCAACTCACAGAGTTGAACGATCCTTTACACAGAGCAGACTTGAAACACTCTTTTTGTGGAATTTGCAACTGTAGATTTCAAGCGCTTTAAGGTCAATGGCAGAAAAGGAAATATCTTCGTTTCAAAACTAGACAGAATCATTCCCACAGACTGCGTTGTGATGTGTTCGTTCAAATCACAGAGTTTAACCTTTCTTTTCATAGAGCAGTTAGGAAACAGTCTGTTTGTAAATTCTGTAAGTGGATATTCTGACAACTTGTGGCCTTCGTTGGAAACGGGATTTCTTCATATTCTGCTAGACAGAATAATTCTCAGTAACTTCCTTGTGTTGTGTGTATTCAACTCACAGAGTTGAACGATCCTTTACACAGAGCAGAATTGAAACACTCTTTTTGTGGAATTTGCAAGTCGAGATTTCAGCCGCTTTGAGGTCAATAGTAGAAAAGGAAATATCTTCGTAGAAAAACTAGACAGAATGATTCTCAGAAACTCCTTTGTGATGTGTGCGTTCAACTCACAGAGTTTAACCTTTCTTTTCATAGAGCAGTTATGAAACACTCTGTTTGTAAAGTCTGCAAGTTGATATTCAGACCTCCTTGAGGCCTTCGTTGGAAACGGGATTTCTTCATATTATGCTAGACAGAAGAATTCCCAGTAACTTCCTTGTGTTGTGTGTGTTCAACTCACAGAGTTGAACTTTCATTTACACAGAGCAGATTTGAAACACTCTTTTTCTGGAATTTGCAAATGGAGATTTCAAGCGCTTTGAGGCCAAAGGCAGAAAAGGAAATATCTTCGTATAAAAACTAGACAGAATCATTCTCAGAAACTGCTCTGCGATGTGTGCGTTCAACTCTCAGAGTTTAACTTTTCTTTTCATTCAGCAGTTTGGAAACACTCTGTTTGTAAAGTCTGCACGTGGATATTTTGACCACTTAGAGGCCTTCGTTGGAAACGGGCTTTTTCCTGTAAGGCTAGACAGAAAGAATTCCCAGTAACTTCCTTGTGTTGTGTACATTCAACTCACAGAGTTGAACGTTCCCTTAGACAGAGCAGATTTGAAACACTCTTTTTGTGCAATTGGCAAATGGAGATTTCAAGCGCTTTAAGGTCAATGGCAGAAAAGGAAATATCTTCGTTTCAAAACTAGACAGATGATTCTCAGAAACTCCTTTGTGATGTGTGCGTTCAACTCACACAGTTTAACCTTTCTTTCCATAGAGCAGTTAGGAAACACTCTGTTTGTAAAGTCTGCAAGTGGATATTCAGACCTCCTACAGGCCTTCGTTGGAAACGGGATTTCTTCATATTATGCTAGACAGAAGAATTCTCAGTAACTTCCTTGTGTTCTGTGTATTCAACTCACAGAGTTGAACGATACTTTACACAGAGCAGACTTGAAACACTCTTTTTGTGGAATTTGCAAGTGGAGATTTCAGCCGCTTTGAGGTCAATTGTAGAAAAAGAAATATCTTCGTATAGAAACTAGACAGAATGATTCTCAGAAACTCCTTTGTGATGTGTGCGTTCAACTCAGAGAGTTTAACCTTTCTTTTCATAGAGCAGTTAGGAAACACGCTGTTTATAAAGTCTGCAAGTGGATATTCAGACCCCTTTGAGGCCTTCGTTGGAAACGGGATTTCTTCATATTATGCTAGACAGAAGAATTCCCAGTAACTTCCTTGTGTTGTGTGTGTTCAACTCACAGAGTTGAACTTTCATTTACACAGAGCAGATTTGAAACACTCTTTTTGTGGAATTTGCAAGTGGAGATTTCAAGCGCTTTGAGGCCAAAGGCAGAAAAGCAAATATCTTCGTATAAAAACTAGACAGAATCATTCTCAGAAACTGCTCTGCGATGTGTGCGTTCAACTCTCAGAGTTTAACTTTTCTTTTCATTCAGCAGTTTGGAAACACTCTGTTTGTAAAGTCTGCACGTGGATAATTTGACCACTTAGAGGCCTTCGTTGGAAACGGGATTTTTTCATGTAAGGCTAGACAGAAGAATTCCCAGTAACTTCCTTGTGTTGTGTACATTCAACTCACAGAGTTGAACGTTCCGTTAGACAGAGCAGATTTGAAACACTCTTTTTGTGCAATTGGCAAGTGGAGATTTCAAGCGCTTTGAGGTCAATGGCAGAAAAGGAAATATCTTCGTTTCAAAACTAGACAGAATCATTCCCACAAACTGCGTTGTGATGTGTTCGTTCAACTCACAGAGTATAACCTTTCTGTTCATAGAGCAGTTAGGAAACACTCTGTTTGTAAAGTCTGTAAGTGGATATTCTGACATCTTGTGGCCTTCGTTGGAAACGGGATTTCTTCATATTCTGCTAGACAGAAGAATTCTCAGAAACTTCCTTGTGTTCTGTGTTTTCAACTCACAGAGTTGAACGATGCTTTACACAGAGTAGACTTGAAACACTCTTTTTGTGGAATTTGCAAGTGGAGTTTTCAGCCGCTTTGAGGTCAATGGTAGAAAAGGAAATATCTTCGTATAAAAACTAGACAGAATGATTCTCAGAAACTACTTTGTGATGTGTGCGTTCAACTCACAGAGTTTAACCTTTCTTTTCATAGAGCAGTGAGGAAACACTCTGTTTGTAAAGTCTGCAAGTGGATATTCAGACCTCCTTGATGCCTTCGTTGGAAACGGGATTTCTTCATATTATGCTAGACAGAAGAATTCCCAGTAACTTCCCTTGTGTTGTGTGTGTTCAACTCACAGAGTTGAACTTTCATTTACACAGAGCAGATTTGAAACACTCTTTTTGTGGAATTTGCAAGTGGAGATTTCAAGCGCTTTGAGGCCAAAGGCAGAAAAGGAAATATCTTCGTATAAAAACTAGACAGAATCATTCTCAGAAACTGCTCTGCGATGTGTGCGTTCAACTCTCAGAGTTTAACTTTTCTTTTCATTCAGCAGTTTGGAAACACTCTGTTTGTGAAGTCTGCACGTCGATATTTTGACCACTTAGAGGCCTTCGTTGGAAACGGGTTTTTTTCCTGTAAGGCTAGAGAGAAGAATTCCCAGGAACTTCCTTGTGTTGTGTACATTCAACTCACAGAGTTGAACGTTCCCTTAGACAGAGCAGATTTGAAACACTCTTTTTGTGCAATTGGCAAGTGGTGATTTCAGCCGCTTTGAGGTCAATGGTAGAAAAGGAAATATCTTCGTATAAAAACTAGACAGAATGATTCTCAGAAACTTCATTGTGACGTGTGCGTTCAACTCACAGAGTTTAACCTTTCTTTTCATAGAGCAGTTAGGAAACACTCTGTTTGTAAAGTCTGCAAGTGGATATTCAGACCTCTTTGAGGCCTTCGTTGGAAACGGGATTTCTTCATAATGTGCTAGACAGAAGAATTCTCAGTAACTTCCTTGTGTTGTGTGTATTCAACTCACAGAGTTGAACGATCCTTTACACAGAGCAGACTTGAAACACTCTTTTTGTGGAATTTGCAAGTGGAGATTTCATCCGCTTTGAGGTCAATGGTAGAATAGGAAATATCTTCCTATAGAAACTAGACAGAATGATTCTCATAAACTCCTTTGTGATGTGTGCGTTCAACTCACAGAGTTTAACCTTTCTTTTCATAGAGCAGTTAGGAAACACTCTGTTTGTAAAGTCTGCAAGTGGATATTCAGACCTCCTTGAGGCCTTCGTTTGAAACGGGATTTCTTCATATTCTGCTAGACAGAAGAATTCCCAGTAACTTCCTTGTGTTGTGTGTGTTCAACTCACAGAGTTGAACTTTCATTTACACAGAGCAGATTTGAAACACTCTTTTTGTGCAATTTGCAAGTGGAGATTTCAAGCGCTTTGAGACCAAAGGCAGAAAAGGAAATATCTTCGTTTCAAAACTAGACAGAATCATTCTCAGAAACTGCTCTGCGATGTGTGCGTTCAACTCTCAGAGTTTAACTTTTCTTTTCATTCAGCAGTTTGGAAACACTCTGTTTGTAAAGTCTGCACGTGGATATGTTGACCACTTAGAGGCCTTCGTTGGAAACGGGTTTTTTTCATGTAAGGCTAGACAGAAGAATTCCCAGTAACTTCCTTGTGTTGTGTGCATTCAACTCACAGAGTTGAACTTTCCCTTAGACAGAGCAGATTTGAAACACTCTATTTGTGCAATTTGCAAGTGTAGATTTCAAGCGCTTTAAGGTCAACGGCAGAAAAGGAAATATCTTCGTTTCAAAACTAGACAGAATCATTCCCACAAACTGCGTTGTGATGTGTTCGTTCAACTCACAGAGTTTAACCTTTCTTTTCATAGAGCAGTTAGGAAACAGTCTGTTTGTCAATTCTGTAAGTGGATATTCTGACATCTTGTGGCCTTCGTTGGAAACGGGATTTCTTCATATTCTGCTAGACACAAGAATTTTCAGTAACTTCCTTGTGTTGTGTGTATTCTACTCACAGAGTTGAACGATCCTTTACACAGAGCAGACTTGAAACACTCTTTTTGTGGAATTTGCAAGTGGAGATTTCAGCCGCTTTGAGGTCAATGGTAGAAAAGGAAATATCTTCGTATAAAGACTAGACAGAATGATTCTCAGAAACTCCTTTGTGATGTGTGCGTTCAACTCACAGAGTTTAACCTTTCTTTTCATGGAGCTGTTAGGAAACACTCTGTTTGTAAAGTCTGCAAGTGGATATTCAGACCTCTTTGAGGCCTTCGTTGGAAACGGGATTTCTTCATACTGTGCTAGACAGAAGAATTCTCAGTAACTTTCTTGTGTTGTGTGTATTCAACTGACAGAGTTGAACTTTCATTTAGAGAGAGCAGATTTGAAACACTGTTTTTGTGGAATTTGCAAGTGGAGATTTCAAGCGCTTTGGGGCCAAAGGCAGAAAAGGAAATATCTTCGTATAAGCACTAGACAGAATCATTCTCAGAAACTGCTCTGCGATGTGTGCGTTCAACTCTCAGAGTTAAACTTTTCTTTTCATTCAGCAGTTTGGAAACACTCTGTTTGTAAAGTCTGCACGTGGATATTTTGACCACTTAGAGGCCTTCGTTGGAAACGGGTTTTTTTCCTGTAAGGCTAGACAGAAGAATTCCCAGTAACTTCCTTGTGTTGTGCGCATTCAACTCACAGAGTTGAACGTTCCCTTAGACAGAGCAGATTTGAAACAGCCTATTTGTGCAATTTGCAAGTGTACATTTCAAGCGCTTTAAGGTCAACGGCAGAAAAGGAAATATCTTCCTTTCAAAACTAGACAGAATCACTCCCACAAACTGCGTTGCGATGTGTTCGTTCAACTCACAGAGTTTAACATTTCTTTTCATAGAGCACTTAGGAAACAGTCTGTTTGTAAATTCTGTAAGTGGATATTCTGACATCTTGTGGCCTTCGTTGGAAACGGGATTTCTTCATATTCTGCTAGACAGAAGAATTCTCAGTAACTTCCTTGTGTTGTGAGTATTCAACTCACAGAGTTGAACGATCCTTTACACAGAGCAGACTTGAAACACTCTTTTTGTGGAATTTGCAAGAGGAGATTTCAGCCGCTTTGAGGTCAATAGTAGAAAAGGAAATATCTTCGTAGAAAAACTAGACAGAATGATTCTCAGAAACTCCTTTGTGATGTGTGCGTTCAACTCACAGAGTTTA
Source organism: Homo sapiens (assembly GCF_000001405.40). Lineage (NCBI taxonomy): Eukaryota > Metazoa > Chordata > Mammalia > Primates > Hominidae > Homo > Homo sapiens. The sequence continues at coordinate 123,917,321 of NC_000001.11, forward strand.
ACCTTTCTTTTCATAGAGCAGTTAGGAAACACTCTGTTTGTAAAGTCTGCAAGTGGATATTCAGACCTCTTTGAGGCCTTCGTTTTAAACGGGATTTCTTCATATTATGCTAGACAGAGGAATTCCCAGTAACTTCCTTGTGTTGTGTGTGTTCAACTCACAGAGTTGAACTTTCATTTACACAGAGCAGATTTGAAACACTCTTTTTGTGGAATTTGCAAGTGGAGATTTCAAGCGCTTTGAGGCCAAAGGCAGAAAAGGAAATATCTTCGTTTCAAAACTAGGCAGAATCATTCTCAGAAACTGCTCTGCGATGTGTGTGTTCAACTCTCAGAGTTTAACTTTTCTTTTCATTCAGCAGTTTGGAAACACTCTGTTTGTAAAGTCTGCACGTGGATAATTTGACCACTTAGAGGCCTTCGTTGGAAACGGGTTTTTTTCAGTAAGGCTAGATAGAAGAATTCCCAGTAACTTCCTTGTGTTGTGTGCATTCAACTCACAGAGTTGAACGTTCCCTTAGACAGAGCAGATTTGAAACACTCTATTTGTGCAATTTGCAAGTGTAGATTTCAACCGCTTTAAGGTCAACGGCAGAAAAGGAAATATCTTCGTTTCAAAACTAGACAGAAATCATTCCCACAAACTGCGTTGTGATGTGTTCGTTCAACTCACAGAGTTTAACCTTTCTTTTCATAGAGCAGTTAGGAAACAGTCTGTTTGTCAATTCTGTAAGTGGATATTCTGACATCTTGTGGCATTCGTTGGAAACGGGATTTCTTCATATTCTGCTAGACAGAAGAACTCTCAGAAACCTCCTGGTGTTGCGTGTTTTCAACTCACAGAGTTCAACGATCCGTTACACAGAGTAGACTTGAAAAACTCTTTTTGTTGAATTGGCCAGTGGAGATTTCAGCCGCTTTGAGGTCAATGGTAGAAAAGGAAATATCTTCGTATAAAAACTAGACAGAACGATTCTCAGAAACTCCTTTGTGATGTGTGTGTTCAACTCACAGAGTTTAACCTTTCTTTTCATAGAGCAGTTAGGAAACACTCTGTTTGTAAAGTCTGCAAGTGGATATTCAGACCTCTTTGAGGCCTTCGTTGGAAACGGGATTTCTCCATATTCTGCTAGACAGAAGAATTCTCAGTAACTTCCTTGTGTTGTGTGTATTCAACTGACAGAGTTGAACTTTCATTTAGAGAGAGCAGATTTGTAAGACTGTTTTTGTGGAATTTGCAAGTGGAGATTTCAAGCGCTTTGCGGCCAAAGGCAGAAAAGGAAATATCTTCGTATAAAAACTAGACAGAATCATTCTCAGAAACTGCTCTGTGATGTGTGCGTTCAACTCTCAGAGTTTAACTTTTCTTTTCATTCAGCAGTTTCGAAACACTCTGTTTGTAAAGTCTGCACGTGGATATTTTGACCACTTAGAGGCCTTCGTTGGAAACGGGTTTTCTTCATGTAAGGCTAGACAGAAGAATTCCCAGTAACTTCCTTGTGTTGTGTGCATTCAACTCACACAGATGAACGTTCCCTTAGACAGAGCAGATTTGAAACACTCTATTTGTGCAATTTGCAAGTGTAGATTTCAAGCGCTTTAAGGTCAATGGCAGAAAAGGAAATATCTTCGTTTCAAAACTAGACAGAATGATTCTCAGAAACTCCTTTGTGATGTGTGCGTTCAAGTCACAGAGTTTAACCTTTCTTTTCATAGAGCAGTTAGGAAACACTCTGTTTGTAAAGTCTGCAAGTGGATATTCAGACCTCCTTGAGGCCTTCGTTGGAAACGGGATTTCTTCCTATTATGCTAGACAGAAGAATTCTCAGTAACTTCCTTGTGTTGTGTGTATTCAACTCACAGAGTTGAACCATCCTTTACACAGAGCAGACTTGAAACACTCTTTTTGTGGAATTTGCAAGTGGAGATTTCAGCCGCTTTGAGGTCAATGGTAGAAAAGGAAATATCTTCGTATAAAAACTAGACAGAAATGATTCTCAGCAAACTCCTTTGTGAGGTGTGTGTTCAACTCACAGAGTTTAACCTTTCTTTTCATAGAGCAGTTAGTAAACACTCTGTTTATAAAGTCTGCAAGTGGATATTCAGACCCCTTTGAGGCCTTCGTTGGAAACGGGATTTCTTCATATTCTGCTAGACAGAAGAATTCTCAGTAACTTCCTTGTGTTGTGTGTATTCAACTGACAGAGTTGAACTTTCATTTAGAGAGAGCAGATTTGAAACACTGTTTTTGTGGAATTTGCAAGTGGAGATTTCAAGCGCTTTGGGGCCAAAGGCAGAAAAGGAAATATCTTCGTATAAAAACTAGTCAGAATCATTCTCAGAAACTGCTGCGTGATGTGTGCGTTCAACTCTCAGAGTTTAACTTTTCTTTTCATTCAGCGGTTTGGAAACACTCTGTTTGTAAAGTCTGGACGTGGAAATTTTGACCACTTAGAGGCCTTCGTTGGAAACGGGTTTTTTTCATGTAAGGCTAGACAGAAGAATTCCCAGTAACTTCCTTGTGTTGTGTGCATTCAACTCACAGAGTTGAACGTTCCCTTAGACAGAGCAGATTTGAAACACTCTATTTGTGCAATTTGCAAGTGTAGTTTTCAAGCTCTTTTAGGTCAACGGCAGAAAAGGAAATATCTTGGTTTCAAAACTAGACAGAATCATTCTCAGAAACTGCTCTGCGATGTGTGCGTTCAACTCTCAGAGTTTAACTTTTCTTTTCATTCAGCAGTTTGGAAACACTCTGTTTGTGAAGTCTGCACGTGGATAATTTGACCACTTAGAGGCCTACGTTGGAAACGGGTTTTTTTCATGTAAGGCTAGACAGAAGAATTCTCAGAAACTTCCTTGTGTTGTGTGTTTTCAACTCACAGAGTTAAACGATCCATTACACAGAGTAGACTTGAAACACTCTTTTTGTGGAATTGGCAAGTGGAGATTTCAGCCGCTTTGAGGTCAATGGTAGAATAGGAAATATCTTCCTATGGAAACTAGACAGAATGATTCTCAGAAACTCCTTTGTGATGTGGGCGTTCAACTCACAGAGTTCAACCTTTCTTTTCATAGAGCAGTTGGGAAACACTCTGTTTGTAAAGTCTGCAAGTGGATATTCAGACTTCTTTGAGGCCTTCGTTGGAAGCGGGATTTCTTCATATTCTGCTAGACAGAAGAATTCCCAGTAACTTCCTTGTGTTGTGTGTGTTCAACTCACAGAGTTGAACTTTCATTTACACAGAGCAGATTTGAAACACTCTTTTTGTGGAATTTGCAAGTGGAGATGTCAAGCGCTTTGAGGCCAAAGGCAGAAAAGGAAATACCTTCGTTTCAAAACTAGACAGAATCATTCTCAGAAACTGCTCTGCGATGTGTGCGTTCAACTCTCAGAGTTTAACTTTTCTTTTCATTCAGCAGTTTGGAAACACTCTCTTTGTAAAGTCTGCACTTGGATATTTTGACCACTTAGAGGCCTTCGTTGGAAACGGGTTTTTTTCCTGTAAGGCTAGACAGAAGAATTCCCAGTAACTTCCTTGTGTTGTGTACATTCAACTCACAGAGTTGAACGTTCCCTTAGACAGAGCAGATTTGAAACACTCTTTTTGTGCAGTTGGCAAATGGAGATTTCAAGCGCTTTAAGGTCAATGGCAGAAAAGGAAATATCTTCGTTTCAAAACTAGACAGAATCATTCCCACAAACTGCGTTGTGATGTGTTCGTTCAACTCACAGAGTTTAACAATTCTTTTCATAGAGCAGTTAGGAAACACTCTGTTTGTAAATTCTGTAAGTGGATATTCTGACATCTTTTGGCCTTCGTTGGAAACGGGATTTCTTCATATTCTGCTAGACAGAAGAATTCTCAGTAACTTCCTTGTGTTGTGTGTATTCAACTCACAGAGTTGAACGATCCTTTACACAGAGCGGACTTGAAACACTCGTTTTGTGGAATTTGCAAGTGGAGGTTTCTGCCGCGTTGAGGTCAATGGTAGAAAAGGAAATATCTTCGTATAAAAACTAGACAGAATGATTCTCAGAAACTCCTTTGTGATGTGTGAGTTCAACTCACAGAGTTTAACCTTTCTTTTCATAGAGCAGTTAGGAAACACTCTGTTTGTAAAGTCTGCAAGAGGATATTCAGACCTCTTTGAGGCCTTCGTTGGAAACGGGTTTTATTCATATAAGGCTAGACAGAAGAATTCTCAGTAACTTCCTTGTGTTGTGTGTATTCAACTCACAGAGTTGAACGATCCTTTACACAGAGCAGACTTGAAACACTCTTTTTGTGGAAATTGCAAGTGGAGATTTCAGCCGCTTTGAGGTCAATGATAGAAAAGGAAATATCTTCGTATAAAAACTAGACAGAATCATTCTCAGAAACTGCTGCGTGATGTGTGGGTTCAACTCTCAGAGTTTAACTTTTCTTTTCATTCAGCGGTTTGGAAACACTCTGTTTGTAAAGTCTGCACGTGGAAATTTTGACCACTTAGAGGCCTTCGTTGGAAACGGGTTTTTTTCATGTAAGGCTAGACAGAAGAATTCCCAGTAACTTCCTTGTGTTGTGTGCATTCAACTCACAGAGTTGAACGTTCCCTTAGACAGAGCAGATTTGAAACACTCTATTTGTGCAATTTGCAAGTGTAGATTTCAAGCGCATTAAGGTCAATGGCAGAAAAGGAAATATCTTCGTTTCAAAATTAGACAGAATCACTCCCACAAACTGCGTTGTGATGTGTTCGTTCAACTCACAGAGTTTAACCTTTCTTTTCTTAGAGCAGTTAGGAAACAGTCTGTTTGAAAATTCTGTAAGTGGATATTCTGACATCTTGTGGCCTTCGTTGGAAACGGGATTTCTTCATATTCTGCTAGACAGAATAATTCTCAGTAACTTCCTTGTGTTGTGTGTATTCAACTCACAGAGTTGAACGATCCTTTACAGAGAGCAGACTTGAAACACTCTTTTTGTGGAATTTGCAAGTGGAGAATTCAGCCGCTTTGAGGTCAATGGTAGAAAAGGAAATATCTTCGTATAAAGACTAGACAGAATGATTCTCAGAAACTCCTTTGTGATGTGTGCGTTAAACTCACAGAGTTTAACTTTTCTTTTCATAGAGCAGTTAGGAAACACTCTGTTTGTAAAGTCTGCAAGTGGATATTCAGACCTCTTTGACGCCTTCGTTGGAAACGGGATTTCTTCATATTCTGCTAGACAGAAGAATTCTAAGTAACTTCCTTGTGTTGTGTGTATTCAACTGACAGAGTTGAACTTTCATTTAGAGAGAGCAGATTTGAAACACTGTTTTTGTGGAATTTGCAAGTGGAGATTTCAAGCGCTTTGGGGCCAAAGGCCGAAAAGTAAATATCTTCGTATAAAAACTAGACAGAATCATTCTCAAAAACTGCTGCGTGATGTTTGCGTTCAACTCTCAGAGTTTAACTTTTCTTTTCATTCAGCGGTTTGGAAACACTCTGTTTGTAAAGTTTGCACGTGGATATTTTGACCACTTAGAGGCCTTCGTTGGAAACGGGTTTTTTTCATGTAAGGCTAGACAGAAGAATTCCCAGTAACTTCCTTGTGTTGTGTGCATTCAACTCACAGAGTTGAACAGTTCCCTTAGACAGAGCAGATTTGAAACACTCTATTTGTGCAATTTGCAAGTGTAGATTTCAAGCGCTTTAAGGTCAATGGCAGAAAAGGAAATATCTTCGTTTCAAAACTAGACAGAATGATTCTCAGAAACTCCTTTGTGATGTGTGCGTTCAACTCACAGAGTTTAACCTTTCTTCTCATAGAGCAGTTAGGAAACACTCTGTTTGTAAAGTCTGCAAGTGGATATTCAGACCTCTTTTAGGCCTTCGTTGGAAACGGGATTTCTTCATATTCTGCTAGACAGAAGAATTCTCAGTAACTTCCTTGTGTTGTGTATTCAACTCACAGAGTTCAACGATCCTTTACACAGAGCAGACTTGAAACACTCTTTTTGTGGAATTTGCAAGTGGGGATTTCAGCCGCTTTGAGGTCAATGTTAGAAAAGGAAATATCTTCGTATAAAAACTAGACAGAATGATTCTCAGAAACTCCTTTGTGATGTGTGCGTTCAACTCACAGAGTTCAACCTTTCTTTTCATAGAGCAGTTAGGAAACACTCTGTTTATAATGTCTGCAATTGGATATTCAGACCTCTTTGAGGCCTTCGTTGGAAACGGGATTTCTTCATATTCTGCTAGACAGAAGAATTCCCAGTAACTTCCTTGTGTTGTGTGTGTTCAACTCACAGAGTTGAACTTTCGTTTACACAGAGCAGATTTGAAACACTCTTTTTGTGGAATTTGCAAGTGGAGATTTCAAGCGCTTTGAGGCCAAAGGCAGAAAAGGAAATATCTTCGTATAAAAACTAGACAGAATCATTCTCAGAACCTGCTTCGTGATGTGTGCGTTCAACTCTCAGAGTTTAACTTTTCTTTTCATTCAGCGGTTTGGAAACACTCTGTTTGTAAAGTCTGCACGTGGAAATTTTGACCACTTAGAGGCCTTCGTTGGAAACGGGTTTTTTTCATGTAAGGCTAGACAGAAGAATTCCCAGTAACTTCCTTGTGTTGTGTGCATTCAACTCACAGAGTTGAACGTTCCCTTAGACAGAGCAGATTTGAAACACTCTATTTGTGCAATTTGCAAGTGTAGATTTCAAGCGCTTTAAGGTCAATGGCAGAAAAGGAAATATCTTCGTTTCAAAACTAGACAGAATCATTCCCACAAACTGCGTTGTGATGTGTTCGTTCAACTCACAGAGTTTAACCTTTCTATTCATAGAGCAGTTAGGAAACACTCTGTTTGTAAAGTCTGTAAGTGGATATTCTGACATCTTGTGGCCTTCGTTGGAAACGGGATTTCTTCATATTCTGCTAGACAGAAGAATTCTCAGTAACTTCCTTGTGTTGTGTGTATTCACCTCACAGAGTTGTATGATCCTTTACACAGAAGAGTCTTGAAACACTCTTTTTGTGGAATTTGCAAGTGGAGATTTCAGCCGCTTTGAAGTCAATGGTAGAATAGGAAATATCTTCCTATAGAAACTAGACAGAATGATTCTCATAAACTCCTTTGTGATGTGTGCGTTCAACTCACAGAGTTTAACCTTTCTTTTCATAGAGCAGTTAGGAAACACTCTGCTTGTAAAGTCTGCAAGTGGATATTCAGCCCTCTTTGAGGCCTTCGTTGGAAACGGGTTTTTTTCATATAAGGCTAGACAGAAGAATTCCCAGTAACTTCCTTGTGTTGTGTGTGTTCAACTCACAGAGTTGAACTTTCATTTACACAGAGCAGATTTGAAACACTCTTTTTGTGGAATTTGCAAATGGAGATTTCAAGTGCTTTGAGGCCAAAGGCAGAAAAGGAAATGTCTTCGTTTCAAAACTAGACAGAATCATTCTCAGAAACTGCTCTGCGATGTGTGCGTTCAACTCTCAGAGTTTAACTTTTCTTTTCATTCAGCAGTTTGGAAACACTCTGTTTGTAAAGTCTGCACCTGGATAACTTGACCACTTAGAGGCCTTCGTTGGAAACGGGTTTTTTTCCTGTAAGGCTAGACAGAAGAATTCCCAGTAACTTCCTTGTGTTGTGTGCATTCAACTCACAGAGTTGAACGTTCCCTTAGACAGAGCAGATTTGAAACACTCTATTTGTGCAATTTGCAAGTGTACATTTCAAGCGCTTTAAGGTCAACGGCAGAAAAGGAAATATCTTCGTTTCAAAACTAGACAGAATGATTCTAAGAAACTTCTTTGTGATGTGTGCGTTCAACTCACAGAGTTTAACCTTTCTTCTCATAGAGCAGTTAGGAAACACTCTGTTTGTAAACTCTGCAAGTGGATATTCAGACCTCTTTGAGGCCTTCGTTGGAAACGGGATTTCTCCATACTGTGCGAGACAGAAGAATTCTCAGTAACTTCCTTGTGTTGTGTGGATTCAACTCACAGAGTTGAACGATCCTTTACAGAGAGCGGACTTGAAACACTCGTTTTGTGGAATTTGCAAGTGGAGATTTCAGCCGCTTTGAGGTCAATGGTAGAAAAGGAAATATCTTCGTACAAAAACTAGACAGATAATCATTCCCACAAACTGCGTTGTGATGTGTTCGTTCAACTCACAGCGTTTTACCTTTCTGTTCATAGAGCAGTTAGGAAACACTCTGTTTGTCAAGTCTGTAAGTGGATATTCTGACATCTTGTGGCCTTCGTTGGAAATGGGATTTCTTCATATTCTGCTAGACAGAAGAATTCCCAGTAACTTCCTTGTGTTGTGTGTATTCAACTCACAGAGTTGAACTTTCATTTACACAGAGCAGATTGGAAACACTCTTTTTGTGGAATTTGCAAGTGGAGATTTCAAGCGCTTTGAGGCCAAATGCAGAAAAGGAAATATCTTCGTATAAAAACTAGACAGAATCATTCTCAGAAACTGCTCTGCGATGTGTGCGTTCAACTCTCAGAGTTTAACTTTTCTTTTCATTCAGCAGTTTGGAAACACTCTGTTTGTAAAGTCTGCACGTGGATATTTTGACCACTTAGAGGCCTTCGTTGGAAACGGGTTTCTTTCTTGTAAGGCTAGACAGAAGAATTCTCAGTAACTTCCTTGTGTTGTGTGTATTCAACTCACAGAGTTGAATGATCTTTTACACAGAACAGACTTGAAACACTCTTTTTGTGGAATTTGCAAGTGGAGATTTCAGCCGCTTTGAGGTCAATGGTAGAAAAGGAAATATCTTCGTATAAAAACTAGACAGAATGATTCTCAGAAACTCCTTTGTGATGTGTGCGTTCAACTCACAGAGTTTAACCTTTCTTTTCATAGAGCAGTTAGGAAACACTCTGTTTGTAAAGTCTGGAAGTGGATATTCAGACCTCTTTGAGGCCTTCGTTGGAAACGGGATTTCTTCATATTCTGCTAGAGAGAAGAATTCTCAGTAACTTCCTTGTGTTGTGTGTATTCAACTCACAGAGTTCAACGATCCTTTACACAGAGCAGACTTGAAACACTCTTTTTGTGGAATTTGCAAGTGGAGATTTCAGCCGCTTTGAGGTCAATGGTAGAATAGGAAATATCTTCCTATAGAAACTAGACAGAATGATTCTCAGAAACTCCTTTGTGATGTGTGCGTTCAACTCACAGACTTTAACCTTTCTTTTCATAGAGCAGTTAGGAAACACTCTGTTTGTAAAGTCTGCAAGTGGATATTCAGACCTCCTTGAGGCCTTCGTTGGAAACGGGATTTCTTCATATTATGCTAGACAGAAGAATTCTCAGTAACTTCCTTGTGTTGTGTGTATTCAACTGACAGAGTTGAACTTTCATTTGGAGAGAGCAGATTTGAAACACTGTTTTTGTGGAATTTGCAAGTGGAGATTTCAAGCGCTCTGGGGCCAAAGGCAGAAAAGGAAATATCTTCGTATAAAAACTAGACAGAATCATTCTCAGAAACTGCTGTGTGATGTGTGCGTTCAACTCTCAGAGTTTAACTTTTCTTTTCATTCAGCGGTTTGGAAACACTCTGTTTGTAAAGTCTGCACGTGGATATTTTGACCACTTAGAGGCCTTCGTTGGAAACGGGTTTTTTTCATGTAAGGCTAGACAGAAGAATTCTCAGTAACTTCCTTGTGTTGTGTGTATTCAACTCACAGAGTTGAACGATCCTTTACACAGAGCAGACTTGAAACACTCTTTTTGTGGAATTTGCAAGTGGAGATTTCAGCCGCTTTGAGTTCAATGGTAGAATAGGAAATATCTTCCTATAGACACTAGACAGAATGATTCTCAGAAACTCCTTTGTGATGTGTGCGTTCAACTCACAGAGTTCAACCTTTCTTTTCATAGAGCAGTTGGGAAACACTCTGTTTGTAAAATCTGCAAGTGGATATTCAGACTTCTTTGAGGCCTTCCTTGGAAGCGGGATTTCTTCATATTCAGCTAGACAGATTAATTCTCAATAACTTCCTTGTGTTGTGTGTATTCAACTCACAGAGTTGAACGATCCTTTACAGAGAGCAGACTTGAAACACTCTTTTTGTGGAATTTGCAAGTGGAGATTTCAGCCGCTTTGAGGTCAATGGTAGAATAGGGAATATCTTCCTATAGAAACTAGACAGAGTGATTCTCAGAAACTCCTTTGTGATATCTGCGTTCAACTAACAGAGTTTAAACTTTCTTTTCATAGAGCAGTTAGGAAACACTCTGTTTGTAAAGTCTGCAAGTGGATATTCAGACCTCCTTGAGGCCTTCGTTGGAAACGGGATTTCTTCATATTCTGCTATACAGAAGAATTCTCAGTAACTGCCTTGTGTTGTGTGTATTCAACTCACACAGTTGAACGATCCTTTACACAGAGCAGACTTGAAACACTCTTTTTGTGGAATTTGCAAGTGGAGATTTCAGCCGCTTTGAGGTCAATGGTAGAATAGGAAATATCTTCCTATAGAAACTAGACAGAATGATTCTCAGAAACTCCTTTGTGATGTGTGCGTTCAACTCACAGAGTTTATCCTTTCTTTTCATAGAGCAGTTGGGAAACACTCTGTTTGTAAAGTCTGCAAGTGGATATTCAGACATCCTTGAGGCTTTCGTTGGAAACGGGATTTCTTCATATTCTGCTAGAAAGAAGAATTCCCAGTAACTTCCTTGTGTTGTGTGCATTCAACTCACAGAGTTGAACGTTCCCTTAGAGAGAGCAGATTTGAAACACTCTATTTGTGCAATTTGCAAGTGTAGATTTCAAGCGCTTTAAGGTCAATGGCAGAAAAGGAAATATCTTCGTTTCAAAACTAGACAGAATCATTCCCACAAACTGCGTTGTGATGTGTTCGTTCAACTCACAGAGTTTAACCTTTCCGTTCATAGAGCAGTTAGGAAACACACTGTTTGTAAAGTCTGTAAGTGGATATTCTGACATCTTGTGGCCTTCGTTGGAAACGGGATTTCTTCATATTCTGCTAGACAGAAGAATTCTCAGTAACTTCCTTGTGTTGTGTGTATTCAACTCACAGAGTTGAACTGATCCTTTACACAGAGCAGACTTGAAACACTCTTTTTGTTGAATTTGCAAGTGGAGATTTCAGCCGCTTTGAGGTCAATAGTAGAAAAGGAAATATCTTCGTAGAAAAACTAGACAGAATGATTCTCAGAAACTCCTTTGTGATGTGTACGTTCAACTCACAGAGTTTAACCTTTCTTTTCTTAGAGCAGTTAGGAAACACTCTGTTTGTAAAGTCTGCAAGTGGATATTCAGACCTCTTTGAGTCCTTCGTTGGAAACGGGTTTTTTTCATATAAGGCTAGACAGAAGAATTCCCAGTAACTTCCTTGTGTTGTGTGTGTTCAACTCACAGAGTTGAACTTTCATTTACACAGAGCAGATTTGAAACACTCCTTTTGTGGAATTTGCAAGTGGAGATTTCAAGCGCTTTGAGGCCAAAGGCAGAAAAGGAAATATCTTCGTTTCAAAACTAGACAGAATCATTCTCAGAAACTGCTGCGTGATGTGTGCGTTCAACTCTCAGAGTTTAACTTTTCTTTTCATTCAGCGGTTTGGAAACACTCTGTTTGAAAAGTCTGCACGTGGATATTTTGACCACTTAGAGGCCTTCGTTGGAAACGGGTTTTTTTCATGTAAGGCTAGAGAGAAGAATTCCCACTAACTTCCTTGTGTTGTGTACATTCAACTCACAGAGTTGAACGTTCCCTTAGACAGAGCAGACTTGTAACACTCTTTTTGTGGAATTTGCAAGTGGAGATTTCAGCCGCTTTCAAGTCAAAGGTAGAAAAGGAAATATCTTCCTATAAAAACTAGACAGAATCATTCCCACAAACTGCGTTGTGATGTGTTCGTTCAACTCACAGAGTTTAACCTTTCTGTTCATAGAGCAGTTAGGAAACACTCTGTTTGTAAAGTCTGCAAGTGGATATTCAGACCTCTTTGAGGCCTTCGTTGGAAACGGGATTTCTTCATATTCTGCTAGACAGAAGAATTCTCAGTAACTTCCTTGTGTTGTGTGTATTCAACTCACACAGTTGAACGATCCTTTACACAGAGCAGACTTGTAACACTCTTTTTGTGGAATTTGCAAGTGGAGATTTCAGCCGCTTTTAAGTCAAAGGTAGAAAAGGAAATATCTTCCTATAAAAACTAGACAGAGTGATTCTCAGAAACTCCTTTGTGATGTCTGCGTTCAACTCACAGAGTTTAACCTTTCTTTTCATAGAGCAGTTAGGAAACACTCTGTTTGTAAAGTCTGCAAGTGCATATTCAGACCTCCTTGAGGCCTTCGTTGGAAACGGGATTTCTTCATATTCTGCTATACAGAAGAATTCTCAGAAACTTCCTTGTGTTTTGTGTGTTCAACTCACAGAGTTGAACGATCCTTTACACAGAGCAGACTTGAAACACTCTTTTTGTGGAATTTGCAAGTGGAGATTTCAGCCGCTTTGAGGTCAATGGTAGAAAAGGAAATATCTTCGTATAAAAACTAGACAGAATCATTCTCAGAAACTGCTGCGTGATGTGTGCGTTCAACTCTCAGAGTTTACCTTTTCTTTTCATTCAGCGGTTTGGAAACACTCTATTTGTTAAAGTCTGCACGTGGATATTTTGACCACTTAGAGGCCTTCGTTGGAAACGGGATTTTTTCATGTAAGGCTAGACAGAAGAATTCCCAGTAACTTCCTTGTGTTGTGTGCATTCAACTCACAGAGTTGAACGTTCCCTTAGACAGAGCAGATTTGAAACACTCTATTTGTGCAATTTGCAAGTGTAGATTTCAAGCGCTTTAGGGTCAAAGGCAGAAAAGGAAATATCTTCGTTTCAAAACTAGACAGAATCATTCCCACAAACTGCGTTGTGATGTGTTCGTTCAAATCACAGAGTTTAACCTTTCTTTTCATAGAGCAGTTAGGAAACAGTCTGCTTGTAAATTCTGTAAGTGGATATTCTGACATCTTGTGGCCTTCGTTGGAAACGGCATTTCTTCATATTCTGCTAGACAGAAGAATTCTCAGTAACTTCCTTGTATTGTGTGTATTCAACTCACAGAGTTGAACGATCCTTTACACAGAGCAGACTTGAAACACTCTTTTTGAGGAATTTGCAAGTGGAGATTTCAGCCGCTTTGAAGTCAATGGTAGAAAAGGAAATATCTTCGTATAAAAACTAGACAGAATGATTCTCAGAAACTCATTTGTGATGTGTGCGTTCAACTCACAGAGTTTAACCTTTCTTTTCATAGAGCAGTTAGGAAACACTCTGTTTGTAAAGTCTGCAAGTGGATATTCAGACCTTTTTGAGGCCTTCGTTGGAAACGGGATTTCTTCATATGATGCTACACAGAAGAATTCTCAGTAACTTCCTTGTGCTGTGTGTATTCAACTGACAGAGTTGAACTTTCATTTAGACAGAGCAGATTTGAAACACTCTTTTTGTGGAATTTGCAAGTGGAGATTTTAAGCGCTTTGAGGCCAAAGGCAGAAAAGGAAATATCTTCGTATAAAAACTAGACAGAATCATTCTCAGAAACTGCTCTGCGATGTGTGCGTTCAACTCTCAGAGTTTAACTTTTCTTTTCATTCAGCAGTTTGAAAACACTCTGTTTGTAAAGTCTGCACGTGGATATTTTGACCACTTAGAGGCCTTCGTTGGAAACGGGTTTTTTTGCCTGTAAGGCTAGACAGAAGAATTCCCAGTAATTTCCTTGTGTTGTGTGCATTCAACTCACAGAGTTGAACGTTCCCTTAGACAGAGCAGATTTGAAACACTCTATTTGTGCAATTTGCAAGTGTAGATTTCAAGCGCTTTAAGGTCAATGGCAGAAAAGGAAATATCTTCATTTCAAAACTAGACAGAATCATTCCCACAAACTGCATTGTGATGGGTTCGTTCAACTCACAGAGTTTAACCTTTCTGTTCATAGAGCAGTTAGGAAACACTCTGTTTGTAAAGTCTGTAAGTTGATATTCAGACCTCTTTGAGGCCTTCGTTGGAAATGGATTTCTTCATATTCTGTTAGACAGAAGAATTCTCAGAAACTTCGTTGTGTTGTGTGTTTTCAACTCACAGAGTTCAACGATCCTTTACACAGAGTAGACTTGAAACACTCTTTTTGTGGAATTGGCAGGGTGGAGATTTCAGCCGCTTTGAGGTCAATGGAAGAAAAGGAAATATCTTCGTATAAAAACTAGACAGAGTGATTCTCAGAAACTCCTTTGTGATGTCTGTGTTCAACTCACAGAGTTTAACCTTTCTTTTCATAGAGCAGTTAGGAAACACTCTGTTTGTAAAGTCTGCAAGTGGATATTCAGACCTCCTTGAGGCCTTCGTTGGAAACGGGATTTCTTCATATTCTGCTATACAGAAGAATTCCCAGTAACTTCCTTGTGTTGTGTGTGTTCAACTCACAGAGTTGAACTTTCATTTACACAGAGCAGATTTGAAACACTCTTTTTGTGGAATTTGCAAATGGAGATTTCAAGCGCTTTGAGGCCAAAGGCAGAAAAGGAAATATCTTCGTAGAAAAACTAGACAGAATCATTCTCAGAAACTGCTGCGTGATGTGTGCGTTCAACTCTCAGAGTTTAACTTTTCTTTTCATTTAGCGGTTTGGAAACACTCTGTTTGTAAAGTCTGCACGTGGATATTTTGACCACTTAGAGGCCTTCGTTGGAAACGGGTTTTTTTTCATGTAAGGCTAGACAGAAGAATTCCCAGTAACTTCCTTGTGTTGTGTGCATTCAACTCACAGAGTTGAACGTTCCCTTAGACAGAGCAGATTTGAAACACTCTATTTGTGCAATTTGCAAGTGTAGATTTCAAGTGCTTTCAGGTCAATGGCAGAAAAGGAAATATCTTCGTTTCAAAACTAGACAGAATCATTCCCACAAACTGCGTTGTGAGGTGTTCGTTCAACTCACAGAGTTTAAACTTTCTTTTCATAGAGCAGTTAGGAAACAGTCTGTTTGTAAATTCTGTACGTGGATATTCTGACATCTTGTGGCCTTCGTTGGAAACGGGATTTCTTCATATTCTGCTAGACAGAAGAATTCTCAGTAACTTCCTTGTGTTGTGTGTATTCAACTCACAGAGTTGAACGATCGTTTACACAGAGCAGACTTGAAACACTCCTTTTGTGGAATTTGCAAGTGGAGATTTCAGCCGCGTTGAGGTCAATGGTAGAAAAGGAAATATCTTCGTATAAAAACTAGACAGAATGATTCTCAGAAACTCCTTTGTGATGTGTGCGTTCAACTCACAGAGTTTAACCTTTCTTTTCATAGAGCAGTTAGGAAACACTCTGTTTGTAAAGTCTGCAAGTGGATATTCAGACCTGTTTGAGGCCTTCGTTGGAAACGGGTTTTTTTCATATAAGGCTAGACAGAATTCTCAGTAACTTCCTTGTGTTGTGTGTGTTCAACTCACAGAGTTGAACTTTCATTTACACAGAGCAGATTTGAAACACTCTTTTTGTGGAATTTGCAAGTGGAGATTTCAAGCGCTTTGAGGCCAAAGGCAGAAAGGGAAATATCTTCGTATAAAAACTAGACAGAATCATTCTCAGAAACTGCTCTGCGATGTGTGCGTTCAACTCTCAGAGTTTAACTTTTCTTTTCCTTCAGCAGTTTGGAAACACTCTGTTTGTAAAGTCTGCACGTGGATAATTTGGCCACTTAGAGGCCTTCGTTGGAAACGGGTTTTTTCATGTAAGGCTAGACAGAAGAATTCACAGTAACTTCCTTGTGTTGTGTGCATTCAACTCACATAGTTGAACGTTCCCTTAGACAGAGCAGATTTGAAACACTCTATTTGTGCAATTCGCAACTGTAGATTTCAAGCGCTTTAAGATCAATGGCAGAAAAGGAAATATCTTCGTTTCAAAACTAGACAGAATCATTCCCACAAACTGCGTTGTGATGTGTTCGTTCAACTCACAGAGTTTAACCTTTGTGTTCATAGAGCAGTTAGGAAACACTCTGTTTGTAAAGTCTGTAAGTGGATATTCTGACATCTTGTGGCCTTCGTTGGAAACGGGATTTCTTCATATTCTGCTAGACAGAATAATTCTCAGTAACTTCCTTGTGTTGTGTGTATTCAACTCACAGAGTTGAACGATCCTTTACAGAGAGGAGACTTGAAACACTCTTTTTGTGGAATTTGCAAGTGGAGATTTCAGCCGCTTTGAGGTCAATGGTAGAATAGGAAATATCTTCCTATAGAAACTAGACAGAATAATTCTCAGAAACTCCTTTGTGATGTGTGTGTCCAACTCACAGAGTTTAACCTTTCTTTTCATAGAGCAGTTAGGAAACACTCTGTTTGTAAAGTCTGCAAGAGGATATTCAGACCTCTTTGAGGCCTTCGTTGGAAACGGGTTTTTTTCATATAAGGCTAGACAGAATAATTCTCAGTAACTTCCTTGTGTTGTGTGTATTCAACTCACAGAGTTGAAGGATCCTTTACAGAGAGCAGGCTTGAAACACGCTTTTTGTCGAATTTGCAAGTGGAGATTTCAGCCGCTTTGAGGTCAATGGTAGAATAGGAAATATCTTCTTATAGAAACTAGACAGAATCATTCTCAGAAACTGCTCTGCGATGTGTGCGTTCAACTCTCAGAGTTTAACTTTTCTTTTCATTCAGCAGTGTGGAAACACTCTGTTTGTAAAGTCTGCACGTGGATATTTTGACCGCTTAGAGGCCTTCGTTGGAAACGGGTTTTTTTCCTGTAAGGCTAGACAGAAGAATTCCCAGTAACTTCCTTGTGTTGTGTACATTCAACTCACAGAGTTGAACGTTCCCTTAGACAGAGCAGATTTGAAACACTCTTTTTGTGCAATTGGCAAATGGAGATTTCAAGCGCTTTAAGGTCAATGGCAGAAAAGGAAATATCTTCGTTTCAAAACGAGACAGAATCATTCCCACAAACTGCGTTGTGATGTGTTCGTTCAACTCACAGAGTTTAACCTTTCTGTTCATAGAGCAGTTAGGAAACACTCTGTTTGTAAAGTCTGCAAGTGGATATTCAGACCTCCTTGAGGTCTTCGTTGGAAACGGGATTTCTTCATATTCTGCTAGACAGAAGAATTCTCAGTAACTTCCTTGTGTTGTGTGTATTCACCTCACAGAGTTGAACGATCCTTTACACAGAGCAGACTTGTAACACTCTTTTTGTGGAATTTGCAAGTGGTGATTTCAGCCGCTTTGAAGTCAAAGGTAGAAAAGGAAATATCTTCCTATAAAAACTAGACAGAGTGATTCTCAGAAACTCCTTTGTGATGTCTGCGTTCAACTCACAGAGTTTAAACTTTCTTTTCACAGAGCAGTTAGGAAACACTCTGTTTGTAAAGTCTGCAAGTGGATATTCAGACCTCCTTGAGGCCTTCGTTGGAAACGGGATTTCTTCATATTCTGCTATACAGAAGAATTCCCAGTAACTTCCTTGTGTTGTGTGTGTTCAACTCACAGAGCTGAACTTTCATTTACACAGAGCAGATTTGAAACACTCTTTTTGTGGAATTTGCAAATGGAGATTTCAAGCGCTTTGAGGCCAAAGGCAGAAAAGGAAATATCTTCGTTTCAAAACTAGACAGAATCATTCTCAGAAACTGCTGCGTGATGTGTGCGTTCAACTCTCAGAGTTTAACTTTTCTTTTCATTCAGCGGTTTGGAAACACTGTGTTTGTAAAGTCTGCACGTGGATATTTTGACCACTTAGAGGCCTTCGTTGGAAACGGGTTGTTTTCATGTAAGGCTAGACAGAAGAATTCCCAGTAACTTCCTTGTGTTGTGTGCATTCAACTCACAGAGTTGAACGTTCCCTTAGACAGAGCAGATTTGAAACACTCTATTTGTGCAATTTGCAAGTGTAGATTTCAAGCGCTTTAAGGTCAATGGCAGAAAAGGAAATATCTTCGTTTCAAAACTAGACAGAATGATTCTCAGAAACTTCTTTGTGATGTGTGCGTTCAACTCACAGAGTTTAACCTTTCTTTTCATAGAGCAGTTAGGAAACACTCTGTTTGTAAAGTCTGCAAGTGGATATTCAGACCTCTTAGAGGCCTTCGTTGGAAACGGTATTTCTTCATACTCTAGACAGAAGAATTCTCAGTAACTTCCTTGTGTTGTGTGCTTTCAACTCACAGAGTTGAACGATCCTTTACACAGAGCAGATTAGAAACACTCTTTTTGTGGAATTTGCAAGTGGAGATTTCAGCCGCTTTGAGGTCAATGGTAGAAAAGGAAATATCTTCGTATAGAAACTAGACAGAATGATTCTCAGAAACTCCTTTGTGATGTGTGCGTTCAACTCACAGAGTTTAACCTTTCTTTTCATAGAGCAGTTAGGAAACACTCTGTTTGTAATGTCTGCAAGTGGATATTCAGACATCCTTGAGGCTTTCGTTGGAAACGGGATTTCTTCATATTCTGCTAGAAAGAAGAATTCTCAGTAACTTCCTTGTATTGTGTGTATTCAACTGACAGAGTTGAACTTTCATGTAGAGAGAGCAGATTTGAAACACTGTTTTTGTGGAATTTGCAAGTGGAGATTTCAAGCGCTTTGGGGCCAAAGGCAGAAAAGGAAATATCTTCGTATAAAACTAGACAGAATCATTCTCAGAAACTGCTGTGTGATGTGTGCGTTCAACTCTCAGAGTTTAACTTTTCTTTTCATTCAGCGGTTTGGAAACACTCTGTTTGTAAAGTTTGCACGTGGAAATTTTGACCACTTAGAGGCCTTCGTTGGAAACGGGTTTTTTTCATGTAAGGCTCGACAGAAGAATTCCCAGTAACTTCCTTGTGTTGTGTGCATTCAACTCACAGAGTTGAACGTTCCCTTAGACAGAGCAGATTTGAAACACTCTATTTGTGCAATTTGCAAGTGTAGATTTCAAGCGCTTTAAGGTCAATGACAGAAAAGGAAATATTCTTCGTTTCAAAACTAGACAGAATCATTCCCACAAACTGCGTTGTGATGTGATCGTTCAACTCACAGAGTTTAACCTTTCTGTTCATAGAGCAGTTAGGAAACACTCTGTTTGTAAAGTCTGTAAGTGGATATTCTGACATCTTGTGGCCTTCGTTGGAAACGGGATTTCTTCATATTCTGCTGGACAGAAGAATTCTCAGTAACTTCCTTGTGTTGTGTGTATTCAACTCACAGACTTGAACGATCCTTTACAGAGAGCAGACTTGAAACACTCTTTTTGTGGAATTTGCAAGTGGAGATTTCAGCCGCTTTGAGCTCAATGGTAGAATAGGAAATATCTTCCTATAGAAACTAGACAGAATGATTCTCAGAAACTCCTTTGTGATGTGTGCGTTCAACTCACAGAGTTTAACCTTTCTTTTCATAGAGCAGTTAGGAAACTCTCTGCTTGTAAAGTCTGCAAGTGGATATTCAGCCCTCTTTGAGGCCTTCGTTGGAAACGGGTTTTTTTCATATAGGGCTAGACAGAAGAATTCCCAGTAACTTCCTTGTGTTGTGTGTGTTCAACTCACAGAGTTGAACTTTGATTTACACAGAGCAGATTCGAAACACTCTTTTTGTGGAATTTGCAAGTGGAGATTTCAAGCGCTTTGAGGCCAAAGGCAGAAAAGGAAATATTCTTCGTATAAAAACTAGACAGAATCATTCTCAGAAACCGCTCTGTGATGTGTGCGTTCAACTCTCAGAGTTTAACTTTTCTTTTCATTCAGCAGTTTGGAAACACTCTGTTTGTAAAGTCTCCACGTGGATATTTTGACCACTTAGAAGCCTTCGTTGGAAACGTGTTTTTTTTCATGTAAGGCTAGACAGAAGAATTCCCAGTAACTTCCTTTTGTTGTGTGCATTCAACTCACAGAGATGAACGTTCCCTTCGACAGAGCAGATTTGAAACACTCTATTTGTGCAATTTGCAAGTGTAGATTTAAAGCGCTTTAAGGTCAATGGCAGAAAAGGAAATATCTTCGTTTCAAAACTAGACAGAATCATTCCCACAAACTGCGTTGTGATGTGTTCGTTCAACTCACAGAGTTTAACCTTTCTGTTCATAGAGCAGTGAGGAAACACTCTGTTTGTAAAGTCTGTAAGTGGATATTCTGACATCTTGTGGCCTTCGTTGGAAACGGGATTTCTTCATATTCTGCTAGACAGAAGAATTCTCAGTAACTTCTTTGTGTTGTGTGTATTCAACTCACAGAGTTGAACGATCCTTTATACAGAGCAGACTTGAAACACTCTTTTTGTGGAATTTGCAAGTGGAGATTTCAGCCGCTTTGAGGTCAATGGTAGAACAGGAAATATCTTCCTATAGAAACTAGACAGAATGATTCTCAGAAACTCCTTTGTGATGTGTGCATTCAACTCACAGAGTTTAACCTTTCTTTTCATAGAGCAGTTAGGAAACACTCTGTTTGTAAAGTCTGCAAGTGGATATTCAGAACTCCTTGAGGACTTCGTTGGAAACGGGATTTCTACATATTATGCTAGACAGAAGAATTCTCAGAAACTTCCTTGGGTTGTGTGTATTCAACTCACAGAGTTGAACGATCGTTTACACAGAGCAGACTTGAAACACTCTTTTTGTGGAATTTGCAAGTGGAGATTTCAGCCGCTTTGAGGTCAATGGTAGAAAAGGAAATATCTTTGTATAAAAACTAGACAGAATGATTCTCAGAAACTCCTTTGTGATGTGTGCGTTCAACTCACAGAGTTTAACCTTTCTTTTCATAGAGCAGTTAGGAAACACTCTGCTTGTAAAGTCTTCAAGTGGATATTCAGCCCTCTTTGAGGCCTTCGTTGGAAACGGGTTTTTTTCATATAAGGCTAGACAGAAGAATTCCCAGTAACTTCCTTGTGTTGTGTGTGTTCAACTCACAGAGTTGAACTTCCATTTACACAGAGCAGATTTGAAACACTCTTTTTGTGGAATTTGCAAGTGGAGATTTCAAGCGCTTTGAGGCCAAAGGCAGAAAAGGAAATATCTTTCGTTTCAAAACTAGACAGAATCATTCTCAGAAACTGTTCTGTGATGTGTGCGTTCAACTCTCAGAGTTTAACTTTTCTTTTCATTCAGCAGTTTGGAAACACTCTGTTTGTAAAGTCTGCACGTGGATAATTTGACCACTTAGAGGCCTTCGTTGGAAACGGGTTTTTTTCATGTAAGGCTAGACAGAAGAATTCCCGGTAACTTCCTTGTGTTGTGTGTATTCAACTCACAGAGTTGAACGTTCAGTTAGACAGAGCAGATTTGAAACACTCTTTTTGTGCAATTTGGAAGTGGAGATTTCAGCCACTTTGAGGTCAATGGCAGGAAAGGAAATATCTTCTTTTCAAAACTATACAGAATGTTTCTCAGTAAGTTCTTTGTGATGTGTGCGTTCAACTCACAGGGTTTAACCTTTCTTTTCATAGAGCAGTTAGAAAGCACTCTGTTTGTAAAGTCTTCAAGTGGATATTCAGACCTCTTTTAGGCCCTCGTTGGAAACGAGATTTCTTCATATTATGCTAGACAGAAGAATTCTCAGTAACTTCCTTGTGTTGTGTGTATTCAACACACAGAGTTGAACGATCCTTTACACAGAGCAGACTTGAAACACTCTTTTTGTGGAATTTGCAAGTGGAGATTTCAGCCGCTTTGAGGTCAATGGTAGAAAAGGAAGTATCTTCGTATAAAAACCAGACAGAATGATTCTCAGAAACTCCTTTGTGATGTGTGCGTTCAACTCACAGAGTTTAACCTTTCTTTTCATAGAGCAGTTAGAAAACACTCTGTTTGTAAAGTCTGCAAGTGGATATTCAGACCTCTTTGAGGCCTTCGTTAGAAACGGGATTTCTTCATATTCTGCTAGACAGAAGAATTCCCAGTAACTTCCTTGTGTTGTGTGTGTTCAACTCACAGAGTTGAACTTTCATTTACACAGAGCAGATTTGAAACACTCTTTTTGTGAAATTTGCAAGTGGAGATTTCAAGCGCTTTGAGGCCAAAGGCAGAAAAGGAAATATCTTCGTTTCAAAACTAGACAGAATCATTCTCAGAAACTGCTGTGTGATGTGTGCAGTTCAACTCTCAGAGTTTAACTTTTCTTTTCATTCAGCGGTTTGGAAACACTCTGTTTGTAAAGTCTGCACGTGGATATTTTGACCACTTAGAGGCCTTCGTTGGAAACGGGATTTTTTCATGTAAGGCTAGACAGAAGAATTCCCAGTAACTTCCTTGTGTTGTGTGCATTCAACTCACAGAGACGAACGTTCCCTTAGACAGAGCAGATTTGAAACACTCTATTGGTGTAATTTGCAAGTGTAGATTTCAAGCGCTTTAAGGTCAATGGCAGAAAAGGAAATATCTCCGTTTCAAAACTAGACAGAATGATTCTGAGAAACTCCTTTGTGATGTGTGCGTACAACTCACAGAGTTTAACCTTTCTTTTCATAGAGCAGATAGGAAACACTCTGTTTGTAAAGTCTGCAAGTGGATATTCAGACCTCCTTGAGGCCTTCGTTGGAAACGGCTTTTCTTCCTATTATGCTAGACAGAAGAATTCTCAGTAACTTCCTTGTGTTGTGTGTATTCAACTCACAGAGTTGAATGATCCTTTACACAGAGCAGACTTGAAACACTCTTTTTGTGGAATTTGCAAGTGGAGATTTCAGCCGCTTTGAGTTCAATGGTAGAATAGGAAAAATCTTCCTATAGAAACTAGACAGAATGATTCTCAGAAACTTCTTTGTGATGTGTGCGTTCAACTCACCGAGTTTAACCTTTCTTTTCATAGATCAGTTAGGAAACACTCTGTTTGTAAACTCTGCAAGTGGATATTCAGACCTCTTGGAGGCCTTCGTTGGAAACGGGATTTCTTCATACTATGCTAGACAGAAGAATTCTCAGAAACTTCCTTGTGTTGTGTGTATTCAACTCACAGAGTTGAACGATCCTTTACACAGAGCAGACTTGAAACACTCTTTTTGTGGAATTTGCAAGTGGAGATTTCAGCCGCTTTGTGGTCAATGGTAGAAAAGGAAATATCTTCGTATAGAAACTAGACAGAATGATTCTCAGAAACTCCTTTGTGATGTGGGCGTTGAACTCACAGAGTTTAACCTTTCTTTTCATAGAGCAGTTAGGAAACACTCTGTTTGTAAAGTCTGCACATGGATATTTTGACCACTTAGAGGCCTTCGTTGGAAACGTGTTTTTTTCATGTAAGGCTAGACAGAAGAATTCCCAGTAATTTCCTTGTGTTGTGTGCAGTCAACTCACAGAGTTCAACGTTCCCTTAGACAGAGCAGATTTGAAACACTCTATTTGTGCAATTTGCAAGTGTAGATTTCAAGCGCTTTAAGGTCAATGGCAGAAAAGGAAATATCTTCGTTTCAAAACTAGACAGAATCATTCCCACAAACTGCGTTGTGATGTGTTCGTTCAACTCACAGAGTTTAACCTTTCTTTTCATAGAGCAGTTAGGAAACACTCTGTTGTAAATTCTGTAAGTGGATATTCTGACATCTTGGGGCCTTCGTTGGAAACGGGATTTCTTCATATTCTGCTAGACAGAATAATTCTCAGTAACTTCCTTGTGTTGTGTGTATTCAACTCACAGATTTGAACGATCCTTTACAGAGAGCAGACTTGAAACACTCTTTTTGTGGAATTTGCAAGTGGAGATTTCAGCCGCTTTGAGGTCAATGTTAGAAAAGGAAATATCTTCGTATAAAGACTAGACAGAATGATTCTCAGTAAACTCCTTTGTGATGTGTGTGTTCAACTCACAGTATTTTAACCTTTCTTTTCATAGAGCAGTTAGGAAACACTCTGTTTGTAAAGTCTGCAAGTGGATACTCATACCTCTTTGAGGCCTTCGTTGGAAACGGGTTTTTTTCATATAAGGCTAGACAGAAGAATTCTCAGTAACTTCCTTGTGTTGTGTGTATTCAACTGACAGAGTTGAACTTTCATTAAGAGAGAGCAGATTTGAAACACTGTTTTTGTGGAATTTGCAAGTGGAGATTTCAAGCGCTTTGGGGCCAAAGCAGAAAAGGAAATATCTTCGTATAAAAACTAGACAGAATCGTTCTCAGAAACTGCTCTGCGATGTGTGCGTTCAACTCTCAGAGTTTAACTTTTCTTTTCATTCAGCAGTTTGGAAACACTCTGTTTGTAAAGTCTGCACGTGGATAATTTGACCACTTAGAGGCCTTCGTTGGAAACAGGTTTTTTTCATGTAAGGCTAGACAGAAGAATTCCCAGTAACTTCCTTGTGTTGTGTGCATTCAACTCACAGAGTTGAACGTTCCCTTAGACAGAGCAGATTTGAAACACTCTATTTGTGCAATTTGCAAGTGTAGATTTCAAGCGCATTAAGGTCAATGGCAGAAAAGGAAATATCTTCGTTTCAAAATTAGACAGAATCATTCCCACAAACTGCGTTGTGATGTGTTCGTTCAACTCACAGAGTTTAACCTTTCTGTTCATAGAGCAGTTAGGAAACACTCTGTTTGTAAAGTCTGCAAGTGGATATTCAGACCTCCTTGAGGCCTTCGTTGGAAGCGGGATTTCTTCATATTCTGCTAGACAGAAGAATTCCCAGTAACTTCCTTGTGTTGTGTGTGTTCAACTCACAGAGTTGAACTTTCATTTACACAGAGCAGATTTGAAACACTCTTTTTGTGGAATTTGCAAATGGAGTTTTCAGCCGCGTTGAGGTCAATGGTAGAAAAGGAAATATCTTCGTTTCAAAACTAGACAGAATGATTCTCAGAAACTCCTTTGTGATGTGTCTGTTCAACTCACAGAGTTTAACATTTCTTTTCATAGAGCAGTTAGGAAACACTCTGTTTGTAAAGTCTGCAAGTGGATATTCAGACCTCTTTGAGGCCTTCGTTGGAAACGGGTTTTTTTCATATAAGGCTAGACAGAAGAATTCTCAGTAACTTCCTTGTGTTGTGTGTATTCAACTGACAGAGATGAACTTTCATTTAGAGAGAGCAGATTTGAAACACTGTTTTTGTGGAATTTGCAAGTGGTGATTTCAAGCGCTTTGGGGCCAAAGGCAGAAAAGGAAATATCTTCGTATAAAAACTAGACAGAATCATTCTAAGAAACTGCTCTGCGATGTGTGTGTTCAACTCTCAGAGTTTAACTTTTCTTTTCCTTCAGCAGTTTGGAAACACTCTGTTTGTAAAGTCTGCACGTGGATAATTTGACCACTTAGAGGCCTTCGTTAGAAACGGGTTTTTTTCATGTAAGGCTAGACAGAAGAATTCCCGGTAACTTCTTTGTGTTGTGTGCATTCAACTCACAGAGTTGAACGTTCCTTTAGACAGAGCAGATTTGAAACACTCTTTTTGTGCAATTTGCAAGTGGAGATTTCAAGCGCTTTAAGGTCAATGGCAGAAAAGGAAATAACTTCGTTTCAAAACTAGACAGTATCATTCCCACAAACTGCGTTGTGATGTGTTCGCTCAACTCACAGAGTTTAACCTTTCTTTTCATAGAGCAGTTAGGAAACAGTCTGTTTGTAAATTCTGTAAGTGGATATTCTGACATCTTGTGGCCTTCGTTGGAAACGGGATTTCTTCATATTCTGCTAGACAGAAGAATTCTCAGTAACTTCCCTTGTGTTGTGTGTATTCAACTCACAGAGTTGAACGATCCTTTACAGAGAGCAGACTTGAAACACTCTTTTTGTGGAATTTGCAAGTGGAGATTTCAGCCGCTTTGAGGTCAATGGTAGAAAAGGAAATATCTTCCTATAAAGACTAGACAGAATGATTCTCAGAAACTCCTTTGTGATGTGTGCGTTCAACTCACAGAGTTCAACCTTTCTTTTCATAGAGCAGTTGGGAAACGCTCTGTTTGTAAAGTCTGCAAATGGATATTCAGACTTCTTTGAGGCCTTCGTTGGAAGCAGGATTTCTTCATATTCTGCTAGACAGAAGAATTCTCAGTAACTTCCTTGTTTTGTGTGTATTCAACTGACAGAGTTGAACTTTCGTTTAGAGAGAGCAGATTTGAAACACTGTTTTTGTGGAATTTGCAAGTGGAGATTTCAAGCGCTTTGGGGCCAAAGGCAGAAAAGGAAATATCTTCGTATAAAAACTAGACAGAATCATTCTCAGAAAATGCTTTGTGATGTGTGCGTTCAACTCTCAGAGTTTAACTTTTGTTTTCATTCAGCAGTTTGGAAACACTCTGTTTGTAAAGTCTGCACGTGGATATTTTGACCACTTAGAGGCCTTCGTTGGAAACGGGTTTTTTTCATGTAAGGGTAGACAGAAGAATTCCCAGTAACTTCCTTGTGTTGTGTGCATTCAACTCACAGAGTTGAACATTCCCTTAGACAGAGCAGATTTGAAACACACTATTTGTGCAATTTGCAAGTGTAGATTTCAAGCGCTTTAAGGTCAATGGCAGAAAAGGAAATATCTTCGTTTCAAAACTAGACAGAATGATTCTCAGAAACTCCTTTGTGATGTGTGCGTTCAACTCACATAGTTGAACCTTTCTTTTCATAGAGCAGTTAGGAAACACTCTGTTTGTAAAGTCTGTAAGTGGATATTCAGACATCTTTGAGGCTTTCGTTGGAAACGGGATTTCTTCATATTCTGCTATACAGAAGAATTCTCAGTAACTTCCTTGTGTTGTGTTTATTCAACTCACAGGAGTTGAATGATCCTTTACACAGCAGCAGACTTGAAACACTCTTTTTGTGGAATTTGCAAGTGGAGATTTCAGCCGCTTTGTGGTCAATGGTAGAAAAGGAAATATCTTCGTATAAAGACTAGACAGAATGATTCTCAGAAACTCCTTTGTGATGTGTGCGTTCAACTCACAGAGTTTAACCTTTCTTTTCATAGAGCAGTTAGGAAACACTCTGTTTGTAAAGTCTGCAAGTGGATATTCAGACCTCTTTGAGGCCTTCGTTGGAAACGGGATTTCTTCATATTCTGCTGGACAGAAGAATTCTCAGTAACTTTCCTTGTGTTGTGTGTATTCAACTCACAGAGTTGAACGATCCTTTACACAGAGCAGACTTCAAACACTCTTTTTGTGGAATTTGCAAGTGGAGATTTCAGCCGCTTTGAGGTCAATAGTAGAAAAGGAAATATCTTCGTAGAAAAACTAGGCAGAAATCATTCTCAGAAACTGCTCTGCGATGTGTGCGTTCAACTCTCAGGAGTTTAACTTTTCTTTTCATTCAGCAGTTTGGAAACACTCTGTTTGTAAAGTCTGCACGTGGATATTTTGACCACTTAGAGGCCTTCGTTGGAAACGGGTTTTTTTCCTGTAAGGCTAGACAGAAGAATTCCCAGTAACTTCCTTGTGTTGTGTACATTCATCTCACAGAGTTGAACGTTCCCTTAGACAGAGCAGATTTGAAACACTCTTTTTGTGCAATTGGCAAATGGAGATTTCAAGCGCTTTAAGGTCAATGGCAGAAAAGGAAATATCTTCGTTTCAAAACTAGACAGAATCATTCCCACAAACTGCGTTGTGATGTGTTCGTTCAACTAACAGAGTTTAACCTTTCTTTTCATAGAGCAGTTAGGAAACAGTCTGTTTGTAAATTCTGTATGTGGATATTCTGACATCTTGTGGCCTTCGTTGGAAACGGGATTTCTTCATATTCTGCTTGACAGAAGAATTCTCAGAATCTTCCTTGTGTTGTGTGTATTCAACTCACAGAGTTGAATGATGGTTTACACAGAGCAGATTTGAAACACTCATTTGGTGGAATTTGCAAGTGGAGATTTCAGCCGCTTTGAGGTCAATGGTAGAAAAAGAAATATCTTCGTATAACAACTAGACAGAATGATTCTCAGAAACTCCTTTGTGATGTGTGCGTTCAACTCACAGAGTTTAACCTTTCTTTTCATAGAGCAGTTAGGAAACACTCTTTCTGAAAAGTCTGCAAGTGGATATTCAGACCTCTTTGAGGCCTTCGTTGGAAACGGGATTTCTTCATATTCTGCTAGACAGAGGAATTCCCAGTAACTTCCTTGTGTTGTGTGTGTTCAACTCACAGAGTTGAACTTTCATTTACACAGAGCAGATTTGAAACACTCTTTTTGTGGAATTTGCAAGTGGAGATTTCAAGCGCTTTGAGGCCAAAGGCAGAAAAGGAAATATCTTCGTTTCAAAACTAGACAGAATCATTCTCAGAAACTGCTGCATGATGTGTGCGTTCAACTCTCAGAGTTTAACTTTTCTTTTCATTCAGCGGTTTGGAAACACTCTGTTTGTAAAGTCTGCACGTGGATATTTTGACCACTTAGAGGCCTTCGTTGGAAACAGGTTTTTTGCATGTAAGGCTAGACAGAAGAATTTCCAGTAAATTCCTTGTGTTGTGTACATTCAACTCACAGAGTTGAACGTTCCCTTAGACAGAGCAGATTTGAAACACTCTTTTTGTGCAATTGGCAAGTGGAGATTTCAAGCGCTTTAAGGTCAATGGCAGAAAAGGAAATATCTTCGTTTCAAAACTAGACAGAATCATTCCCACAAACTGCGTTGTGATGTGTTCGTTCAACTCACAGAGTTTAACCTTTCTGTTCATAGAGCAGTTAGGAAACACTCTGTTTGTAAAGTCTGCAAGTGGATATTCAGACCTCTTTGAGGCCTTCGTTGGAAACGGGATTTCTTCATATTCTGCTAGACAGAAGAATTCTCAGAATCTTCCTTGTGTTGTGTGTATTCAACTCACAGAGTTGAACGATCCTTTACACAGAGCAGACTTGATGCACTCTTTTTGTGGAATTTGCAAGTGGAGATTTCAGCCGCTTTGAGGTCCATGGTAGAAAAGGAAATATCTTCGTATAAAAACTAGACAGAATGATTCTCAGAAACTTCTTTGTGATGTGTGCGTTCAACTAACAGAGTTTAACATTTCTTTTCATAGAGCAGTTAGGAAACACTCTGTTTGTAAACTCTGCAAGTGGATATTCAGACCTCTTTGAGGCCTTCGTTGGAAACGGGATTTCTTCATACTGTGCTAGACAGAAGGATTCCCAGTAACTTCCTTGTGTTGTGTGTGTTCAACTCACAGAGTTGAACTTTCATTTACAATGAGCAGATTTGAAACACTCTTTTTGTGGAATTTGCAAGTGGAGATTTCAAGCGCTTTGAGGCCAAAGGCAGAAAAGGAAATATCTTCGTATAAAAACTAGACAGAATCATTCTCAGAAACTGCTCTGCGATGTGTGCGTTCAACTCTCAGAGTTTAACTTTTCTTTTCATTCAGCAGTTTGGAAACACTCTGTTTGTAAAGTCTGCACGTGCATAATTTGACCACTTAGAGGCCTTCGTTGGAAACAGGTTTTTTTCATGTAAGGCTAGACAGAAGATTCCCAGTAACTTCCTTGTGTTGTGTACATTCAACTCACAGAGTTGAACGTTCCCTTAGACAGAGCAGATTTGAAACACTCTTTTTGTGCAATTGGCAAATGGAGATTTCAAGCGCTTTAAGGTCAATGGCAGAAAAGGAAATATCTTCGTTTCAAAACTAGACAGAATCATTCCCACAAACTGCGTTGTGATGTGTTCGTTCAACTCACAGGGTTTAACCTTTCTATTCATAGAGCAGTTAGGAAACACTCTGTTTGTAAAGTCTGTAAGTGGATATTCTGACATCTTGTGGCCTTCGTTGGAAACGGGATTTCTTCACATTCTGCTAGACAGAAGAATTCTCAGTAACTTCCTTGTGTTGTGTTTATTCAACTCACAGAGTTGAATGATCCTTTACACAGAGCAGACTTGAAACACTGTTTTTGTGGAATTTGCAAGTGGAGATTTCAGCCGCTTTGAAGTCAATGGTAGAAAAGTAAATATCTTCGTATAAAGACTAGACAGAATGATTCTCAGAAACTTCATTGTGATGTGTGCGTTCAACTCACAGAGTTTAACCTTTCTTTTCATAGAGCAGTTAGGAAACACTCTGTTTGTAAACTCTGCAAGTGGATATTCAGACCTCTTTGAGGCCTTCGTTGGAAACGGGTTTTTTCATGTAAGGCTAGACAGAAGAATTCCCAGTAACTTCCTTGTGTTGTGTGTGTTCAACTCACAGAGTTGAACTTTCAGTTACACAGAGCAGATTTGAAACACTCTTTTTGTGGACTTTGCAAATGGAGATTTCAAGCGCTTTGAGGCCAAAGGCAGAAATGGAAATATCTTCGTATAAAAACTAGACAGAATCATTCTCAGAAACTGCTCTGCGATGTGTGCGTTCAACTCTCAGAGTTTAACTTTTCTTTTCATTCAGCAGTTTGGAAACACTCTGTTTGTAAAGTCTGCACGTGGATAACTTGACCACTTAGAGGCCTTCGTTGGAAACGGGTTTTTTTCCTGTAAGGCTAGACAGAAGAATTCCCAGTAACTTCCTTGTGTTGTGTGCATTCAACTCACAGAGTTGAACGTTCCCTTAGACAGAGCAGATTTGAAACACTCTATTTCTGCAATTTGCAAGTGTAGTTTTCAAGCACTTTAAGGTCAACGGCAGAAAAGGAAATATCTTCGTTTCAAAACTAGACAGAATCATTCCCACAAACTGCGTTGTGATGTGCTCGTTCATCTCACAGAGTTTAACCTTTCTTTTCATAGAGCAGTTTGGAAACAGTCTGTTTGTAAATTCTGTAAGTGGATATTCTGACATCTTGTGGCCTTCGTTGGAAACGGGATTTCTTCATATTCTGCTAGACAGAAGAATTCTCAGTAACTTCCTTGTGTTGTGTGTATTCAACTCACAGAGTTCAACGATCCTTTACACAGAGCAGACTTGAAACACTCTTTTTGTGGAATTTGCAAGTGGAGATTTCAGCCGCTTTGAGGTCAATGGTAGAAAAGGAAATATCTTCGTATAAAAACTAGACAGAATGATTCTCAGAAACTCCTTTGTGATGTGTGCGTTCAACTCACAGAGTTTAACCTTTCTTTTCATAGAGCAGTTGGGAAACACTCTGTTTGTAAAGTCTGCAAGTGGATATTCAGACTTCCTTTGAGGCCTTCGTTGGAAGCGGGATTTCTTCATGTTCTGCTAGACAGAAGAATTCCCAGTAACTTCCTTCTGTTGTGTGTGTTCAACTCACAGAGTTGAACTTTCATTTACACAGAGCAGATTTGAAAAACTCTTTTTGTGGAATTTGCAAGTGGAGATTTCAAGCGCTTTGAGGCCAAAGGCAGAAAAGGAAATATCTTCGTATAAAAACTAGACAGAATCATTCTTAGAAACTGCTCTGCGATGTGTGTGTTCAACTCTCAGAGTTTAACTTTTCTTTTCATTCAGCAGTTTGGAAACACTCTGTTTGTAAAGTCTGCACGTGGATATTTTCACCACTTAGAGGCCTTCGTTGGAAACGGGTTTTTTTCCTGTAAGGCTAGACAGAAGAATTCCCAGTAACTTCCTTGTGTTGTGTGCATTCAACTCACAAAGTTGAACGTTCCCTTAGACAGAGCAGATTTGAAACACTCTATTTGTGCAATTTGCAAGTGTAGATTTCAAGCGCTTTAAGGTCAACGGCAGAAAAGGAAATATCTTCGTTTCAAAACTAGACAGAATCATTCCCACAAACTGCGTTGTGATGTGCTCGTTCAACTCACAGAGTTTAACCTTTCTTTTCATAGAGTAGTTAGGAAACAGTCTGTTTGAAAATTCTGTAAGTGGATATTCTGACATCTTGTGGCCTTCGTTGGAAACGGGATTTCTTCATATTCTGCTAGACAGAAGAATTCTCAGTAACTTCCCTTGTGTTGTGTGTATTCAACTCACAGAGTTGAACGATCCTTTACACAGAGCAGACTTGAAACACTCTTTTTGTGGAATTTGCAAGAGGAGATTTCAGCCGCTTTGAGGTCAATAGTAGAAAAGGAAATATCTTCGTAGAAAAACTAGACAGAATGATTCTCAGAAACTCCTTTGTGATGTGTGCGTTCAACTCACAGAGTTTAACCTTTCTTTTCATAGAGCAGTTAGGAAACACTCTGTTTGTAAAGTCTGCAAGTGGATATTCAGACCTCTTTGAGGCCTTCGTTGGAAACGGGTTTTTGTCATATAAGGCTAGACAGAAGAATTCTCAGTAACTTCCTTGTGTTGTGTGTATTCAACTGACAGGGTTGAACTTTCATTTAGAGAGAGCAGATTTGAAACACTGTTTTTGTGGAATTTGCAAGTGGAGATTTCAGGCGCCTTGGGGCCAAAGGCAGAAAAGGAAATATCTTGGTATAAAAACTAGACAGAATCATTCTCAGAAACTGCTGCGTGATGTGTGCGTTCAACTCTCAGAGTTTAACTTTTCTTTTCATTCAGCGGTTTGGAAACACTCTGTTTGTAAAGACTGCACGTGGATATTTTGACCACTTAGAGGCCTTCGTTGGAAACGGGTTTTCTTCATGTAAGGCTAGACAGAAGAATTCTCAGTAACTTCCTTGTGTTGTGTTTATTCAACTCACAGAGTTGAATGATCCTTTACACAGAGCAGACTTGAAACACTCTTTTTGTGGAATTTGTAAGTGGAGATTTCAGCCGCTTTGAAGTCAATGGTAGAAAAGTAAATATCTTCGTATAAAGACTGGACAGAATGATTCTCAGAAACTCCTTTGTGATGTGTGCGTTCAACTCACAGAGTTTAACCTTTCTGTTCATAGAGCAGTTAGGAAACACTCTGTTTGTAAAGTCTGTAAGTGGATATTCTGACATCTTGTGGCCTTCGTTGGAAACGGGATTTCTTCATATTCTGCTAGACAGAATAATTCTCAGTAACTTCCTTGTGTTGTGTGTATTCAACTCACAGAGTTGAACGATCCTTTACAGAGAGCAGACTTGAAACACTCTTTTTGTGGAATTTGCAAGTGGAGATTTCAGCCGCTTTGAGGTCAAAGGTAGAATAGGAAATATCTTCCTATAGAAACTAGACAGAATGATTCTCATAAACTCCTTTGTGATGTGTGCGTTCAACTCACAGAGTTTAACCTTTCTTTTCATAGAGCAGTTAGGAAACACTCTGTTTGTAAAGTCTGCAAGTGGATATTCAGACCTCTTTGAGGCCTTCGTTGGAAACGGGATTTCTTCATATTCTGCTAGACGGAAGAATTCTCAGTAACTTCCTTGTGTTGTGTGTATTCAACTGACTGAATTGAACTTTCATTTAGAGAGAGCAGATTTGAAACACTGTTTTTGTGGAATTTGCAAGTGGAGATTTCAAGCGCTTTGGGGCCAAAGGCAGAAAAGGAAATATCTTCGTATAAAAACTAGACAGAATCATTCTCAGAAACTGCTCTGCGATGTGTGCGTTCAACTCTCAGAGTTTAACTTTTCTTTTCATTCAGCAGTTTGGAAACACTCTGTTTGTAAAGTCTGCACGTGGATAATTTGACCACTTAGAGGCCTTCGTTAGAAACGGGTTTTTTTCATGTAAGGCTAGACAGAAGAATTCCCAGTAACTTCCTTGTGTTGTGTGCATTCAACTCACAGAGTTGAACGTTCCCTTAGACAGAGCATATTTGAAACACTCTATTTGTGCAATTTGCAAGTGTAGATTTCAAGCGCTTTAAGGTCAATGGCAGAAAAGGAAATATCTTCGTTTCAAAACTAGACAGAATCATTCCCACAAACTGCGTTGTGATGTGTTCGCTCAACTCGCAGAGTTTAACGTTTCTTTTCATAGAGCAGTTAGGAAACAGTCTGTTTGTAAATTCTGTAAGTGGATATTCTGACATCTTGTGGCCTTAGTTGGAAACGGGATTTCTTCATATTCTGCTAGACAGAAGAATTCTCAGAAACTTCCTTGTGTTGTGTGTATTCAACTCACAGAGTTGAACGATCCTTTACACAGAGCAGACTTGAAACACACTTTTTTTGGTATTTTCAAGTGGAGATTTCAGCCAATTTGAGGTAAATGGTAGAAAAGGAAATATCTTCGTATAAAAACTAGACAGAGTGATTCTCAGAAACTCCTTTGTGATGTCTGCGTTCAACTCACAGAGTTTAACCTTTCTTTTCATAGAGCAGTTAGGAAACACTCTGTTTGTAAAGTCTGCAGGTGGATATTCAGACCTCCTTGAGGCCTTCGTTGGAAACGGGATTTCTTCATATTCTGCTATACAGAAGAATTCCCAGTAACTTCCTTGTTTTGTGTGTGTTCAACTCACAGAGTTGAACTTTCATTTACACAGAGCAGATTTGAAACACTCTTTTTGTGGAATTTGCAAATGGAGATTTCAAGCGCTTTGAGGCCAAAGGCAGAAAAGGAAATATCTTCGTATAAAAACTAGACAGAATCATTCTCAGAAACTGCTCTGCGATGTGTGCGTTCAACTCTCAGAGTTTAACTTTGCTTTTCATTCAGCAGTTTGGAAACACTCTGTTTGTAAAATCTGCACGTGGATAATTTGACCACTTAGAGGCCTTCGTTGGAAACGGGTTTTTTTCATGTAAGGCTAGACAGAAGAATTCCCAGTAACTTCCTTCTGTTGCGTACATTCAGCTCACAGAGTTGAACGTTCCCTTAGACAGAGCAGATTTGAAACACTCTTTTTGTGCAATTGGCAAGTGGAGATTTCAAGCGCTTTAAGGTCAGTGGCAGAAAAGGAAATATCTTCGTTTCAAAACTAGACAGAATGATTCTCATAAACTCCTTTGTGATGTGTGCGTTCAACTCACAGAGTTTAACCTTTCTTTTCATAGAGCAGTTAGGAAACACTCTGCTTGTAAAGTCTGCAAGTGGATATTCAGACCTCCTTGAGGCCTTCGTTGGAAACGGGATTTCTTCATATTCTGCTAGACAGAAGAATTCTCAGTAACTTCCTTGTGTTGTGTGTATTCAACTCACAGAGTTGAACGATCCTTTACACAGAGCAGACTTGAAACCCTCTTTTTGTGGAATTTGCAAGTGGAGATTTCAGCCGCTTTGAGGTCAATGGTAGAAAAGGAAACTATCTTCGTATAAAGACTAGACAGAGTGATTCTCAGAAACTCCTTTGTGATGTCTGCGTTCAACTCACAGAGCTTAACCTTTCTTTTCATAGAGCAGTTAAGAAACACTCTGTTTGTAAAGTCTGCAAGTGGATATTCAGACCTCCTTGAGGCCTTCGTTGGAAACGGGATTTCTTCATATTCTGCTATACAGAAGAATTCTCAGAAACTTCCTTGTGTTGTGTGTTTTCAACTCACAGAGTTCAACGATCCTTTACACAGAGTAGACTTGAAACACTCTTTTTGTGGAATTGGCAGGGTGGAGATTTCAGCCGCTTTGAGGTCAATGGTAGAAAAGGAAATATCTTCGTATAAAAACTAGACAGAATGATTCTCAGAAACTCCTTTGTGATGTGTGCGTTCAACTCGCATAGTTTAACCTTTCTTTTCATAGAGCAGTTAGGAAACACTCTGTTTGTAATGTCTGCACGTGGATATTTGGACTTCTTTGAGGCCTTCGTTGGAAACGGGTTTTTTCCATGTAAGGCTAGACAGAAGAATTCCCAGTAACTTCCTTGTGTTGTGTACATTCAACTCACAGAGTTGAACGTTCCCTTAGACAGAGCAGATTTGAAACACTCTTTTTGTGCAATTGGCAAGTGGAGATTTCAAGCGCTTTAAGGTCAATGGCAGAAAACGAAATATCTTCGTTTCAAAACTACACAGAATCATTCCCACAAACGGCGTTGTGATGTGTTCGTTCAACTCACAGAGTTTAACCTTTCTGTTCATAGAGCAGTTAGGAAACACTGTTTGTAAAGTCTGTAAGTGGATATTCTGACATCGTGTGGCCTTCGTTGGAAACGGGATTTCTTCATATTCTGCTAGACAGAATAATTCTCAGTAACTTCCTTGTGTTGTGTGTATTCAACTCACAGAGTTGAACGATCCTTTACACAGAGCAGACTTGAAACATTCTTTTTGTGGAATTTGCAACTGGAGATTTCAGCCGCTTTGAGGTCAATTGTAGAATAGGAAATATCTTCCTATAGAAACTAGACAGAATGATTCTAAGAAACTCCTTTGTGATGTGTGTGTTCAACTCACAGAGATTAACCTTTCTTTTCATAGAGCAGTTAGTAAACACTCTGTTTATAAAGTCTGCAAGTGGATATTCAGACCCCTTTGAGGCCTTCGTTGGAAACGGGATTTCTTCATATTATGCTAGACAGAAGAATTCTCAGTAACTTCCTTGTGTTGTGTGTATTCAACTGACAGAGTTGAACTTTCATTTAGAGAGAGCAGATTTGAAACACTGTTTTTGTGGAATTTGCAAGTGGAGATTTCAAGCGCTTTGGGGCCAAAGGCAGAAAAGGAAATATCTTCGTATGAAAACTAGACAGAATCATTCTCAGAAACTGCTCTGTGATGTGTGCGTTCCACTCTCAGAGTTTAACTTTTCTTTTCATTCAGCAGTATGGAAACACTCTGTTTGTAAAGTCTGCACGTGGATGTTTTGACCACTTAGTGGCCTTCGTTGGAAACGGGTTTTTTTCATGTAAGGCTAGACAGAAGAATTCTCAGTAACTTCCTTGTGTTGTGTGTATTCAACTCACAGAGTTGAATGATCCTTTACACAGAGCAGACTTGTAACACTATTTTTGTGGAATTTGCAAGTGGAGATTTCAGCCACTTTGAAGTCAAAGTAGAAAAGGAAATAACTTCCTATAAAAACTAGACAGAATCATTCCCACAAACTGCGTTGTGATGTGTTTGTTCAACTCTCAGAGTTTAACCTTTCTGTTCATAGAGCAGTTAGGAAACACTCTGTTTGTAAAGTCTGCAAGTGGATATTCTGACATCTTGTTGCCTTCGTTGGAAACGGGATTTCTTCATATTCTGCTAGACAGAAGAATTCTCAGAATCTTCCATGTGTTGTGTGTATTCAACTCACAGAGTTGAACGATCCTTTACACAGAGCAGACTTGAAACACTCTTTTTGTGGAATTTGCAAGTGGAGATTTCAGCCGCTTTGAGGTCCATGGTAGAAAAGGAAATATCTTCGTATAAAAACTAGACAGAATGATTCTCAGAAACTCCTTTGTGATGTGTGTCTGCAACTCACAGAGTTTAACCTTTCTTTTCATAGAGCAGTTAGTAAACACTCTGTTTATAAAGTCTGCAAGTGGATATTCAGACCCCTTTTAGGCCCTCGTTGGAAACGGGATTTCTTCATATTCTGCCAGACAGAAGAATTCCCAGTAACTTCCTTGTGTTGTGTGTGTTCAACTCACAGAGTTGAACTTTCATTTACACAGAGCAGATTTGAAACACTCTTTTTGTGGAATTTGCAAGTGGAGATTTCAAGCGCTTTGAGGCCAAATGCAGAAAAGGAAATATCTTCGTTTCAAAACTAGACAGAAATCATTCTCAGAAACTGCTGTGTGATGTGTGCGTTCAACTCTCAGAGTTTAACTTTTCTTTTCATTCAGCGGTTTGGAAACACTCTGTTTGTAAAGTCTGCACGTGGAAATTTTGACCACTTAGAGGCCTTCGTTGGAAACGGGTTTTTTTCATGTAAGGCTCGACAGAAGAATTCCCAGTAACTTCCTTGTGTTGTGTACATTCAACTCACAGAGTTGAACGTTCCCTTAGACAGAGCAGATTTGAAACACTCTTTTTGTGCAATTGGCAAGTGGTGATTTCAGCCGCTTTGAGGTCAATGGTAGAAAAGGAAATATCTTCGTATAAAAACTAGACAGAATCATTCCCACAAACTGCGTTGTGATGTGTTCGTTCAACTCACAGAGTTTAACCTTTCTTTTCATAGAGCAGTTAGGAAACACTCTGTTGGTAAATTCTGTAAGTGGATATTCTGACATCTTGTGGCCTCCGTTGGAAACGGGATTTCTTCATATTCTGCTAGACAGAAGAATTCTCAGTAACTTCCTTGTGTTGTATGTATTCAACTCACAGAGTTGAACGATCCTTTACACAGAGCAGACTTGAAACACTCTTTTTGTGGAATTTGCAAGTGGAGATTTCAGCCGCTTTGAGGTCAATGGTAGAATAGGAAATATCTTCCTATAGAAACTAGACAGAATGATTCTCAGAAACACCTTTGTGATGTGTGCGTTCAACTCACAGAGTTTAACTTTTCTTTTCATAGAGCAGTTAGGAAACACTCTGTTTGTAAAGTCTGCAAGTGGATATTCAGACCTCTTTGAGGCCTTCGTTGGAAACGGGATTTCTTCATATTCTGCTAGACAGAAGAATTCTCAGTAACTTCCTTGTGTTGTGTGTATTCAACTCACAGAGTTGAATGATCCTTTACACAGAACAGACTTGAAACACTCTTGTTGTGGAATTTGCAAGTGGAGAATTCAGGCGCTTTGAGGTCAACGGTAGAATAGGAAATATCTTCCTATAGAAACTAGACAGAATCATTCTCAGAAACTGCTCTGTGATGTGTGCGTTCAACTCTCAGAGTTTAACTTTTCTTTTCATTCAGCAGTTTGGAAACACTCTGTTTGTAAAGTCTGCACGTGGATATTTTGACCACTTAGAGGCCTTCGTTGGAAACGGGTTTTTTTCCTGTAAGGCTAGACAGAAGAATTCTCAGTAACTTCCTTGTGTTGTGTACATTCAACTCACAGAGTTGAACGTTCCCTTAGACAGAGCAGATTTGAAACACTCTTTTTGTGCAATTGGCAAATGGAGATTTCAAGCGCTTTAAGGTCAATGGCAGAAAAGGAAATATCTTCGTTTCAAAACTAGACAGAATGATTCTCAGAAACTCCTTTGTGATGTGTGCGTTCAACTCACAGAGTTTAACCTTTCTTTTCATAGAGCAGTTAGGAAACACTCTGTTTGTGAAGTCTGCAAGTGGATATTCAGACCTCTTTGAGGCCTTTGTTGGAAACGGGATTTCTTCATATTCTGCTAGACAGAAGAATTCTCAGAAACTTCCTGGTGTTGTGTGTTTTCAACTCACAGAGTTCAACGATCCTTTACACAGAGTAGACTTGAAACACTCTTTTTGTTGAATTGGCAAGTGGAGATTTCAGCCGCTTTGAGGTCAATGGTAGAAAAGGAAATATCTTCGTATAAAAACTAGACAGAGTGATTCTCAGAAACTCCTTTGTGATGTCTGCGTTCAACTCACAGAGTTTAACCTTTCTTTTCATAGAGCAGTTAGGAAACACTCCGTTTGTAAAGTCTGCAAGTGGATATTCAGACCTCCTTGAGGCCTTCATTGGAAACCGGATTTCTTCATATTTTGCTATACAGAAGAATTCTCAGTAACTTCCTTGTGTTGTGTGTATTCAACTGACAGAGTTGAACTTTCATTTAGAGAGAGCAGATTTGAAACACTGTTTTTGTGGAATTTGCAAGGGGAGATTTCAAGCGCTTTGGGGCCAAAGGCAGAAAAGGAAATATCTTCGTATAAAAACTAGACAGAATCATTCTCAGAAACTGCTCTGCGATGTGTGCGTTCAACTCTCAGAGTTTAACTTCTCTTTTCATTCAGTAGTTTGGAAAAACTCTGTTTGTAAAGTCTGCACGTGGATAACTTGACCACTTAGAGGCCTTCGTTGGAAACGGGTTTTTTTCATGTAAGGCTAGACAGAAGAATTCTCAGTAACTTCCTTGTGTTGTGTGTATTCAACTGACAGAGTTGAACGATCCTTTACACAGAGCATACTTGAAACACTCTTCTTGTGGAATTTGCAAGTGGAGATTTCAGCCGCTTTGAGGTCAATGGTAGAATAGGAAATATCTTCGTATAAAAAGTAGACAGAATGATTCTCAGAAACTCCTTTGTGATGTGTGCGTTCAAATCACAGAGTTTAACCTTTCTTTTCATAGAGCAGTTAGGGAACACTCTGTTTGTAAAGTCTGCAAGTGGATATTCAGACCTCCTTGAGGCCTTCGTTGGAAACGGGATTTCTTCATATTCTGCTAGACAGAAGAATTCTCAGTAACTTCCTTGTGTTGTGTGTATTCAACTCACAGATTTGAACGATCCTTTACACAGAGCAGACTTGAAACACTCTTTTTGTGGAATTTGCAAGTGGAGATTTCTGACGCTTTGAGGTCAATGGTAGAATAGGAAATATCTTCCTATAGAAACTAGACAGAATGATTCTGAGAAACTCCTTTGTGATGTGTGCGTTCAACTCACAGAGTTTAACCTTTCTTTTCATAGAGCAGTTAGGAAACACTCTGTTTGTAAAGTGTGCAAGTGGATATTCAGAACTCCTTGAGGCCTTCGTTGGAAACGGGATTTCTTCATATTATGCTAGACAGAAGAATTCCCAGTAACTTCCTTCTGTTGTGTGTGTTCAACTCACAGAGTTGAACTTTGATTTACACAGAGCAGATTTGAAACACTCTTTTTGTGGAATTTGCAAGTGGAGATTTCAAGCGCTTTGAGGCCAAAGGCAGAAAAGGAAATATCTTCGTATAAAAACTAGACAGAATCATTCTCAGAAACTGCTCTGCGATGTGTGCGTTCAACTCTCAGAGCTTAACTTTTCTTTTCATTCAGCAGTTTGGAAACACTCTGTTTCTAAAGTCTGCACGTGGATAACTTGACCACTTAGAGGCCTTCGTTGGAAACGGGTTTTTTTCCTGTAAGGCTAGACAGAAGAATTCCCAGTAACTTCCTTGTGTTGTGTACATTCAACACACAGAGTTGAACGTTCCCTTAGACAGAGCAGATTTGAAACACTCTTTTAGTGCAATTGGCAACTGGAGATTTCAAGCGATTTAAGGTCAATGGCAGAAAAGTAAATATCTTCGTTTCAAAACTAGACAGAATCATTGCCACAAACTGCGTTGTGATGTGTTCGTTCAACCCACAGAGTTTAACCTTTCTGTTCATAGAGCAGTTAGGAAACACTCTGTTTGTAAAGTATGAAAGTGGATATTCTGACATGTTGTGGCCTTCGTTGGAAACGGGATTTCTTCATATTCTGCTAGACAGAAGAATTCTCAGAAACTTCCTTGTGTTGTGTGTTTTCAACTCACAGAGTTGAACGATCCTTTACACAGAGCAGACTTGAAACACTCTTTTTGTGGAATTTGCAAGTGGAGATTTCAGCCGCTGTGAGGTCA
Organism: Homo sapiens; assembly: GCF_000001405.40. NCBI lineage: Eukaryota > Metazoa > Chordata > Mammalia > Primates > Hominidae > Homo > Homo sapiens. Next base: position 123,958,356 of record NC_000001.11, read on the forward strand.
ATGGTAGAATAGGAAATATCTTCCTATAGAAACTAGACAGAATGATTCTCAGAAACTCCTTTGTGATGTGTGTGTTCAACTCACAGAGTTTAACCTTTCTTTTCATACAGCAGTTAGGAAACACTCTGTTTGTAAATTCTGCAAGTGGATATTTTGACCGCTTTGAGGCCTTCGTTGGAAACGGGTTTTTTTCATGTAAGGCTAGACAGAAGAATTCCCAGTAACTTCCTTGTGTTGTGTGTGTTCAACTCACAGAGTTGAACTTTCATTTACCCAGAGCAGATTTGAAACACTCTTTTTGTGGAATTTGCAAGTGGAGATTTCAAGCACTTTGAGGCCAAAGGCAGAAAAGGAAATATCTTCGTTTCAAAACTAGACAGAATCATTCTCAGAAACTGCTCTGCGATGTGTCCGTTCAACTCTCAGAGTTTAACTTTTCTTTTCATTCAGCAGTTTGGAAACACTCTGTTTGTAAAGTCTGCACGTGGATATTTTGACCACTTAGAGGCCTTCGTTGGAAACGGGTTTTTTTCCTGTAAGGCTAGACAGAAGAATTCCCAGTAACTTCCTTGTGTTGTGTACATTCAACTCACAGAGTTGAACGTTCCCTTAGACAGAGCAGATTTGAAACACTCTTTTTGTGCAATTGGCAAGTGGAGATTTCAAGCGCTTTGAGGTCAATGGCAGAAAAGGAAATATCTTCGTTTCAAAACTAGACAGAATCATTCCCACAAACTGCGTTGTGATGTGTTCGTTCTACTCACAGAGTTTAACCTTTCTTTTCATAGAGCAGTTAGGAAACAGTCTGTTTGAAAATTCTGTAAGGGGATATTCTGACATCTTGTGGCCTTCGTTGGAAACGGGATTTCTTCATATTCTGCTAGACAGAAGAACTCCCAGTAACTTCCTTGTGTTGTGTGTGTTCAACTCACAGAGTTGAACTTTCATTTACACAGAGCAGATTTGAAACACTCTTTTTGTGGAATTTGCAAATGGAGATTTCAGCCGCGTTGAGGTCAATGGTAGAAAAGGAAATATTCTTCGTTTCAAAACTAGACAGAATGATTCTCAGAAACTCCTTTGTGATGTGTGCGTTCAACTCACAGAGTTTAACCTTTCTTTTCATAGACCAGTTAGGAAACACTCTGTTTGTAAAGTCTGCAAGTGGATATTCAGACCTCCTTGAGGCCTTCGTTGGAAGCGGGATTTCTTCATGTTCTGCTAGACAGAAGAATTCTCAGAAACTTCCTTGTGTTGTGTGTTTTCAACTCACAGAGTTGAACGATCCTTTACACAGAGCAGACTTGAAACACTCTTTTTGTGGTATTTGCAAGTGGAGATTTCAGCCGCTTTGAGTTCAATGGTAGAATAGGAAATATCTTCCTATAGAAACTAGACAGAATCATTCCCACAAACTGCGTTGTGATGTGTTCGTTCAACTCACAGAGTTTAACCTTTGTTTTCAGAGAGGAGTTAGGAAACTGTCTGTTTGTAAATTCTGTAAGTGGATATTCTGAAATCTTGTGGCCTTCGTTGGAAACGGGATTTCTTCATATTCTGCTAGACAGAAGAATTCTCAGAATCTTCCTTGTGTTGTGTGTATTCAACTCACAGAGTTTAACGATGGTTTACACAGAGCGGATTTGAAACACTCTTTTTGTGGAATTTGCAAGTGGAGATTTCAGCCGCTTTGAGGTCAATGGTAGAAAAGGAAATATCTTCGTATAAAAACTAGACAGAATGATTCTCAGAAACTTCTTTGTGATGTGTGCGTTCAACTCACAGAGTTTAACCTTTCTTTTCATAGAGCAGTTAGGAAACACTCTGTTTGTAAACTCTGCAAGTGGATATTCAGACCTCTTTGAGGCCTTCTTTGGAAACGGGATTTCTTCATACTGTGCTAGACAGAAGAATTCTCAGTAACTTCCTTGTGTTGTGTGTATTCATCTCACAGAGTTGAACGATCCTTTACACAGAGCGGACTTGAAACACTCTTTTGATGGAATTTGCAAGTGGAGATTTCAGCCGCGTTGAGGTCAATGGTAGAAAAGGAAATATCTTCGTATAAAAACTAGACAGAATGATTCTCAGAAACTTCTTTGTGATGTGTGCGTTCAACTCACAGAGTTTAACCTTTCTTTTCATAGAGCAGTTAGGAAACACTCTGTTTGTAAACTCTGCAAGTGGATATTCAAACCTCTTTGAGGCCTTCGTTGGAAACGGGATTTCTTCATACTATGCTAGACAGAAGAATTCCCAGTAACTTCCTTGTGTTGTGTGTGTTCAACTCACAGAGTTGAACTTTCATTTACACAGAGCAGATTTGCAACACTCTTTTTGTGGAATTTGCAAATGGAGATTTCAAGCGCTTTGAGGCCAAAGCCAGAAAAGGAAATATCTTCGTTTCAAAACTAGACAGAATCATTCTCAGAAACTACTGCGTGATGTGTGCGTTCAACTCTCAGAGTTTAACTTTTCTTTTCATTCAGCGGTTTGGAAACACTCTGTTTGTAAAGTCTGCACGTGGATATTTTGACCACTTAGAGGCCTTCGTTGGAAACGGGTTTTTTTCATGTAAGGCTAGACAGAAGAATTCTCAGAAACTCCCTTGTGTGGTGTGTATTCAACTGACAGGGTTGAACTTTCATTTAGACAGAGCAGATTTGAAACCCTCTTTATGTGGAATTGGCAAGTGGAGATTTCAAGCGCTTTGAGACCAAAGGCAGAAAAGGAAATATCTTCGTTTCAAAACTAGACAGAATCATTCCCACAAACTGCGTTGTGATGTGTTCGTTCAACTCACAGGGTTTAACCTTTCTTTTCATAGAGCAGTTAGGAAACACTCTGTTTGTAAAGTCTGTAAGGGGATATTCTGACATCTTGTGGCCTTCGTTAGAAACGGGATTTCTTCATATTCTGCTAGACACAAGAACTCTCAGTAACTTCCTTGTGTTGTGTGTATTCAACTCACAGAGTTGAACGATCCTTTACACAGAGCAGACTTGAAACATTCTTTTCGTGGAATTTGCAACTGGAGATTTCAGCCGCTTTGAGGTCAATGGTAGAATAGGAAATATCTTCCTATAGAAACTAGACAGAACGATTCTCAGAAACTCCTTTGTGATGTGTGCGTTCAACTCACAGAGTTTAAACTTTCTTTTCATAGAGCAGTTAGGAAACACTCTGTTTGTAAAGTCTGCAAGTGGATATTCAGACCTCTTTGAGGCCTTCGTTGGAAACGGGATTTCTTCATATTCTGCTAGACAGAAGAATTCTCAGTAACTTCCTTGTGTTGTGTGTATTCAACTGACAGAGTTGAACTTTCATTTAGAGAGAGCAGATTTGAAACACTGTTTTTGTGGAATTTGCAAGTGGAGATTTCAAGCGCTTTGGGACCAAAGGCAGAAAAGGAAATATCTTCGTATAAAAACTAGACAGAATCATTCTCAGAAACTGCTCTGCGATGTGTGCGTTCAACTCTCAGAGTTTAACTTTTCTTTTCATTCAGCAGTTTGGAAACACTCTGGTTGTAAAGTCTGCACTTGGATAACTTGACCACTTAGAGGACTTCGTTGGAAACGGGTTTTTTTCCTGTAAGGCTAGACAGAAGAATTCCCAGTAACTTCCTTGTGTTGTGTGCATTCAACTCACAGACTTGAACGTTCCCTTAGACAGAGCAGATTTGAAACACTCTATTTGTGCAATTTGCAAGTGTAGATTTCAAGCGCTTTATGGTCAACGGCAGAAAAGGAAATATCTTCGTTTCAAAACTAGACAGAATGATTCTCAGAAACTCCTTTGTGATGTGTGCGTTCAACTCACAGAGTTTAACCTTTCTTTTCATAGAGCAGTTAGGAAACACTCTGTTTGTAAAGTGTGCAAGTGGATATTCAGACCTCCTTGAGGCCTTCGTTGGAAACGGGATTTCTTCATATTATGCTAGACAGAAGAATTCTCAGTAAGTTCCTTGTGTTGTGTGTATTCAACTCACAGAGTTGAACGATCCTTTACACAGAGCAGACTTGAAACACTCTTTTTGTGGAATTTGCAAGTGGAGATTTCAGCCGCTTTGAGGTCAATGGTAGAATAGGAAATATCTTCCTATAGAAACTAGACAGAATGATTCTCAGAAACTCCTTTGTGATGTGTGCGTTCAACTCACAGAGTTTAACCTTTCTTTACATAGAGCAGTTAGGAAACACTCAGTTTGTAAAGTCTGCAAGAGGATATTCAGACATCTTTGAGGCTTTCGTTGGAAACGGGATTTCTTCATATTCTGCTAGAGAGAAAGAATTCCCAGTAACTTCCTTGTGTTGTGTGTGTTCAACTCACAGAGTTGAACTTTCATTTACACAGAGCAGATTGGAAACACTCTTTTTGTGGAATTTGCAAGTGGAGATTGCAAGCGCTTTGAGGCCAAAGGCAGAAAAGGAAATATCTTCGTATAAAAACTAGACAGAATCATTCTCAGAAACTGCTCTGCGATGTGTGCGTTCAACTCTCAGAGTTTAACTTTGCTTTTCATTCAGCAGTTTGGAAACACTCTGTTTGTAAAGTCTGCACGTGGATATTTTGACCACTTAGAGGCCTTCGTTGGAAACGGTTTTCTTTCCTGTAAGGCTAGACAGAAGAATTCCCAGTAACTTCCTTGTGTTGTGTACATTCAACTCACAGAGTTGAACGTTCCCTTAGACAGAGCAGATTTGAAACACTCTTTTTGTGCAATTGGCAAGTGGAGATTTCAAGCGCTTTAAGGTCAATGGCAGAAAAGGAAATATCTTCGTTTCAAAACTAGACAGAATCATTCCCACAAACTGCGTTGTGATGTGTTCGTTCAACTCACAGAGTTTAACCTTTCTGTTCATAGAGCAGTTAGGAAACACTCTGTTTGTAAAGTCTGTAAGTGGATATTCTGACATCTTGTGGCCTTTGTTGGAAACGGGATTTCTTCATATTCTGCTAGACAGAAGAATTCTCAGTAACTTCCTTGTGTTGTGTGTATTCAACTCATAGAGTTGAACGATCCCTTACACAGAGCAGACTTGTAACACTCTTTTTGTGGAATTTGCAAGTGGAGATTTCACCCGCTTTGACGTCAAAGGTAGAAAAGGAAATATCTTCCTATAAAAACTAGACAGAATGATTCTCAGAAACTCCTTTGTGATGTGTGCGTTCAACTCACAGAGTTTAACTTTTCTTTTCATAGAGCAGTTAGGAAACACTCTGTTTATAAAGTCTGCAAGTGGATATTCAGACCTCTTTGAGGCCTTCGTTGGAAACGGGATTTCTTCATATTATGCTAGACAGAAGAATTCCCAGTAACTTCCTTGTGTTGTGTGTGTTCAACTCACAGAGTTTAACTTTCATTTACCCAGAGCAGATTTGAAACACTCTTTTTGTGGAATTTGCAAGTGGAGATTTCAAGCGCTTTGAGGCCAAAGGCAGAAAAGGAAATATCTTCGTTTCAAAACTAGACAGAATCATTCTCAGAAACTGCTGCGTGATGTGTGCGTTCAACTCTCAGAGTTTAACTTTTCTTTTCATTCAGCGGTTTGGAAACACTCTGTTTGTAAAGTCTGCACGTGGAAATTTTGACCACTTAGAGGCCTTCGTTGGAAACGGGTTTTTTTCATGTAAGGCCAGACAGAAGAATTCCCAGTAACTTCCTTGTGTTGTGTACATTCAACTCACAGAGTTGAACGTTCCCTTAGACAGAGCAGATTTGAAACACTCTTTTTGTGCAATTGGCAAGTGGAGATTTCAAGCGCTTTAAGGTCAAAGCAGAAAAGGAAATATCTTCGTTTCAAAACTAGACAGAATCATTCCCACAAACTGCGTTGTGATGTGTTCGTTCAACTCACAGAGTTTAACCTTTCTTTTCATAGAGCAGTTAGGAAACAGTCTGTTTGTCAATTCTGTAAGTGGATATTCTGACATCTTGTGGCCTTCGTTGGAAAAGGGATTTCTTCATATTCTGCTAGACAGAAGAATTCTCAGTAACTTCCTTGTGTTGTGGGTATTCAACTCACAGAGTTGAACGATCCTTTACACAGAGCAGACTTGGAACACTCTTTTTGTGGAATTTGCAAGTGGAGATTTCAGCCGCGTTGAGGTCAATGGTAGAAAAGGAAATATCTTCGTATAAAAACTAGACAGAATGATTGTCAGAAACTCCTTGGTGCTGTGTGCGTTCAACTCACAGAGTTTAAAGTTTCTTTTCATAGAGCAGTTAGGAAACACTCTGTTTGTAATGTCTGCAGGTGGATATTCAGACATCATTGAGGCTTTTTTTGGAAACGGGATTTCTTCATATTCTGCTATATAGAAGAATTCTCAGTAACTTCCTTGTGTTGTGTGTATTCAACTCACAGAGTTGAACGATCCTTTACACAGAGCAGACTTGAAACACTCTTTTTGTGGAATTTGCAAGTGGAGATTTCAGCCGCTTTGAGGTCTATAGTAGAAAAGGAAATATCTTCGTAGAAAAACTAGACAGAATGATTCTCAGAAACTCCTTTGTGATGTGTGCGTTCAACTCACAGAGTTTAACCTTTCTTTTCATAGAGCAGTTAGGAAACACTCTGTTTGTAAAGTCTGCAGGTAGATATTCAGACATCTTTGAGGCTTTCGTTGGAAACGGGATTTCTTCATATTCTGCTAGACAGAAGAATTCCCAGTAAATTCCTTGTGTTGTGTGTGTTCAACTCACAGAGTTGAACTTTCATTTACACAGAGCAGATTTGAAACACTCTTTTTGTGGAATTTGCAAGTGGAGATTTCAAGCGCTTTGAGGCCAAAGGCAGAAAAGGAAATATCTTCGTTTCAAAACTAGACAGAATCATTCTCAGAAACTGCTGCGTGATGTGTGCGTTCAACTCTCAGAGTTTAACTTTTCTTTTCATTCAGCGGTTTGGAAACACTCTGTTTGTAAAGTCTGCACGTGGAAATTTTGACCACTTAGAGGCCTTCGTTGGAAACGGGTTTTTTTCATGTAAGGCTTGACAGAAGAATTCCCAGTAACTTCCTTGTGTTGTGTGCATTCAACTCACAGAGTTGAACGTTCCCTTAGACAGAGCAGATTTGAAACACTCTATTTGTGCAATTTGCAAGTGTAGATTTCAAGCGCTTTAAGGTCAACGGCAGAAAAGGAAATATCTTCGTTTCAAAACTAGACAGAATGATTCTCAGAAACTTCATTGTGATGTGTGCGTTCAACTCACAGAGTTTAACCTTTCTTTTCATAGAGCAGTTGGGAAACAGTCTGTTTGTAAATTCTGTAAGTGGATATTCTGACATCTTGTGGCCTTCGTTGGAAACGGGATTTCTTCATATTCTGCTAGACAGAAGAATTCTCAGTAACTTCCTTGTGTTGTGTGTATTCAACTCACAGAGTTGAAAGATCCTTTACACAGAGCAGACTTGAAACACTCTTTTTGTGGAATTTGCAAGTGGAGATTTCAGCCGCTTTGAGGTCAATGGTAGAAAAGGAAATATCTTCGTATAAAAACTAGACAGAATGATTCTCAGAAACTCCTTTGTGATGTGTGCGTTCAACTCACAGAGTTCAACCTTTCTTTTCATAGAGCAGTTGGGAAACACTCTGTTTGTAAAGTCTGCAAGTGGATATTCAGACCTCTTTGAGGCCTTCGTTGGAAGCGGGATTTCTTCATATTCTGCTAGACAGAAGAATTCCCAATAACTTCCTTGTGTTGTGTGTGTTCAACTCACAGAGTTGAACTTTCATTTACACAGAGCAGATTGGAAACACTCTTTTTGTGGAATTTGCAAGTGGAGATTTCAAGTGCTTTGAGGCCAAAGGCAGAAAAGGAAATATCTTCTTATAAAAACTAGACAGAATCATTCTCAGAAACTGCTGCATGATGTGTGCGATCAACTCTCAGAGTTTAACTTTTCTTTTCATTCAGCGGTTTGGAAACACTCTGTTTGTAAAGTCTGCACGTGGAAATTTTGACAACTTAGAGACCTTCGTTGGAAACGGGATTTTTTCATGTAAGGCTAGACAGAAGAATTCTCAGTAACTTCCTTGTGTTGTGTTTATTCAACTCACAGAGTTGAATGATCCTTTACACAGAGCAGACTTGAAACACTCTTTTTGTGGAATTTGCAAGTGGAGATTTCAGCCGCTTTGAGGTCAATGGTAGAATAGGAAATATCTTACTATAGAAACTAGACAGAATGATTCTCAGAAACTCCTTTGTGATGTGTGCATTCAACTCACAGAGTTTAACCTTTCTTTTCATAGAGCAGTTAGGAAACACTCTGTTTGTAAAGTCTGCAAGTGGATATTCAGACCTCTTTGAGGCCTTCGTTGGAAACGGGTTTTCTTCATATTCTGCTAGACAGAAGAATTCTCAGTAACTTCCTTGTGTTGTGTGTATTCAACTCACAGAGTTGAACGATCCTTTACACAGAGCAGAGTTGTAACACTCTTTTTGTGGAATTTGCAAGTGGAGAATTCAGCCGCTTTGAAGTCAAAGGTAGAAAAGGAAATATCTTCCTATAAAAACTAGACAGAATGATTCTCAGAAACTCCTTTGTGATGTGTGCGTTCAACTCACAGAGTTTAACCTTTCTTTTCATAGAGCAGTTAGGAAACACTCTGTTGGTAAAGTCTGCAAGTGGATATTCAGACCTCCTTGAGGCCTTCGTTGGAAACGGGATTTCTTCATATTATGCTAGACAGAACTATTCTCAGTAACTTCCTTGTGTTGTGTGTATTCAACTGACAGAGTTGAAATTTCATTTAGAGAGAGCAGATTTGAAACACTGTTTTTGTGGAATTTGCAAGTGGAGATTTCAAGCGCTTTGGGGCCAAAGGCAGAAAAGGAAATATCTTCGTATAAAAACTAGACAGAATAATTCTCAGAAACTGCTGCGTGATGCGTGCGTTCAACTCTCAGAGTTTAACTTTTCTTTTCATTCAGCGGTTTGGAAACACTCTGTTTGTAAAGTCTGCAAGTGGATATTCAGACCTCTTTGAGGCCTTCGTTGGAAACGGGATTTCTTCCTATTATGCTAGACAGAAGAATTCCCAATAACTTCCTTGTGTTGTGTACATTCAACTCACAGAGTTGAACGTTCCCTTAGACAGAGCAGATTTGAAACACTCTTTTTGTGCAATTGGCAAGCGGAGATTTCAAGCGCTTTAAGGTCAATGGCAGAAAAGGAAATATCTTCGTTTCAAAACTAGACAGAATCATTCCCACAAACTGCGTTGTGATGTGTTCGTTCAACTCACAGAGTTTAACCTTTCTTTTCATAGAGCAGTTAGGAAACAGTCTGTTTGTCAATTCTGTAAGTGGATATTCTGACATCTTGTGGCCTTCGATGGAAACGGGATTTCTTCATATTCTGCTAGACAGAAGAATTCTCAGTAACTTCCTTGTGTTGTGTGTATTCAACTCACAGAGTGGAACGATCCTTTACACAGAGCAGACTTGAGACACTCTTTTTGTGGAATTTGCAAGTGGAGATTTCAGCCGCTTTGAGGTCAATAGTGGAAAAGGAAATATCTTCATAGAAAAACTAGACAGAATGATTCTCAGAAACTCCTTTGTGATGTGTGCGTTCAACACACAGAGTTAAACTTTTCTTTTCATAGAGCAGTTAGGAAACACTCTGTTTGTAAAGTCTGCAAGTGGATATTCAGACCTCTTTGAGGCCTTCGTTGGAAACAAGATTTCTTCATATTATGCTAGACAGAAGAATTCTCAGTAACTTCCTTGTGTTGTGTGTATTCAACTGACAGAGTTGAACTTTCATTTAGAGAGAGCAGATTTGAAACACTGTTTTTGTGGAATTTGCAAGTGGAGATTTCAAGCGCTTTCGGGCCAAAGGCAGAAAAGGAAATATCTTCGTATAAAAACTAGACAGAATCATTCTCAGAAACTGCTGCGTGATGTGTGCGTTCAACTCTCAGTGTTTAACTTTTCTTTTCATTCAGCGGTTTGGAAACACTCTGTTTGTAAAGTCTGCACGTGGATATTTTGACCACTTAGAGGCCTTCGTTGGAAACGGGTTTATTTCATGTAAGGCTAGACAGAAGAATTCCCAGTAACTTCTTTGTGTTGTGTGCATTCAACTCACACAGTTGAACGTTCCCTTAGACAGAGCAGATTTGAAACACTCTATTTGTGCAATTTGCAAGTGTAGATTTCAAGCGCTTTAAGGTCAATGGCAGAAAAGGAAATATCTTCGTTTCAAAACTAGACAGAATCATTCCCACAAACTGCGTTGTGATGTGTTTGTTCAACTCACAGAGTTTAACCTTTCTTTTCATAGAGCAGTTAGGAAACAGTCTGTTTGTTAATTCTGTAAGTGGATATTCTGACATCTTGTGGCCTTCGTTGGAAACGGGATTTCTTCATATTCTGCTAGACAGAAGAATTCTCAGAAACTTCCTTGTGTTGTGTGTTTTCAACTCACAGAGTTGAACGATCCTTTACACAGAGTAGACTTGAAACACTCTTTTTGTGTAATTTGCAAGTGGAGATTTCAGCCGCTTTGAGGTCAATGGTAGAAAAGGAAATATCTTCGTATAAAAACTAGACAGAGTGATTCTCAGAAACTCCTTTGTGATGTCTGCGTTCAACTCACAGAGTTGAACCTTTCTTTTCATAGAGCAGTTAGGAAACACTCTGTTTGTAAAGTCTGCAAGTGGATATTCAGACATCTTTGAGGCCTTCGTTGGAAACGGGATTTCTTCATATAATGCTAGAGAGAAGAATTCTCAGTAACTTACCTTGTGTTGTGTGTATTCAACTGACAGAGTTGAACTTTCATTTAGAGAGAGCAGATTTGAAACACTGTTTTTGTGGAATTTGCAAGTGGAGATTTCAAGCACTTTGGGGCCAAAGGCAGAAAAGGAAATATCTTCGTATAAAAACTAGACAGAATCATTCTCAGAAACTGCTCTGCGATGTGTGCGTTCAACTCTCAGAGTTTAACTTTTCTTTTCATTCAGCAGTTTGGAAACACTCTGTTTGTAAAGTCTGCACGTGCATAATTTGACCACTTAGAGGCCTTCGTTGGAAACGGGTTTTTTTCATGTAAGGCTAGACAGAAGAATTCTCAGTAACTTCCTTGTGTTGTGTGTATTCAACTCACAGAGTTGAACGATCCTTTACACAGAGCAGACTTGAAACGCTCGTTTTGTGGAATTTGCAAGTGGAGATTTCAGCCGCTTTGAGGTCAATGGTAGAAAAGGAAATATCTTCGTATAAAAACTAGACAGAATGATTCTCAGAAACTCCTTTGTGATGTGTGCGTTCAACTCACAGAGTTTACCCTTTCTTTTCATAGAGCAGTTAGGAAACACTCTGTTTGTAAAGTCTGCAAGTGGATATTCAGACATCCTTGAGGCTTTCGTTGGAAACGGGATTTCTTCATATTCTGCTAGACAGAAGAATTCTCAGTAACTTCCTTGTGTTGTGTGTATTCAACTCACAGAGTTGAACGATCCTTTACACAGAGCGGAGTTGAAACACTCTTTTTGTGGAATTTGCAAGTGGAGATTTCAGCCGCTTTGAGGTCAATGGTAGAAAAGGAAATATCTTCTTATACAGACTATACAGAATGATTCTCAGAAACTCCTTTGTGATGTGTGCGTTCAACTCACAGAGTTTAACCTTTCTGTTCATAGAGCAGTTAGGAAACACTCTGTTTGTAAAGTCTGCAAGTGGATATTCAGACCTCCTTGAGGCCTTCGTTGGAAACGGGATTTCTTCCTATTCTGCTAGACAGAAGAATTCTCAGTAACTTCCTTGTGTTGTGTGTATTCAACTCACAGAGTTGAACGATCCTTTACACAGAGCAGACTTGAAACACTCTTTTTGTGGAATTTGCAAGTGGAGATTTCAGCCGCGTTGAGGTCAATAGTAGAAAAGGAAATATCTTCGTAGAAAAACTAGACAGAATGATTCTCAGAAACTGCTCTGCGATGTGTGCGTTCAACTCTCAGAGTTTAACTTTTCTTTTCATTCAGCAGTTTGGAAACACTCTGTTTGTAAAGTCTGCACGTGGATATTTTGACCACTTAGAGGCCTTCGTTGGAAACGGGTTTTTTTTCCTGTAAGGCTAGACAGAAGAATTCCCAGTAACTTGCTTGTGTTGTGTACATTCAACTCACAGAGTTGAACGTTCCCTTAGACAGAGCAGATTTGAAACACTCTTTTTGTGCAATTGGCAAGTGGAGATTTCAAGCGCTTTAAGGTCAATGGCAGAAAAGGAAATATGTTCGTTTCAAAACTAGACAGAATCATTCCCACAAACTGCGTTGTGATGTGTTCGTTCACCTCACAGAGTTTAACCTTTCTGTTCATAGAGCAGTTAGGAAACACTCTGTTTGTAAAGTCTGCAAGTGGATATTCAGACCTCTTTGAGGCCTTCGTTGGAAACGGGATTTCTTCATATTCTGCTAGACAGAAGAATTCTCAGTAACTTCCTTGTGTTGTGTGTATTCAACTCACAGAGTTGAACGATCCTTTACACAGAGCAGACTTGAAACACTCTTTTTGTGGAATTTGCAATTGGAGATTTCAGCCGCTTTGAGGTCAATAGTAGAAAAGGAAATATCGTCGTAGAAAAACTAGACAGAATGATTCTCAGAAACTCCTTTGTGATGTGTGTGTTCAACTCACAGAGTTTAACCTTTCTTTTCATAGAGCAGTTAGGAATCACTCTGTTTGTAAAGTCTGCAAGTGGATATTCAGACCTGTTTGAGGCCTTCGTTGGAAACGGGTTTTTTTCATATAAGGCTAGACAGAAGAATTCTCAGTAACTTCCTTGTGTTGTGTGTATTCAACTGACAGAATTGAACTTTCATTTAGAGAGAGCAGATTTGAAACACTGTTTTTGTGGAATTTGCAAGTGGAGATTTCAAGCGCTTTGGGGCCAAAGGCAGAAAAGGAAATATCTTCGTATAAAAAGTAGACAGAATGATTCTCAGAAACTCCTTTGTGATGTGTACGTTCAACACACAGAGTATAACTTTTCTTTTCATAGAGCAGTTAGGAAACACTCTGTTTGTAAAGTCTGCAAGTGGATATTCAGACCTCCTTTGAGGCCTTCGTTGGAAACGGGATTTCTTCATATTATGCTAGACAGAAGAATTCCCAGTAACTTCCTTGTGTTGTGTACATTCAACTCACAGAGTTGAACGTTCCCTTAGACAGAGCAGATTTGAAACACTCTTTTTGTGCAATTGGCAAGTGGAGATTTCAAGCGCTTTAAGGTCAATGGCAGAAAAGGAAATATCTTCGTTTCAAAACTAGACAGAATGATTCTCAGAAACTCCTTTGTGATGTGTGCCGTTCAACTCAGAGAGTTTAACCTTTCTTTTCATAGAGCAGTTAGGAAACACGCTGTTTATAAAGTCTGCAAGTGGATATTCAGACCCCTTTGAGGCCTTCGTTGGAAACGGGATTTCTTCATATTATGCTAGACAGAAGAATTCTCAGTAACTTCCTTGTGTTGTGTGTATTCAACTCACAGAGTTGAACGATCCTTTACACAGGAGCAGACTTGAAACACTCTTTTTGTGGAATTTGCAAGTGGAGATTTCAGCCGCTTTGAGGTCAATGGTAGAATAGGAAATATCTTCCTATAGAAAATAGACAGAATGATTCTCAGAAACTCCTTTGTGATGTGTGCGTTCAACTCACAGAGTTTAACCTTTCTTTTCATAGAGCAGTTAGGAAACACTCTGTTTGTAAAGTCTGCAAGTGGATGTTCAGACCTCTTTGAGGCCTTCGTTGGAAACGGGTTTTTTTCATATAAGGCTAGACAGAAGAATTCCCACTAACATCCTTGTGTTGTGTGTGTTCAACTCACAGAGTTGAACTTTCATTTACACAGAGCAGATTTGAAAGACTCTTTTTGTGGAATTTGCAAATGGAGATTTCAAGCGCTTTGAGGCCAAAGACAGAAAAGGAAATATCTTCGTTTCAAAACTAGACAGAATCATTCTCAGAAACTGCTGCGTGATGTGTGCGTTCAACTCTCAGAGTTTAACTTTTCTTTTCATTCAGCGGTTTGGAAACACTCTGTTTGTAAAAACTGCACGTGGATATTTTGACCACTTAGAGGCCTTCGTTGGAAACGGGTTTTTTTTCATGTAAGGCTAGACAGAAGAATTCCCAGTAACTTCCTTGTGTTGTGTGCATTCAACTCACAGAGTTGAACGTTCCCTTAGACAGAGCAGATTTGAAACACTCTATTTGCGCAATTTGCAAGTGTAGATTTCAAGCGCTTTCAGGTCAATGGCAGAAAAGGAAATATCTTCGTTTCAAAACTAGACAGAATGATTCTCAGAAACTCCTTTGTGATGTGTGTGTTCAACTCACAGAGTTTAACCTTTCTTTTCATAGAGCAGTTAGGAAACACTCTGTTTGTAAAGTCTGCAAGTGGATATTCAGACCTCGTTGAGGCCTTCGTTGGAAACTGGATTTCTTCATATTCTGCTAGACAGAAGAATTCTCACAATCTTCCTTGTGTTGTGTGTATTCAACTCACAGAGTTGAACGATGGTTTACACAGAGCAGATTTGAAACACTCTTTTTGTGGAATTTGCAAGTGGAGATTTCAGCCGCTTTGAGGTCAATGGTAGAAAAGGAAATATCTTCATATAAAAACTAGACAGAATGATTCTCATAAACTCCTTTGTGATGTGTGCGTTCAACTCACAGAGTTTAACTTTTCTTTTCATAGAGCAGTTAGGAAACACTCTGTTTGTAAAGTCTGCAAGTGGATATTCAGACCTCTTTGAGGCCTTCGTTGGAAACGGGATTTCTTCATATTATGCTACACAGAAGAATTTTCAGTAACTTCCTTGTGTTGTGTGTATTCAACTCACAGAGTTGAACTTTCATTTAGAGAGAGCAGATTTGAAACACTGTTTTTGTGGAATTTGCAAGTGGAGATTTCAAGCGCTTTGGGGCCAAAGGCAGAAAAGGAAATATCTTCGTATAAAAACTAGACAGAATCATTCTCAGAAACTGCTGCGTGATGTGTGCGTTCAACTCTCAGAGTTTAACTTTTCTTTTCATTCAGCGGTTTGGAAACACTCTGTAAAGTCTGCACGTGGATATTTTGACCACTTAGAGGCCTTCGTTGGAAACGGTTTTTTTTTATGTAAGGCTAGACAGAAGAATTCCCAGTAACTTCCTTGTGTTGTGTGCATTCAACTCACAGAGTTGAACGTTCCCTTAGACAGAGCAGATTTGAAACACTCTATTTGTGCAATTTGCAAGTGTAGTTTTCAAGCTCTTTAAGGTCAACGGCAGAAAAGGAAATATCTTCGTTTCAAAACTAGACAGAATCATTCCCACAAACTGCGTTGTGATGTGTTCGTTCAACTCACAGAGTTTAACCTTTCTGTTCATAGAGCAGTTAGGAAACACTCTGTTTGTAAAGTCTGTAAGTGGATATTCTGACATCTTGTGGCCTTCGTGGGAATCGGGATTTCTTCATATTCTGTTAGACAGAAGAATTCTCAGAATCTTCCTTGTGTTGTGTGTATTCAACTCACAGAGTTGAACGATGGTTTACACGAGCAGATTTGAAACACTCTTTTTGTGGAATTTGCAAGTGGAGATTTCAGCCGCTTTGAGGTCAATGGTAGAAAAGGAAATATCTTCGTATAAAAACTAGACAGAATGATTCTCAGAAACTTCATTGTGATGTGTGCGTTCAACTCACAGAGTTTAACCTTTCTTTTCATAGAGCGGTTAGGAAACACTCTGTTTGTAAACTCTGCAAGTGGATATTCAGACCTCTTTGAGGCCTTCGTTGGAAACGGGATTTCTTCATACTGTGCTAGACAGAAGAATTCTCAGTAACTTCCTTGTGTTGTGTGTATTCAACTGACAGAGTTGAACTTTCATTTAGAGAGAGCAGATTTGAAACACTGTTTTTGTGGAATTTGCAAATGGAGATTTCAAGCGCTTTGGGGCCAAAGGCAGAAAAGAAATATCTTCGTATAAAAACTAGACAGAATCATTCTCAGAAACTGCTCTACGATGTGTGCGTTCAACTCTCAGAGTTTAACTTTTCTTTTCATTCAGCAGTTTGGAAACACTCTGTTTGTAAAGTCTGCACGTGGATAATTTGACCACTTAGAGGCCTTCGTTGGAAACGGGTTTTTTTCATGTAAGGCTAGACAGAAGAATTCTCAGTAACTTCCTTGTGTTGTGTGTATTCAACTCACACAGTTGAACGATCCTTTACACAGAGCAGACTTGTAACACTCTTTTTGTGGAATTTGCAAGTGGAGATTTCAGCCGCTTTGAAGTCAAAGGTAGAAAAGGAAATATCTTCCTATTAAAACTAGACAGAATGATTCTCAGAAACTCCTTTGTGATGTGTGCGTTCAACTCACAGAGTTTAACCTTTCTTTTCATAGAGCAGTTAGGAAACACTCTGTTTGTAAAGTCTGCAAGTGGATATTCAGACATCCTTGAGGCCTTCGCTGGAAAAGGGATTTCTTCATATTATGCTGGACAGAAGAATTCTCAGTAACTTCCTTGTGTTGTGTTTATTCAACTCACAGAGTTGAATGATCCTTTACAAAGAGCAGACTTGAAACACTCTTTTTGTGGAATTTGCAAGTGGAGATTTCAGCCGCTTTGAGGTCAACGGTAGAAAAGTAAATATCTTCGTATAAAGACTAGACAGAATGATTCTCAGAAACTTCATTGTGATGTGTGCAGTTCAACTCACAGAGTTTAACCTTTCTTTTCATAGAGCAGTTAGGAAACACTCTGTTTGTGAACTCTGCAAGTGGATATTCAGACGTCTTTGAGGCCTTCGTTGGAAATGGGATTTCTTCATACTGTGCTAGACAGAAGAATTCTCAGTAACTTCCTTGTGTTGTGTGTATTCAACTGACAGAGTTGAACTTTCATTTGGAGAGAGCAGATTTGAAACACTGTTTTTGTGGAATTTGCAAGTGGAGATTTCAAGCGCTTTGCGGCCAAAGGCTGAAAAGGAAATATCCTCGTATAAAAACAAGACAGAATCATTCTCAGAAACTGCTCTGCGATGTGTGCGTTCAACTCTCAGAGTTTAACTTTTCTTTTCATTCAGCAGTTTGGAAACACTCTGTTTGTAAAGTCTGCACGTGGATATTTTGACCACTTAGAGGCCTTCGTTGGAGACGGGTTTTTTTCCTGTAAGGCTAGACAGAAGAATTCCCAGTAACTTCCTTGTGTTGTGTACATTCAACTCACAGAGTTGAACGTTCCCTTAGACAGAGCAGATTTGAAACACACTTTTTGTGCAATTGGCAAGTGGAGATTTCAAGCGCTTTAAGGTCAATGGCAGAAAAGCAAATATCTTCGTTTCAAAACTAGACAGAATCATTCCCACAAACTGCGTTGTGATGTGTTCGTTCAACTCACAGAGTTTAACCTTTCTGTTCATAGAGCAGTTAGGAAACACTCTGTTTGTAAAGTCTGCAAGTGGATATTCTGACATCTTGTGGCCTTCGTTGGAAACGGGATTTCTTCATATTCTGCTAGACAGAAGAATTCTCAGTAACTTCCTTGTGTTGTGTGTATTCAACTCACAGAGTTGAACGATCCTTTACACAGAGCAGACTTGTAACACTCTTTTTGTAGAATTTGGAAGTGGAGATTTCAGCCGCTTTGAAGTCAAAGGTAGAAAAGGAAATATCTTCCTATAAAAACTAGACAGAATGATTCTCAGAAATTCCTTTCTGATGTGTGCGTTCAACTCACAGAGTTCAACCTTTCTTTTCATAGAGCAGTTGGGAAACACTCTGTTTGTAAAGTCTGCAAGTGGATATTCAGACTTCTTTGAGGCCTTCGTTGGAAGCGGGATTTCTTCATGTTCTGCTTGACAGAAGAATTCCCAGTAACTTCCTTGTGTTGTGTGTGTTCAACTCACAGAGTTGAACTTTCATTTACACAGAGCAGATTTGAAACACTCTTTTTGTGGAATTTGCAGGTGGAGATTTCAAGCGCTTTGAGGCCAAAGGCAGAAAAGGAAATATCTTCCTATAAAAACTAGACAGAATGATTCTCAGAAACTCCTTTGTGATGTGGGCGTTCAACTCACAGAGTTTAACCTTTCTTTTCATAGAGCAGTTAGGAAACACTCTGTTTGTAACGTCTGCACGTGGATATTTGGACTTCTTTGAGGTCTTCGTTGGAAACGGGTTTTTTTCATGTAAGGCTAGACAGAAGAATTCCCAGTAACTTCCTTGTGTTGTGTGCATTCAACTCACAGAATTGAACGTTCCCTTAGACAGAGCAGATTTTAAACACTCTATTTGTGCAATTTGCAAGTGTAGATTTCAAGCGCTTTAAGGTCAACGGCAGAAAAGAAAATATCTTCGTTTCAAAACTAGACAGAATCATTCCCACAAACTGCGTTGTGATGTGCTCGTTCAACTCACAGAGTTTAACCTTTCTTTTCATAGAGCAGTTAGGAAACACTCTGTTTGTAAAGTCTGTAAGTGGATATTCTGACATCTTGTGGCCTTCGTTGGAAACGGGATTTCTTCATATTATGCTAGACAGAAGAATTCTCAGAATCTTCCTTGTGTTGTGTGTATTCAACTCACACAGTTGAACGATTGTTTACACAGAGCAGATTTGAAACACTCTTTCTGTGGAATTTGCAAGTGGAGATTTCAGCCGCTTTGAGGTCCATGGTAGAAAAGGAAATATCTTCGTATAACAACTAGACAGAATGATTCTGAGAAACTCCTTTGTCATGTGTGCGTTCAACTCACATAGTTTAACCTTTCTTTTCATAGAGCAGTTAGGAAACACTCTGTTTGTAAAGTCTGCAAGTGGATATTCAGACCTCCTTGAGGCATTCGTTGGAAACGGGATTTCTTCATATTATGCTAGACAGAAGAATTCCCAGTAACTTCCTTGTGTTGTGTGTGTTCAACTCACAGAGTTGAACTTTCATGTACACAGAGCAGATTTGAAACACTCTTTTCGTGGAATTTGCAAATGGAGATTTCAAGCGCTTTGAGGCCAAAGGCAGAAAAGGAAATATCTTCGTATAAAAACTAGACAGAATCATTCTCAGAAACTGCTGCGTGATGTGTGCGTTCAACTCTCAGAGTTTAACTTTTCTTTTCATTCAGCGGTTTGGAAACACTCTGTTTGTAAAGTCTGCACGTGGATATTTTGACCACTTAGAGGCCTTCATTGGAAACGGGTTTTTTTCATGTAAGGCTAGACAGAAGAATTCCCAGTAACTTCCTTGTGTTGTGTGCATTCAACTCACAGAGTTGAACGTTCCCTTAGACAGAGCAGATTTGAAACACTCTATTTGTGCAATTTGCAAGTGTAGATTTCAAGCGCTTTAAGGTCAATGGCAGAAAAGGAAATATCTTCGTTTCAAAACTACACAGAACGATTGTCAGAAACTCCTTTATGATGTGTGCGTTCAACTCACAGAGTTTAACCTTTCTTTTCATAGAGCAGTTAGGAAACACTCTGTTTGTAAATTCTGCAAGTGGATAATGAGACCTCTTTGAGGCCTTCGTTGGAAACGGGATTTCTTCATATTCTGCTAGACAGAAGAATTCTCAGTAACTTCCTCGTGTTGTGTGTATTCAACTCACAGAGTTGAACGATCCTTTACACAGAGCAGACTTGAAACACTCTTTTTGTGGAATTTGCATATGGAGATTTCAGCCGCTTTGAGGTCAATGGTTGAAAAGGAAATATCTTCATATAAAAATTAGACAGAATGATTCTCAGAAACTCCTTTGTGATGTGTGCGTTCAACTCACAGAGTTTAACCTTTCTTTTCATAGAGCAGTTAGGAAACACTCTGTTTGTAAAGGCTGCACGTGGATATTTGGACTTCTTTGAGGCCTTCATTGGAAACGGGTTTTTTTCATGTAAGGCTAGACAGAAGAATTCTCAGTAACTTCCTTGTGTTGTGTGTATTCAACTGACAGAGTTGAACTTTCATTTATAGAGAGCAGATTTGAAACACTGTTTTTGTGGAATTTGCAAGTGGAGATTTCAAGCGCTGTGGGGCCAAAGGCAGAAAAGGAAATATCTTCGTATAAAAACAAGACAGAATCATTCTCAGAAACTGCTCTGTGATGTGTGCGTTCAACTCTCAGAGTTTAACTTTTCTTTTCATTCAGCAGTTTGGAAACACTCTGTTTGTAAAGTCTGCACGTGGATATTTTGAACACTTCGAGGCCTTCGTTGGAAACGGGTTTTTTTCATGTAAGGCTAGACAGAAGAATTCCCAGTAACTTCCTTGTGTTGTGTGCATTCAACTCACAGAGTTGAACGTTCCCTTAGACAGAGCAGATTTGAAACACTCTATTTGTCCAATTTGCAAGTGTAGATTTCAAGCGCTTTAAGGTCAACGGCAGAAAAGGAAATATCTTCGTTTCAAAACTAGACAGAATGATTCTCAGAAACTCCTTTGTGATGTGTGCATTCAACTCACAGAGTTTAACCTTTCTTTTCATAGAGCAGTTAGGAAACACTCTGTTTGTAAAGTCTGCAAGTGGATATTCAGACCTCCTTGAGGCCTACGTTGGAAACGGGATTTCTTCATATTATGCTAGACAGAAGAATTCTCAGTAACTTCCTTGTGTTGTGTGTATTCAACTCACAGAGTTGAACGATCCTTTACACAGAGCAGACTTGAAACACTCTTTTTGTGGAATTTGCAAGTGGAGATTTCAGCCGATTTGAGGTCAATGGTAGAATAGGAAATATCTTCCTTTAGAAACTAGACAGAATGATTCTCAGAATCTTCTTTGTGATGTGTGCGTTCAACTCACAGAGTTTAACCTTTCTTTTCATAGAGCAGGTAGGAAACACTCTGTTTGTAAACTCTGCAAGTGGATATTCAGACCTCATTGAGGCCTTCGTTGGAAACGGGATTTCTTCATACTATGCTAGACAGAAGAATTCCCAGTAACTTCCTTGTGTTGTGTGTGTTCAACTCACAGAGTTGAGCTTTCATTTACACAGAGCAGATTTGAAACACTCTTTTTGTGGAATTTGCAAGTGGAGATTTCAAGCGCTTTGAGGCCAAAGGCAGAAAAGGAAATATCTTCGTATAAAAACTAGACAGAATCATTCTCAGAAACTGCTGCGTGATGTGTGCGTTCAACTCTCAGAGTTTAACTTTTGTTTTCATTCAGCGGTTTGGAAACACTCTGTTTGTAAAGTCTGCACGTGGATATTTTGACCACTTAGAGGCCTTCGTTGGAAACGGGTTTTTTTTCATGTAAGGCTACACAGAAGAATTCCCATTAACTTCCTTGTGTTGTGTGCATTCAACTCACAGAGTTGAACGTTCCCTTAGACAGAGCAGATTTGAAACACTCTATTTGTGCAATTTGCAAGTGTAGATTTCAAGCGCTTTAAGGTCAACGGCAGAAAAGGAAATATCTTCGTTTCAAAACTAGACAGAATGATTATCATAAACTCCTTTGTGATGTGTGCCTTCAACTCACAGAGTTTAACCTTTCTTTTCATAGAGCAGTTAGGAAACACTCTGTTTGTAAAGTCTGCAAGTGGATATTCAGACCTCCTTGAGGCCTTCGTTGGAAACGGGATTTCTTCATATTCTGCTAGACAGAAGAATTCTCAGTAACTTCCTTGTGTTGTGTGTATTCAACTCACAGAGTTGAACGATCCTTTACACAGAGCAGACTTGAAACACTCTTTTTGTGGAATTTGCAAGTGGAGATTTCAGCCGCTTTGAGGTCAATGGTAGAAAAGGAAACTATCTTCGTATAAAGACTAGACAGAACGATTCTCAGAAACTCCTTTGTGATGTGTGCGTTCAACTCACAGAGTTTAACCTTTCTTTTCATAGAGCAGTTAGGAAACACTCTGTTTGTAAAGTCTGCAAGTGGATATTCAGACCTCCTTGAGGCCTTCGTTGGAAACGGGATTTCTTCATATTCTGCTAGACAGAAGAATTCTCAGTAACTTCCTTGTGTTGTGTGTATGCAACTCACAGAGTTGAACGATCCTTTACACAGAGCAGACTTGAAACACTCTTTTTGTGGAATTTGCAAGTGGAGATTTCAGCCGCTTTGAGGTCAATAGTAGAAAAGGAAATATCTTCGTAGAAAAACTACACAGAATCATTCTCAGAAACTGCTGTGTGATGTGTGCGTTCAACTCTCAGAGTTTAACTTTTCTTTTCATTCAGCGGTTTGGAAACACTCTGTTTGTAAAGTCTGCACGTGGATATTTTGACCACTTAGAGGCCTTCGTTGGAAACGGGTTTTTTTCATGTAAGGCTAGACAGAAGAATTCTCAGTAACTTCCTTGTGTTGTGTGTATTCAACTCACAGAGTTGAACGATCCTTTACACAGAGCAGACTTGAAACACTCTTTTTGTGGAATTTGCAAGTGGAGATTTCAGCCGCTTTGAGGTCAATGGTAGAAAAGAAAATATCTTCGTAGAAAAACTAGACAGAATGATTCTCAGAAACTCCTTTGTGATGTGTGTGTTCAACTCACAGAGTTTAACCTTTCTTTTCATACAGCAGTTAGTAAACACTCTGTTTATAAAGTCTGCATGTGGATATTCAGAACCCTTTGAGGCCTTCGTTGGAAACGGGATTTCTTCATATTATGCTAGACAGAAGAATTCTCAGTAACTTCCTTGTGTTGTGTGTATTCAACTCACAGAAGTTGAACGATCCTTTACACAGAGCAGACTTGAAACATTCTTTTTGTGGAATTTGCAAGTGGAGATTTCAGCCGCTTAGAGGTCAATGGTAGAATAGGAAATATCTTCCTATAGAAACTAGACAGAATGATTCTCAGAAACTCCTTTGTGATGTGTGCGTTCAACTCACAGAGTTTAACCTTTCTGTTCATAGAGCAGTTAGGAAACACTCTGTTTGTAAAGTCTGCAAGTGGATATTCAGACCTCCTTGAGGCCTTCTTTGGAAACGGGATTTCTTCATATTCTGCTAGACAGAAGAATTCCCAGTAACTTCCTTGTGTTGTGTGTGTTCAACTCACAGAGTTGAACTTTCATTTACACAGAGCAGATTTGAAACACTCTTTTTGTGGAATTTGAAAGTGGAGATTTCAAGCGCTTTGAGGCCAAAGGCAGAAAAGGAAATATCTTCGTATAAAAACTAGACAGAATGATTCTCAGAAACTGCTCTGCGATGTGTGCGTTCAACTCTCAGAGTTTAACTTTTCTTTTCATTCAGCAGTTTGGAAACACTCTGTTTGTAAAGTCTGCACGTGGATATTTTGACCACTTAGAGGCCTTCGTTGGAAACGGGTTTTTTTCCTTTAAGGCTAGACAGAAGAATTCCCAGTAACTTCCTTGTGTTGTGTACATTCAACTCACAGAGTTGAACGTTCCCTCAGACAGAGCAGATTTGAAACACTCTTTTTGTGCAATTGGCAAGTGGTGATTTCAGCCGCTTTGAGGTCAATGGTAGAAAAGGAAATATCTTCGTATAAAAACTAGACAGAATGATTCTAAGAAAATATTTTGTGATGTGTGCGTTCAACTCACAGAGTTTAACTTTTCTTCTCATAGAGCAGTTAGGAAACACTCTGTTTGTAAAGTGTGCAAGTGGATATTCAGACCTCTTTGAGGCCTTCGTTGGAAAAGGGATTTCTTCATATTATGCTAGACAGAATAATTCTCAGTAACTTGCCTTGTGTTGTGTGTATTCAACTCACAGAGTTGAAAGACCCTTTACAGAGAGCAGGCTTGAAACACTCTTTTTGTCGAATTTGCAAGTGGAGATTTCAGCCGCTTTGAGGTCAATGGTAGAATAGGAAATATCTTCTTATAGAAACTAGACAGAATCATTCTCAGAAACTCCTTTGTGATGTGTGTGTTCAACTCACAGAGTTTAACCTTTCTTTTCATAGAGCAGTTAGTAAACACTCTGTTTATAAAGTCTGCAAGTGGATATTCAGACCCCTTTGAGGCCTTCGTTGGAAACGGGGATTTCTTCATATTATGCTAGACAGAAGAATTCTCAGTAACTTCCTTGTGTTGTGTGTATTCAACTGACAGAGTTGAACTTTCATTTAGAGAGAGCAGATTTGAAACACTGTTTTTGTGGAATTTGCAAGAGGAGATTTCAAGCGCTTTGGGGCCAAAGGCAGAAAAGGAAATATCTTCGTATAAAAACTAGACAGAATCATTCTCAGAAACTGCTGCGTGATGTGTGCGTTCAACTCTCAGAGTTTAACTTTTCTTTTCATTCAGCGGTTTGGAAACACTCTGTTTGTAAAGACTGCACGTGGATATTTTGACCACTTAGAGGCCTTCGTTGGAAAGGGGTTTTTTTTCATGTAAGGCTAGACAGAAGAATTCCCAGTAACTTCCTTGTGTTGTGTGCATTCAACTCACAGAGTTGAACGTTCCCTTAGACAGAGCAGATTTGAAACACTCTATTTGTGCAATTTGCAAGTGTAGATTTCAAGCGCTTTAAGGTCAATGGCAGAAAAGGAAATATCTTCGTTTGAAAACTAGACAGAATGATTCTCAGAAACTCCTTTGTGATGTGTGCGCTCAACTCACAGAGTTTAACCTTTCTTTTCATAGAGCAGTTAGGAAACACTCTGTTTGTAAAGTCTGTAAGTGGATATTCTGACATCTTGTGGCCTTCGTTGGAAACGGGATTTCTTCATATTCTGCTAGACAGAAGAATTCTCAGTAACTTCCTTGTGTTGTGTGTATTGAACTCACAGAGTTGAACGATCCTTTACACAGAGCAGACTTGAAACACTCTTTTTGTGGAATTTGCAAGTGGAGATTTCAGCCGCTTTGAGGTCAACAGTAGAAAAGGAAATATCTTCGTAGAAAAACTAGACAGATTGATTCTCATAAACTCCTTTGTGATGTGTGCGTTCAACTCACAGAGTTTAACCTTTCTTTTCATAGAGCAGTTAGGAAACACTCTGTTTGTAAAGTCTGCAAGTGGATATTCAGACCTCTTTGAGGCCTTCGTTGGAAACGGGATTTCTTCATATTCTGCTAGACAGAAGAATTCCCAGTAACTTCCTTGTGTTGTGTGTGTTCAACTCACAGAGTTGAACTTTCATTTACACAGAGCAGATTTGAAACACTCTTTTTGTGGAATTTGCAAATGGAGATTTCAAGCACTTTGAGGCCAAAGGCAGAAAAGGAAATGTCTTCGTTTCAAAACTAGACAGAATCATTCTCAGAAACTGCTGCGTGATGTGTGCGTTCAACTCTCAGAGTTTAACTTTTCTTTTCATTCAGCGGTTTGGAAACACTCTGTTTGTAAAGTCTGCACGTGGATATTTTGACCACTTAGAGGTCTTCGTTGGAAACGGGTTTTTTTTAATGTAAGGCTAGACAGAAGAATTCCCAGTAACTTCCTTGTGTTGTGTGTATTCAACTCACAGAGTTGAACGTTCCCTTAGACAGAGCAGATTTGAAACACTCTATTTGTGCAATTTGCAAGTGTAGATTTCAAGCGCTTTAAGGTCAATGGCAGAAAAGGAAATATCTTCGTTTGAAAACTAGACAGAATCATTCCCACAAACTGCGTTGTGATGTGTTCGTTCAACTCACAGAGTTTAACCTTTCTTTTCATAGAGCAGTTAGGAAACAGTCTGTTTGTCAATTCTGTAAGTGGATATTCTGACATCTTGTGGCCTTAGTTGGAAACGGGATTTCTTCATATTCTGCTAGACAGAAGTATTCTCTTTAACTTCCTTGTGTTGTGTGTATTCAACTCACAGAGTTGAACGATCCTTTACACAGAGCAGACTTGAAACACTCTTTTTGTGGAATTTGCAAGTGGAGATTTCAGCCGCTTTGAGGTCAATGTTAGAATAGGAAATATCTTCCTATAGAAACTAGACAGAATGATTCTCAGAAACTCCTTTGTGATGTGTGCGTTCAACTCACAGAGTTTAACCTTTCTTTTCATAGAGCAGTTAGGAAACACTCTGTTTGTAAAGTCTGCAAGTGGATATTCAGACCTCTTTGAGGCCTTCGCTGGAAACGGGTTTTTTTCATATAAGGCTAGACAGAAGAATTCCCAGTAACTTCCTTGTGTTGTGTGTGTTCAACTCACAGAGTTGAACTTTCATTTACACAGAGCAGATTTGAAACACTCTTTTTGTGGAATTTGCAGGTGGAGATTTCAAGCGCTTTGAGGCCAAAGGCAGAAAAGGAAATATCTTCGTTTCAAAACTAGACAGAATCATTCTCAGAAACTGCTGCGTGATGTGTGCGTTCAACTGTCAGAGTTTAACTTTTCTTTTCATTCAGCGGTTTGGAAACACTCTGCAAAGTCTGCACGTGGATATTTTGACCACTTAGAGGCCTTCGTTGGAAACGGGTTTTTTTTATGTAAGGCTAGACCGAAGAATTCCCCGTAACTTCCTTGTGTTGTGTGCATTCAACTCACAGAGTTGAACGTTCCCTTAGACAGAGCAGATTTGAAACACTCTATTTGTGCAATTTGCAAGTGTAGTTTTCAAGCTCTTTAAGGTCAACGGCAGAAAAGGAAATATCTTCGTTTCAAAACTAGACAGAATCATTCCCACAAACTGCGTTGTGATGTGTTCGTTCAACTCACAGAGTTTAACCTTTCTTTTCATAGAGCAGTTAGGAAACAGTCTGTTTGTCAATTCTGTAAGTGGATATTCTGACATCTTGTGGCCTTAGTTGGAAACGGGATTTCTTCATATTCTGCTAGACAGAAGAATTCCCAGTAATTTCCTTGTGTTGTGTGGATTCAACTCACAGAGTTGAACGATACTTTAAACAGAGCAGATTAGAAACACTCTTTTTGTGGAATTTGCAAGTGGAGATTTCAGCCGCTTTGAGGTCAATGGTAGAAAAGGGAATATCTTCGTATAAAAACTAGACAGAATGATTCTCAGAAACTCCTTTGTAATGTGTGTGTTCAACTCACAGAGTTTAACCTTTCTGTTCATAGAGCAGTTAGGAAACACTCTGTTTGTAAAGTCTGCAAGTGGATATTCAGACCTCTTTGAGGCCTTCGTTGGAAACGGGATTTCTTCATATTCTGCTAGACAGAAGAATTCTCAGAAACTTCCTTGTGTTGTGTGTTTTCAACTCACAGAGTTGAACGATGCTTTACACAGAGTAGACTTGAAACACTCTTTTTGTGTAATTTGCAAGTGGAGATTTCAGCCGCTTTGAGGTCAATGGTAGAAAAGGAAATATCTTCGTATAAAAACTAGACAGAATGATTCTCAGAAACTCCTTTGTGATGTGTGCGTTCAACTCACAGAGTTTATCCTTTCTTTTCATAGAGCAGTTAGGAAACACTCTGTTTGTAAAGTCTGCAAGAGAATATTCAGACATCTTTGAGACTTTCGTTGGAAACGGGATTTCATCATATTCTGCTAGACAGAAGAATTCTCAGTAACTTCCTTGTGTTGTGTGTATTCAACTGACAGAGTTGAACTTTCATTTAGAGAGAGCAGATTTGAAACACTGTTTTTGTGGAATTTGCAAGTGGAGATTTCAAACGCTTTGGGGCCAAAGGCAGAAAAGGAAATATCTTCGTATAAAAACTAGACAGACTCATTCTCAGAAACTGCTCTGCGATGTGTGCGTTCAACTCTCAGAGTTTAACTTTTCTTTTCATTCAGCAGTTTGGAAACACTCTGTTTGTAAAATCTGCACGTGGATATTTTGACCACTTAGAGGCCTTCGTTGGAAACGGGTTTCTTTCCTGTAAGGCTAGACAGAAGAATTCCCAGTAACTTCCTTGTGTTGTGTACATTCAACTCACAGAGTTGAACGTTCCCTTAGACAGAGCAGATTTGAAACACTCTTTTTGTGCAATTGGCAAGTGGAGATTTCAAGCGCTTTAAGGTCAATGGCAGAAAAGGAAATATCTTCGTTTCAAAACTAGACAGAATCATTCCCAAAAACTGCGTTGTGATGTGTTCGTTCATCTCACAGAGTTTAACCTTTCTTTTCATAGAGCAGTTAGGAAACAGTCTGTTTGTAAATTCTGTAAGTGGATATTCTGACATCTTGTGGCCTTCGTTGGAAACGGGATTTCTTCATATTCTGCTAGACAGAAGAATTCTCAGTAACTGCCTTGTGTTGTGTGTATTCAACTCACAGAGTTGAACGATCCTTTACACAGAACAGACTTGAAACACTCTTTTTGTGGAATTTGCAAGTGGAGATTTCAGCCGCTTTGAGGTCAATGGTAGAATAGGAAATATCTTCCTGTAGAAACTAGACAGAATGATTCTCAGAAACTCCTTTGTGATGTGTGCGTTGAACTCACAGAGTTTAACCTTTCTTTTCATAGAGCAGTTAGGAAACACTCTGTTTGTAAAGTCTGCAAGTGGATATTCAGACCTCCTTGAGACCTTCGTTGGAAACGGGATTTCTTCATATTATGCTAGACAGAAGAATTCTCAGTAACTTCCTTGTGTTGTGTGTATTCAACTGACAGAGTTGAACTTTCATTTAGAGAGAGCAGATTTGAAACACTCTTTTTGTGGAATTTGCAAGTGGAGATTTCAAGCGCTTTGTGGCCAAAGGCAGAAAACGAAATATCTTCGTATAAAAACTAGACAGAATCATTCTCAGAAACTGCTGAGTGATGTGTGCGTTCAACTCTCAGAGTTTAACTTTTCTTTTCATTCAGCGGTTTGGAAACACTCTGTTTGTAAAGTCTGCACGTGGACATTTTGACCACTTAGAGGCCTTCGTTGGAAACGGGTTTTTTTCATGTAAGGCTAGACAGAAGAATTCCCAGTAACTTCCTTGTGTTGTGTGCATTCAACTCACAGAGTTGGACGTTCCCTTAGAAAGAGCAGATTTGAAACACTCTATTTGTGCAATTTGCAAGTGTAGATTTCAAGCTCTTTAAGGTCAATGGCAGAAAAGGAAATATCTTCGTTTCAAAACTAGACAGAATCATTCCCACAAACTGCGTTGTGAGGTGTTCGTTCAACTAACAGAGTTTAACCTTTCTGTTCATAAAGCAGTTAGGAAATACTCTGTTTGTAAAGTCTGAAAGTGGATATTCTGACATCTTGTGGCCTTCGTTGGAAACGGGATTTCTTCATATTCTGCTAGACAGAAGAATTCTCAGAAACTTCCTTGTGTTGTGTGTATTCAACTCACACAGTTGAACGATGGTTTACACAGAGCAGATTTGAAACACTCTTTTTGTGGAATTTGCAAGTGGAGATTTCAGCCGCTTTGAGGTCAATGGTAGAAAAGGAAATATCTTCGTATAAAAACTAGACAGAATGATTCTCAGAAACTCCTTTGTGATGTGTGCGTTCAACTCACAGAGTTTAACCTTTCTGTTCATAGAGCCGTTAGGAAACACTCTGTTTGTAAAGTCTGCAAGTGGATATTCAGACCTCTTTGAGGCCTTCGTTGGAAACGGGATTTCTTCATATTCTGCTAGACAGAAGAATTCCCAGTAACTTCCTTGTGTTGTGTGTGTTCAACTCACAGAGTTGAACTTTCATTTACACAGAGCAGATTTGAAACACTCTTTTTGTGGAATTTGCAAGTGGAGATTTCAAGCGCTTTGAGGCCAAAGCAGAAAAGGAAATATCTTCGTATAAAAACTAGACAGAATCATTCTTAGAAACTGCTCTGCGATGTGTGCGTTCAACTCTCAGAGTTTAACTTTTCTTTTCATTCAGCAGTTTGGAAACACTCTGTTTGTAAAGTCTGCACGTGGATAACTTGACCACTTAGAGGCCTTCGTTGGAAACGGGTTTTTTTCATGTAAGGCTAGACAGAATTCCCAGTAACTTCCTTGTGTTGTGTACATTCAACTCACAGAGTTGAACGTTCCCTTAGACAGAGCAGATTTGAAACACTCTTTTTGTGCAATTGGCAAGTGGAGATTTCAAGCGCTTTAAGGTCAATGGCAGAAAAGGAAATATCTTCGTTTCAAAACTAGACAGAATCATTCCCACAAACTGCGTTGTGATGTGTTCGTTCATCTCACAGAGTTTAACCTTTCTTTTCATAGAGCAGTTAGGAAACAGTCTGTTTGTAAATTCTGTAAGTGGATATTCTGACATCTTGTGGCCTTCGTTGGAAACGGGATTTCTTCATATTCTGCTAGACGGAAGAATTCTCAGTAACTTCCTTGTGTTGTGTGTATTCAACTCACAGAGTTGAACGATCCTTTACACAGAGCAGACTTGAAACACTCTTTTTGTGGAATTTGCAAGTGCAGATTTCAGCCGCTTTGAGGTCAATGGTAGAAAAGGAAACTATCTTCATATAAAGACTAGACAGAATGATTCTCAGAAACTCCTTTGTGATGTGTGTGTTCAACTCACAGAGTTTAACCTTTCTTTTCATAGAGCAGTTAGTAAACACTCTGTTTATAAAGTCTGCAAGTGGATATTCAGACCCCTTTGTGGCCTTCGTTGGAAACGGGATTTCTTCATATTATGCTAGACAGAAGAATTCCCAGTAACTTCCTTGTGTTGTGTGTGTTCAACTCACAGAGTTGAACTTTCATTTACACAGAGCAGGTTTGAGACACTCTTTTTGTGGAATTTGCTAATGGAGATTTCAAGCGCTTTGAGGCCAAAGGCAGAAAAGGAAATATCTTCGTATAAAAACTAGACAGAATCATTCTCAGAAACTGCTCTGCGATGTGTGCGTTCAACTCTCAGAGTTTAACTTTTCTTTTCATTCAGCAGTTTGGAAACACTCTGTTTGTAAAGTCTGCACGTAGATAATTTGACCACTTAGAGGCCTTCATTGGAAACGGGTTTTTTTCCTGTAAGGCTAGACAGAAGAATTCCCAGTAACTTCCTTGTGTTGTGTACATTCAACTCACAGAGTTGAACGTTCCCTTAGACAGAGCAGATTTGAAACACTCTTTTTGTGCAATTGGCAAGTGGAGATTTCAAGCGCTTTGAGGTCAATGGCAGAAAAGGAAATATCTTCGTTTCAAAACTAGACAGAATCATTCCCACAAACTGCGTTGTGATGTGTTCGTTCAACTCACAGAGTTTAACCTTTCTGTTCACAGAGCAGTTAGGAAACACTCTGTTTCTAAAGTCTGTAAGTGGATATTCTGACATCTTGTGGCCTTCGTTGGAAACGGGATTTCTTCATATTCTGCTAGACAGAAGAATTCTCACTAACTTCCTTGTGTTGTGTGTATTCAACTCACAGAGTTGAACGATCCTTTACAGAGAGCAGACTTGAAACACTCTTTTTGTGGAATTTGCAAGTGGAGATTTCAGCCGCTTTGAGGTCAATGGTAGAAAAGGAAATATCTTCGTATAAAGACTAGACAGAATGATTCTCAGAAACTCCTTTGTGATGTGTACGTTCAACTCACAGAGTTTAACCTTTCTTTTCTTAGAGCAGTTAGGAAACACTCTGTTTGTAAAGTCTGCAAGTGGATATTCAGACCTCCTTGAGGCCTTCGTTGGAAACGGGTTTTTTTCATATAAGGCTAGACAGAAGAATTCCCAGTAACTTCCTTGTGTTGTGTGTGTTCAACTCACAGAGTTGAACTTTCATTTACACAGAGCAGATTTGAAACACTCTTTTTGTGGAATTTGAAAGTGGAGATTTCAAGCGCTTTGAGGCCAAAGGCAGAAAAGGAAATATCTTCGTTTCAAAACTAGACAGAATCATTCTCAGAAACTGCTGCGTGATGTGTGCGTTCAACTCTCAGAGTTTAACTTTTCTTTTCATTCAGCGGTTTGGAAACACTCTGTTTGTAAAGTCTGCACGTGGATATTTTGACCACTTAGAGGCCTTCATTGGAAACGGGTTTATTTCATGTAAGGCTAGACAGAAGAATTCTCAGTAACTTCCTTTTGTTGTGTACATTCAACTCACAGAGTTGAACGTTCCCTTACACAGAGCAGATTTGAAACACTCTTTTTGTGCAATTGGCAAGTGGAGATTTCAAGCGCTTTGAGGCCAAAGGCAGAAAAGGAAATATCTTCGTATAAAAACTAGACAGAATCATTCCCACAAACTGCGTTGTAATGTGTGCGTTCAACTCACAGAGTTTAACCTTTCTTTTCATAGAACAGTTAGGAAACACTCTGTTTGTAAAGTCTGCAAGTGGATATTCAGACCTCTTTGAGGCCTTCGTTGGAAACGGGATTTCTTCATATTCTGCTAGACAGAAGAATTCTCAGTAACTTCCTTGTGTTGTGTGTATTCAACTCCCAGAGTTGAACGTTCCCTTAGACAGAGCAGATTTGAAACACTCTTTTTGTGCAATTGGCAAGTGGTGATTTCAGCCGCTTTGGGGTCAATGGTAGAAAAGGTAATATCTTCGTATAAAAACTAGACAGAATGATTCTCAGAAACTTCATTGTGACGTGTGCGTTCAACTCAGAGAGTTTAACCTTTCTTTTCATAGAGCAGTTAAGAAACACTCTGTTTGTAAAGTCTGCAAGTGGATATTCAGACCTCTTTGAGGCCTTCGTTGGAAACGGGATTTCTTCATACTGTGCTAGACAGAAGAATTCCGAGTAACTTCCTTGTGTTGTGTGTGTTCAACTCACAGAGTTGAACTTTCATTTACACAGAGCAGATTTGAAACACTCTTTTTGTGGAATTTGCAAGTGGAGATTTCAAGCGCTTTGAGGCCAAAGGCAGAAAAGGAAATATCTTCGTTTCAAAACTAGACAGAATCATTCTCAGAAACTGCTCTGTTATGTGTGCGTTCAACTCTCAGAGTTTAACTTTTCTTTTCATTCAGCAGTTTGGAAACACTCAGTTTGTAAAGTCTGCACGTGGATATTTTGACCACTTAGAGGTCTTCGTTGGAAACGGGTTTTTTTCATGAAAGGCTAGACAGAAGAATTCCCAGTAACTTCCTTGTGTTGTGTACATTCAACTCACAGAGTTGAACGTTCCCTTAGACAGAGCAGATTTGAAACACTCTTTTTGTGCAATTGGCAAATGGAGATTTCAAGTGCTTTAAGGTCAATGGCAGAAAAGGAAATATCTTCGTTTCAAAACTAGACAGATTGATTCTCAGAAACTCCTTTGTGATGTGTGCGTTCAACTCACAGAGTTTAACCTTTCTTTTCATAGAGCAGTTAGGAAACACTCTGTTTGTAAAGTCTGCAAGTGGATATTCAGACCTCTTTGAGGCCTTCGTTGGAAACGGGATTTCTTCCTATTATGCTAGACAGAAGAATTCTCAGTAACTTCCTTGTGTTGTGTGTATTCAAATCACAGAGTTGAACGATCCTTTACACAGAGCAGACTTCAAACACTCTTTTTGTGGAATTTGCAAGTGGAGATTTCAGCCGCTTTGAGGTCAATAGTAGAAAAGGAAATATCTTCGTAGAAAAACTAGACAGAATGATTCTCAGAAACTCCTTTGTGATGTGTGCGTTCAACTCACAGAGTTTAACCTTTCTGTTCATAGAGCTGTTAGGAAACACTCTGTTTGTAAAGTCTGCAAGTGGATATTCAGACCTCCTTCAGGCCTTCGTTGGAAACGGGATTTCTTCATATTCTGCTAGACAGAAGAATTCTCAGTAACTTCCTTGTGTTGTGTGTGTTCAACTCACAGAGTTGAACTTTCATTTACACAGAGCAGATTTGAAACACTCTTTTTGTGGAATTTGCAAGTGGAGATTTCAAGCGCTTTGAGGCCAAAGGCAGAAAAGGAAATATCTTCGTTTCAAAACTAGACAGAATCATTCTCAGAAACTGCTCTGCGATGTGTGCGTTTAACTCTCAGAGTTTAACTTTTCTTTTCATTCAGCAGTTTGGAAACACTCTGTTTGTAAAGTCTGCACGTGGATAATTTGACTACTTAGAGGCCTTCGTTGGAAACGGGTTTTTTTCATGTAAGGCTAGACAGAAGAATTCCCAGTAACTTCCTTGTGTTGTGTACATTCAACTCACAGAGTTGAACGTTCCCTTAAACAGAGCAGATTTGAAACACTCTTTTTGTGCAATTGGCAAGTGGAGATTTCAAGCGCTTTGAAGTCAATGGCAGAAAAGGAAATATCTTCGTTTCAAAACTAGATAGAATCATTCCCACAAACTGCGTTGTGATGTGTTCGTTCAACTCACAGAGTTTAACCTTTCTTTTCATAGAGCAGTTAGGAAACAGTCTGTTTGTAAATTCTGTAAGTGGATATTCTGACAGCTTGTGGCCTTCGTTGGAAACGGGATTTCTTCATACTATGCTAGACAGAAGAATTCTCAGTAACTTCCTTGTGTTGTGTGTATTCAACTCACAGTGTTGAACGATCCTTTACACAGAGCATACTTGAAACACTCTTGTTGTGGAATTTGCAAGTGGAGAATTCAGCCGCTTTGAGGTCAATGGTAGAATAGGAAATATCTTCCTATAGAAACTAGACAGAATGATTCTCAGAAACTTCATTGTGATGTGTGCGTTCAACTCACAGTTTAACCTTTCTTTTCATAGAGCAGTTAGGAAACACTCTGTTTGTAAACTCTGCAAGTGGATATTCAGACCTCTTTGAGGCCTTCGTTGGAAACGGGTTTTTTTCATATAAGGCTAGACAGAAGAATTCCCAGTAACTTCCTTGTGTTGTGTGTGTTCAACTCACAGAGTTGTACTTTCATTTACACAGAGCAGATTTGAAACACTCTTTTTGTGGAATTTGCAAATGGAGATTTCAAGCGCTTTGAGGCCAAAGGCAGAAAAGGAAATATCTTCGTATAAAAACTAGACAGAATCATTCTCAGAAACTGCTCTGCGATGTGTGCGTTCAACTCTCAGAGTTTAACTTTTCTTTTCATTCAGCAGTTTGGAAACACACTGTTTGTAAAGTCTGCACGTGGATACTTTGACCACTTAGAGGCCTTCGTTGGAAACGGGTTTTTTTCCTGTAAGGCTAGACAGAATAATTCCCAGTAACTTCCTTGTGTTGTGTACATTCAACTCACAGAGTTGAACGTTCCCTTGGACAGAGCAGATTTGAAACACTCTTTTTGTGCAATTGGCAAGTGGAGATTTCAAGCGCTTAAGGTCAATGGCAGAAAAGGAAATATCTTCGTTTCAAAACTAGACAGAATCATTCCCACAAACTGCGTTGTGATGTGTTCGTTCAACTCACAGAGTTTAACCATTCTTTTCATAGAGCAGTTAGGAAACACTCTGTTTGTAAATTCTGTAAGTGGATATTCTGACATCTTTTGGCCTTCGTTGGAAACGGGATTTCTTCATATTCTGCTAGACAGAAGAATTCTCAGTAACTTCCTTGTGTTGTGTGTATTCAACTCACAGAGTTGAACGATCCTTTACACAGAGCGGACTTGAAACACTCGTTTTGTGGAATTTGCAAGTGGAGATTTCAGCCGTGTTGAGGTAAATAGTAGAAAAGGAAATATCTTCGTATAAAAACTAGACAGAATGATTCTCATAAACTCCTTTGTGATGTGTGCGTTCAACTCACAGAGTTTAACCTTTCTTTTCATAGAGCAGTTAGGAAACACTCTGTTTGTAAAGTCTGCAAGTGGATATTCAGACCTCTTTGAGGCCTTCGTTGGAAACGGGATTTCTTCCTATTCTGCTAGACAGAAGAATTTCCAGTAACTTCCTTTTGTTGTGTGTGTTCAACTCACAGAGTTGAACTTTCATTTACACAGAGCAGATTTGAAACACTCTTTTTGTGGAATTTGCAAGTGGAGATTTCAAGCGCTTTGAGGCCAAAGGCAGAAAAGGAAATATCTTCGTATAAAAACTAGACAGAATCATTCTCAGAAACTGCTGCGTGATGTGTGCGTTCAACTATCAGAGTTTAACTTTTCTTTTCATTCAGCGGTTTGGAAACACTCTGTTTGTAAAGTCTGCACGTGGATATTTTGACCACTTAGAGGCCTTCGTTGGAAACGGGTTTTTTGCATGTAAGGCTAAACAGAAGAATTCCCAGTAACTTCCTTGTGTTGTGTACATTCAACTCACAGAGTTGAACGTTCCCTTAGACAGAGCAGATTTGAAACACTCTTTTTGTGCAATTGGCAAGTGGTTATTTCAGCCGCTTTGAGGTCAATGGTAGAAAAGGAAATATCTTCGTATAAAAACTAGACAGAATGATTCTCAGAAACTTCATTGTGATGTGTGCGTTCAACTCACAGAGTTTAACCTTTCTTTTTATAGAGCAGTTAGGAAACACTCTGTTTGTAAACTCTGCAAGTGGATATTCAGACCTCTTTGAGGCCTTCGTTGGAAACGGGTTTTCTTCATACTGTGCTAGACAGAAGAATTCTCAGTAACTTCCTTGTGTTGTGTGTATTCAACTCACAGAGCTGAACGATCCTTTACACAGGGCGGACTTGAAACACTCTTTTTGTGGAATTTGCAAGTGGAGATTTCAGCCGCTTTGAGGTCAATGTTAGAAAAGGAAATATCTTCGTATAAAAACTAGACAGAATGATTCTCAGAAACTCCTTTGTGATGTGTGCGTTCAACTCATAGAGTTTAACTTTTCTTTTCATAGAGCAGTTAGGAAACACTCTGTTTGTAAAGTCTTCAAGTGGATATTCAGACCTCTTTGAGGCCTTCGTTGGAAACGGGATTTCTTCATATTCTGCTAGACAGAAGAATTCTCAGTAACTTCCTTGTGTTGTGTGTATTCAACTCACAGAGTTGAACTTTCATTTAGAGAGAGCAGATTTGAAACACTGTTTTTGTGGAATTTGCAAGTGGAGATTTCAAGCGCTTTGGGGCCAAAGGCAGAAAAGGAAATATCTTCGTATAAAAACTAGACAGAATCATTCTCAGAAACTGCTGCATGATGTGTGCGTTCAACTCTCAGAGTTTAACTTTTCTTTTCATTCAGCGGTTTGGAAACACTCTGTTTGTAAAGTCTGCACGTGGATATTTTGACCACTTAGAGGCCTTCGTTAGAAACGGGTTTTTTTCATGTAAGGCTAGACAGAAGAATTCCCAGTAACTTCCTTGTGTTGTGTGCATTCAACTCACAGAGTTGAACGTTCCCTTAGACAGAGCAGATTTGAAACACTCTATTTGTGCAATTTACAAGTGTAGATTTCAAGCGCTTTAAGGTCAACGGCAGAAAAGGAAATATCTTCGTTTCAAACCTAGACAGAATCATTCCCACAAACTGCGTTGTGATGTGTTCGTTCAACTCACAGAGTTTAACCTTTCTGTTCATAGAGCAGTTAGGAAACACTCTGTTTGTAAAGTCTGCAAGTGGATATTCAGACCTCCTAGAGGCCTTCGTTGGAAACGGGATTTCTCCATATTCTGCTAGACAGAAGAATTGTCAGAAACTTCGTTGTGTTGTGTGTTTTCAACTCACAGAGTTGAACGATCCTTTACACAGAATAGACTTGAAACACTCTTTTTGTGGAATTTGCAAGTGGAGATTTCAGCCGCTTTGAGGTCAATGGTAGAAAAGGAAATATCTTCGTATAAAAACTAGACAGAATGATTCTGAGAAACTCCTTTGTGATGTGTGCGTTCAACACACAGAGTTTAACCTTTCTTTTCATAGAGCAGTTAGGAAACACTCTGTTTGTAAAGTCTGCAAGTGGATATTCAGACCTCCTTGAGGCCTTCGTTGGAAACGCGATTTCTTCATATTATGCTAGACAGAAGAATTCTCAGTAACTTCCTTGTGTTGTGTGTATTCAACTGACAGAGTTGAACTTTCATTTGGAGAGAGCAGATTTGAAACACTGTTTTTGTGGAATTTGCAAGTGGAGATTTCAAGCGCTTTGGGGCCAAAGGCAGAAAAGGAAATATCTTCGTAGAAAAACTAGACAGAATCATTCTCAGAAACTGCTGCGTGATGTGTGCGTTGAACTCTCAGAGTTTAACTTTTCTTTTCATTCAGCGGTTTGGAAACACTCTGTTTGTAAAGTCTGCACGTGGATATTTTGACCACTTAGAGGCCTTCGTTGGAAACGGGTTTTTTTCATGTAAGGCTAGACAGAAGAATTCCCAGTAACTTCCCTTGTGTTGGGTGCATTAAACTCACAGAGTTGAACGTTCCCTTAGACAGAGCAGATTTGAAACACTCTATTTGTGCAATTTGCAAGTGTAGATTTCAAGCGCTTTAAGGTCAATGGCAGAAAAGGAAATATCTTCGTTTCAAAACTAGACAGAATCATTCCCACAAACTGCGTTGCGATGTGTTCGTTCAACTCACACAGTTTAACATTTCTTTTCATAGAGCACTTAGGAAACAGACTGTTTGTAAATTCTGTAAGTGGATATTCTGACATCTTGTGGCCTTCGTTGGAAACAGGATTTCTTCATATTCTGCTAGACAGAATAATTCTCAGTAACTTCCTTGTGTTGTGTGTATTCAACTCACAGAGTTGAATGATCCTTTACACAGAGCAGACTTGAAACACTCTTTTTGTGGAATTTGCAAGTGGAGATTTCAGCCGCTTTGAGGTCAATGGTAGAAAAGGAAACTATCTTCATATAAAGACTAGACAGAATGATTCTGAGAAACTCCTTTGTGATGTGTGCATTCAACTCACAAAGTTTAACCTTTCTTTTCATAGAGCAGTTAGGAAACACTCTGTTTGTAAAGTCTGCAAGTGGATATTCAGACCTCCTTGAGGCCTTCGTTGGAAACGGGATTTCTTCATATTATGCTAGACAGAAGAATTGTCAGTAACTTCCTTGTGTTGTGTGTATTCAACTCACAGAGTTGAACGATCCTTTACACAGAGCAGACTTGAAACACTCTTTTTGTGGAATTTGCAAGTGGAGATTTCAGCCGCTTTGAGTTCAAGGGTAGAATAGGAAATATCTTCCTATAGAAACTAGACAGAATCATTCTCAGAAACTGCTCTGCGATGTGTGCGTTCAACTCTCAGAGTTTAACTTTTCTTTTCATTCAGCAGTTTGGAAACACTCTGTTTGTAAAGTCTGCACGTGGATATTTTGACCACTTAGAGGCCTTCGTTGGAAACGGGTTTCTTTCTTGTAAGGCTAGACAGAAGAATTCCCAGTAACTTTCCTTGTGTTGTGTGCGTTCAACTCACAGAGTTGAACTTTCATTTACACAGAGCAGATTTGAAACACTCTTTTTGTGGAATTTGCAAATGGAGATTTCAAGCGCTTTGAGGCCAAAGGCAGAAAAGGAAATGTACTTCGTTTCAAAACTAGACAGAATCATTCCCACAAACTGCGTTGTGATGTGTTCGTTCAACTCACAGAGTTTAACCTTTCGGTTCATAGAGCAGTTAGGAAACACTCTGTTTGTAAAGTCTGTAAGTGGATATTCTGACGTCTTGTGGCCTTCGTTTGAAAAGGGATTTCTTCATATTCTGCTAGACAGAAGAATTCTCGGTAACTTCCTTGTGTTGTGTGTATTCAACTCACAGAGTTGAACGATCCTTTACACAGAGCAGACTTGAAACACTCTTTTTGTGGAATTTGCAAGTGGAGATTTCAGCCGCTTTGAGGTCAATGTTAGAATAGGAAATATCTTCATATAGAAACTAGACAGAATGATTCTCAGAAACTCCTTTGTGATGTGTGCGTTCAACTCACAGAGTTTAACCTTTCTTTTCATAGAGCAGTTAGGAAACACTGTGTTTGTAAAGTCTGCAAGTGGATATTCAGACCTCCTTGAGGCATTCGTTGGAAACGGGATTTCTTCATATTATGCTAGACAGAAGAATTCCCAGTAACTTCCTTGTGTTGTGTGTGTTCTACTCACAGAGTTGAACTTTGATTTACACAGAGCAGATTTGAAACACTCTTTTTGTGGAATTTGCAAGTGGAGATTTCAAGCGCTTTGAGGCCAAAGGCAGAAAAGGAAATATCTTCGTATAAAAACTAGACAGAATCATTCTCAGAATCTGCTGCGTGATGTGTGCGTTCAACTCTCAGAGTTTAACTTTTCTTTTCATTCAGCGGTTTGGAAACACTCTGTTTGTACAGTCTGCACGTGGATATTTTGACCACTTAGAGGCCTTCGTTGGAAACGGGTTTTTTTCATGTAAGGCTAGACAGAAGAATTCCCAGTAACTTCCTTGTGTTGTGTGCATTCAACTCACAGAGTTGAACGTTCCCTTAGACAGAGCAGATTTGAAACACTCTATTTGTGCAATTTGCAAGTGTAGTTTTCAAGCTCTTTAAGGTCAACGGCAGAAAAGGAAATATCTTGGTTTCAAAACTAGACAGAATCATTCCCACAAACAGCGTTGTGATGTGTTCGCTCAACTCACAGAGTTTAACCTTTCTTTTCATAGAGCAGTTAGGAAACAGTCTGTTTGTCAATTCTGTAAGTGGATATTCTGACATCTTGTGGCCTTCGTTGGAAACGGGATTTCTTCATATTCTGCTAGACAGAAGAATTCTCAGTAACTTCCTTGTGTTGTCTGTATTCAACTCACAGAGTTGAACGATCCTTTACACAGAGCAGACTTGAAACACTCTTTTTGTGGAATTTGCAAGTGGAGATTTCAGCCGCTTTGAGGTCAATAGTAGAAAAGGAAATATCTTCGTATAAAGACTAGACAGAATGATTCTCAGAAACTCCTTTGTGATGTGTGCGTTCAACTCACAGAGTTTAACCTTTCTTTTCATAGAGCAGTTGGGAAACACTCTGTTTGTAAAGTCTGCAAGTGGATATTCAGACATCCTTGAGGCTTTCGTTGGAAACGGGATTTCTTCATATTCTGCTAGAAGGAAGAATTCTCAGTAACTTCCTTGTGTTGTGTGTATACAACTCACAGAGTTGAACGATCCTTTACACAGAGCGGACTTGAAACACACTTTTTGTGGAATTTGCAAGTGGAGATTTCAAGCGCTTTGAGGCCAAAGGCAGAAAAGGAAATATCTTCGTATAAAAACTAGACAGAATCATTCTCAGAAACTGCTGTGTGATGTGTGCCTTCAACTCTCACAGTTTAACTTTTCTTTTCATTCAGCGGTTTGGAAACACTCTGTTTGTAAAGTCTGCACGTGGATATTTTGACCACTTAGAGGCCTTCGTTGGAAACGGGTTTTTTTCATGTAAGGCTAGACAGAAGAATTCTCAGTAACTTCCTTGTGTTGTGTGTATTCAACTCACACAGTTGAACGATCCTTTACACAGAGCAGACTTGTAACACTCTTTTTGTGGAATTTGCAAGTGGAGATTTCAGCCGCTTTGAAGTCAAATGTAGAAAAGGAAATATCTTCCTATAAAAACTAGACAGATGATTCTGAGAAACTCCTTTGTGATGTGTGCGTTCAACTCACAGAGTTCAACCTTTCTTTTCATAGAGCAGTTAGGAAACACTCTGTTTGTAAAGTCTGCAAGTGGATATTCAGACATCTTTGAGGCTTTCGTTGGAAACAGGATTTCTTCATATTCTGCTAGACAGAAGATTCTCAGTAACTTCCTTGTGTTGTGTGTATTCAACTCACAGAGTTGAACGATCCTTTACACAGAGCAGACTTGAAACACTCTTTTTGTGGAATTTGCAAGTGGAGATTTCAGCCGCTTTGAGGTCAATGGTAGAATAGGAAATATCTTCCTATAGAAACTAGACAGAATGATTCTCAGAAACTCCTTTGTGATGTGTGTGTTCAACTCACAGAGTTTAACCTTTCTTTTCATAGAGCAGTTAGGAAACACTCTGTTTGTAAAGTCTGCAAGTGGATATTCAGACCTCTTTGAGGCCTTCGTTGGAAACGGGATTTTTTCGTATAAGGCTAGACAGAAGAATTCCCAGTAACATCCTTGTGTTGTGTGTGTTCAACTCACAGAGTTGAACTTTCATTTACACAGAGCAGATTTGAAACACTCTTTTTGTGGAATTTGCAAATGGAGATTTCAAGCGCTTTGAGGCCAAAGGCAGAAAAGGAAATATCTTCGTATAAAAACTAGACAGAATCATTCTCAGAAACTGCTCTGCGATGTGTGCGTTCAACTCTCAGAGTTTAACTTTTCTTTTCATTCAGCAGTTTGGAAACACTCTGTTTGTAAAGTCTGCACGTGGATATTTTGACCACTTAGAGGCCTTCGTTGGAAACGGGTTTTTTTCCTGTAACGCTAGACAGAAGAATTCCCAGTAACTTCCTTGTGTTGTGTACATTCAACTCACAGAGTTGAACGTTCCCTTAGACAGAGCAGATTTGAAACACTCTTTTTGTGCAATTGGCAAGTGGAGATTTCAAGCGCTTTGAGGTCAATGGCAGAAAAGGAAATATCTTCGTTTCAAAACTAGACAGAGTGATTCTCAGAAACTCCTTTGTGATGTCTGCGTTCAACTGACAGAGTTTAACCTTTCTTTTCATAGAGCAGTTAGGAAACACTCTGTTTGTAAAGTCTGCAATTGGATATTGAGACCTCCTTGAGGCCTTCGTTGGAAACGGGATTTCTTCATATTCTGCTATACAGAAGAATTCTCAGAAACTTCCTTGTGTTGTGTGTATTCAACTCACAGAGTTGAACGATCCTTTACACAGAGCAGACTTGAAACACTCTTTTTGTGGAATTGGCAAGTGGAGATTTCAGCCGCTTTGAGGTCAATGGCAGAAAAGGAAATATCTTCGTATAAAAACTAGACAGAATGATTCTCAGAAACTTCATTGTGATGTGTGCGTTCAACTCACAGAGCTTAACCTTTCTTTTCATAGAGCAGTTAGGAAACACTCTGTTTGTAAACTCTGCAAGTGGATATTCAGACCTCTTTGAGGCCTTCGTTGGAAACGGGATTTCTTCATACTGTGCTAGACAGAAGAATTCCCAGTAACTTCCTTGTGTAGTGTGTGTTCGACTCACAGAGTTGAACTTTCCTTTACACAGAGCAGATTTGAAACACTCTTTTTGTGGAATTTGCAAGTGGAGATTTCAAGCGCTTTGAGGCCAAAGGCAGAAAAGGAAATATCTTCGTTTCAAAACTAGACAGAATCATTCTCAGAAACTGCTGCGTGATGTGTGCGTTCAACTCTCAGAGTTTAACTTTTCTTTTCATTCAGCGGTTTGGAAACACTGTGTTTGTAAAGTCTGCACGTGGATATTTTGACCACTTAGAGGCCTTCGTTGGAAACGGGTTTCTTTCATGTAAGGCTAGACAGAAGAATTCCCAGTAACTTCCTTGTGTTGTGTGCACTCAACTCACAGAGTTGAACGTTCCCTTAGACAGAGCAGATTTGAAACACTCTATTTGTGCAATTTGCAAGTGTAGATTTCAAGCGCTTTAAGGTCAATGGCAGAAAAGGAAATATCTTCGTTTCAAAACTAGACAGAATCATTCCCACAAACTGCGTTGTGATGTGTTCGTTCAACTCACAGAGTTTAACCTTTCTGTTCATAGAGCAGTTAGGAAACACTGTGTTTGTAAAGTCTGTAAGTGGATATTCTGACATCTTCTGGCCTTCGTTGGAAACGGGATTTCTTCATATTCTGCTAGACAGAAGAATTCTCAGAATCTTCCTTGTGTTGTGTGTATTCAACTCACAGAGTTGAACGATGGTTTACACAGAACAGATTTGAAACACTCTTTTTGTGGAATTTGCAAGTGGAGATTTCAGCCGCTTTGAGGTCCGTGGTAGAAAAGGAAATATCTTCGTATAAAAACTAGACAGAATGATTCTCAGAAACTCCTTTGTGATGTGTGCGTTCAACTCACAGAGTTTAACCTTTCTTTTCATAGAGCAGTTAGGAAACACTCTGTTGGTAAAGTCTGCAAGTGGATATTCAGACCTCTTTGAGGCCTTCGTTGGAAACGGGTTTTTTTCATATAAGGCTAGACAGAAGAATTCCCAGTAACTTCCTTGTGTTGTGTGTGTTCAACTCACAGAGTTGAACTTTCATTTACACAGAGCAGATTTGAAACACTCTTTTTGTGGAATTTGCAAGTGGAGATTTCAGGCGCTTTGAGGCCAAAGGCAGAAAAGGAAATATCTTCGTATAAAAACTAGACAGAATCATTCTCAGAAACTGCTGTGTGATGTGTACGTTCAACTCTCAGAGTTCAACTTTTCTTTTCATTCAGCGGTTTGGAAACACTCTGTTTGTAAAGTCTGCACGTGGATATTTTGACCACTTAGAGGCCTTCGTTGGAAACGGTTTTTTTTCATGTAAGGCTAGACAGAAGAATTCCCAGTAACTTCCTTGTGTTGTGTGTGTTCAACTCACAGAGTTGAACTTTCATTTACACAGAGCAGATTTGAAACACTCTTTTTGTGGAATTTGCAAATGGAGATTTCAAGCGCTTTGAGGCCAAAGGCAGAAAAGGAAATATCTTCGTTTCAAAACTAGACAGAATCATTCTCAGAAACTTCTTTGTGATGTGTGCGTTCAACTCACAGAGTTTAACCTTTCTTTTCATAGAGCAGTTAGGAAACACTCTGTTTGTAAAGTCTGCAAGTGGATATTCATACCTCTTTGAGGCCTTCGTTGGAAACGGGATTTCTTCATACTATGCTAGACAGAAGAATTCTCAGTAACTTCCTTGTGTTGTGTGTATTCAACTCACA
This sequence comes from Homo sapiens, assembly GCF_000001405.40. Classification (NCBI taxonomy): domain Eukaryota; kingdom Metazoa; phylum Chordata; class Mammalia; order Primates; family Hominidae; genus Homo; species Homo sapiens. The sequence goes on from NC_000001.11 coordinate 124,002,787, forward strand.
GTAGTTGAACGATCCTTTACACAGAGCAGTCTTGAAACACTCTTTTTGTGGAATTTGCAAGTGGAGATTTCTGCCGCTTTGAGGTCAATGGTAGAATAGGAAATATCTTCCTATAGAAACTAGACAGAATGATTCTCAGAAAATCTTTTGTGATGTGTGCGTTCAACTCACAGAGTTTCACTTTTCTTCTCATGGAGCAGTTAGGAAACACTCTGTTTGTAAAGTCTGCAAGTGGATATTCAGACCCCTTTGAGGCCTTCGTTGGAAACGGGATTTCTTCATATTCTGCTAGACAGAAGAATTCTCAGTAACTTCCTTGTGTTGTGTGTATTCAACTGACAGAGTTGAACTTTCGTTTAGAGAGAGCAGATTTGAAACACTGTTTTTGTGGAATTTGCAAGTGGAGATTTCAAGCGCTTTGGGGCCAAAGGCAAAAAACGAAATATCTTCGTATAAAAACTAGACAGAATCATTCTCAGAAACTGCTGCGTGATGTGTGCGTTCAACTCTCAGAGTTTAACTTTTCTTTTCATTCAGCGGTTTGGAAACACTCTGTTTGTAAAGTCTGCACGTGGACATTTTGACCACTTAGAGGCCTTCGTTGGAAACGGGTTTTTTTCATGTAAGGCTAGACAGAAGAATTCCCAGTAACTTCCTTGTGTTGTGTACATTCAACTCACAGAGTTGAACGTTCCCTTAGACAGAGCAGATTTGAAACACTCTTTTTGTGCAATTGGCAAGTGGAGATTTCAAGCGCTTTAAGGTCAATGGCAGAAAAGGAAATATCTTCGTTTCAAAACTAGACAGAATCATTCCCACAAACTGCGTTGTGATGTGTTCGTTCATCTCACAGAGTTTAACCTTTCTTTTCATAGAGCAGTTAGGAAACACTCTGTTTGTAAATTCTGTAAGTGGATATTCTGACATCGTGTGGCCTTCGTTGGAAACGGGATTTCTTCATATTCTGCTAGACAGAAGAATTCTCAGTAACTTCCTTGTGTTGTGTGTATTCAACTCACAGAGTTGAACGATCCTTTACACAGAGCAGACTTGAAACACTCTTTTTGTGGAATTTGCAAGTGGAGAATTCAGCCGCTTTGAGGTCAATGGTAGAAAAGGAAACTATCTTCGTATAAAGAATAGACAGAATGATTCTCAGAAACTCCTTTGTGATGTGTGCGTTCAACTCACAGAGTTTAACCTTTCTTGTTCATAGAGCAGTTAGGAAACACTCTGTTTGTAAAGTCTGCAAGTGGATATTCAGACATCCTTGAGGCTTTCGTTGGAAACGGGATTTCTTCATATTCTGCTAGACAAGATAATTCTCAGTAACTTCCTTGTGTTGTGTGTATTCAACTGACAGAGTTGAACGTTCATTTAGAGAGAGCAGATTTGAAACACTGTTTTTGTGGAATTTGCAATTGGAGATTTCAAGCGCTTTGGGGCCAAAGGCAGAAAAGGAAATATCTTCGTATAAAAACTAGACAGAATCATTCTCAGAAACTGCTGCGTGATGTTTGCGTTCAACTCTCAGAGTTTAACTTTTCTTTTCATTCAGCGGTTTGGAAACACTCTGTTTGTAAAGTCTGCACGTGGAAATTTTGACCACTTAGAGGCCTTCGTTGGAAAAGGGTTTTTTTCATGTAAGGCTAGACAGAAGAATTCTCAGTAACTTCCTTGTGTTGTGTGTATTCAAGTGTCACAGTTGAACTTTCATTTAGGCCAAGCAGATTTGAAACACTCTTTTTGTGCAATTGGCAAGTGCAGATTTCAAGCGCTTTAAGGTCAATGGCAGAAAAGGAAATATCTTCGTTTCAAAACTAGACAGAATCATTCCCACAAACTGCGTTGTGAGGTGTTCGTTCAACTCACAGAGTTTAACCTTTCTTTTCATAGAGCAGTTAGGAAACAGTCTGTTTGTAAATTCTGTAAGTGGATATTCTGACATCTTGTGGCCTTCGTTGGAAACGGGATTTCTTCATATTCTGCTAGACAGAATAATTCTCAGTAACTTCCTTGTGTTGTGTGTATTCAACTCACAGAGTTGAAGGATCCTTTACAGAGAGCAGGCTTGAAACACTCTTTTTGTGGAATTTGCAAGTGGAGATTTCAGCCGCTTTGAGGTCAATGGTAGAATAGGAAATATCTTCCTATAGAAACTAGACAGAATGATTCTCAGAAACTCCTTTGTGATGTGTGCGTTCAACTCACAGAGTTTAACCTTTCTTTTCATAGAGCAGTTAGGAAACACTCTGTTTGTAAAGTCTGCAAATGGATATTCAGACCTCTTTGAGGCCTTCGTTGGAAACGGGATTTCTTCATATTCTGCTAGACAGAAGAATTCTCAGTAACTTCCTTGTGTTGTGTGTATTCAACTGACAGAGTTGAACTTTCATTTAGAGAGAGCAGATTTGAAACACTGTTTTTGTGGAATTTGCAAGTGGAGATTTCAAGCGCTTTGGGGCCAAGGGCAGAAAAGGAAATATCTTCGTATAAAAACTAGACAGAAGCATTCTCAGAAACTGCTGCGTGATGTGTGCGTTCAACTCTCAGAGTTTAACTTTTCTTTTCATTCAGCGGTTTGGAAACACTCTGTTTGTAAAGTCTGCACGTGGATATTTTGACCACTTAGAGGCCTTCGTTGGAAACGGGTTTTTTGCAAGTAAGGCTAGACAGAAGAATTCTCAGTAAATTCCTTGTGTTGTGTGTATTCAACTCACAGAGTTGAACGATCCTTTACACAGAGCAGACTTGAAACACTCTTTTTGTGGAATTTGCAAGTGGAGATTTCAGCCGCTTTGAGGTCAATGGCAGAAAAGGAAATATCTTCGTATAAAGACTAGACAGAATTATTCTCAGAAACTCCTTTGTGATATGTGCGTTCAACTCACAGAGTTTAACCTTTCTTTTCATAGAGCAGTTAGGAAACACTCTGTTTGTAAAGTCTGCAAGTGGATATTCAGACCTCTTTGAGGCCTTCGTTGGAAACGGGATTTCTTCATATTCTGCTAGAGAGAAGAATTCTCAGTAACTTCCTTGTGTTGTGTGTATTCAACTCACAGAGTTCAACGATCCTTTACACAGAGCAGACTTGAAGCACTCTTTTTGTGGAATTTGCGAGTGGAGATTTCAGCCGCTTTGAGGTCAATGGTAGAATAGGAAATATCTTCCTATAGAAACTAGACAGAGTGATTCTCAGAAACTCCTTTGTGATGTTTGCGTTCAACTCACAGAGTTTAACCTTTCTTTTCATAGAGCAGTTAGGAAACACTCTGTTTGTAAAGTCTGCAAGTGGATATTCAGACCTCCTTGTGGCCTTCGTTGGAAACGGGATTTCTTCATATTCTGCTATACAGAAGAATTCTCAGTAACTTCCTTGTGTTGTGTGTATTCAACTGACAGAGTTGAACTATCATTTAGAGAGAGCAGATTTGAAACACTGTTTTTGTGGAATTTGCAAGTGGAGATTTCAAGCGCTTTGGGGCCAAAGGCAGAAAAGGAAATATCTTCGTATAAAAACTAGACAGAATCATTCTCAGAAACTGCTGCGTGATGTGTGCGTTCAACTCTCATAGTTTAACCTTTCTTTTCATTCAGCGGTTTGGAAACACTCTGTTTGTAAAGTCTGCACGTGGATATTTTGACCACTTAGAGGCCTTCGTTGGAAACGGGTTTTTTTCATGTAAGGCTAGACAGAAGAATTCCCAGTAACTTCCTTGTGTTGTGTGCATTCAACTCACAGAGATGAACATTCCCTTAGACACAGCAGATTTGAAACACTGTATTTGTGTAATTTGCAAGTGTAGATTAAAAGCGCTTTAAGGTCAATGGCAGAAAAGGAAATATCTTCGTTTCAAAACTAGACAGAATCATTCCCACAAACTGCGTTGTGATGTGTTCGTTCAACTCACAGAGTTTAACCTTTCTGCTCATAGAGCAGTTAGGAAACACTCTGTTTGTAAAGTCTGTAAGTGGATATTCTGACCTCTTGTGGCCTTCGTTGGAAACGGGATTTCTTCATATTCTGCTAGACAGAATAATTCTCAGTAACTTCCTTGTGTTGCGTGTATTCAACTCACAGAGTTGAACGATCCTTTACAGAGAGCAGACTTGAAACACTCTTTTTGTGGAATTTGCAAGTGGAGATTTCAGCCGCTTTGAGGTCAATGATAGAATAAGAAATATCTTCCTATAGAAACTAGACAGAATGATTCTCAGAAACTCCTTTGTGATGTGTGCGTTCAACTCACAGAGTTCAAACTTTCTTTTCATAGAGCAGTTGGGAAACACTCTGTTTGTAAAGTCTGCAAGTGGATATTCAGACTTCTTTGAGGCCTTCGTTGGAAGCGGGATTTCTTCATATTCTGCTAGACAGAAGAATTCTCAGTAACTTCCTTGTGTTGTGTGTATTCAACTGACAGAGCTGAACTTTCATTTAGAGAGAGCAGATTTGAAACACTGTTTTTGTGGAATTTGCAAGTGGAGATTTCAAGCGCTTTGGGGCCAAAGGCAGAAAAGGAAATATCTTCGTATAAAAACTAGACAGAATCATTCTCAGAAACTGCTCTGCGATGTGTGCGTTCAACTCTCAGAGTTTAACTTTTCTTTTCATTCAGCAGTTTGGAAACACTGTGTTTGTAAAGTCTGCACGTGGATATTTTGACCACTTAGAGGCCTTCGTTGGAAACGGGTTTTTTTCCTGTAAGGCTAGAGAGAAGAATTCCCAGTAACTTCCTTGTGTTGTGTACATTCAACTCACAGAGTTGAACGTTCCCTTAGACAGAGCAGATTTGAAACACTCTTTTTGTGCAATTGGCAAGTGCTGATTTCAGCCGCTTTGAAGTCAATGGTAGAAAAGGAAATATCTTCGTATAAAAACTAGACAGAATCATTCCCACAAACTGCGTTGTGATGTGTTCGTTCAACTCACAGCAGTTTAACCTTTCTGTTCATAGAGCAGTTAGGAAACACTCTGTTTGTAAAGTCTGTAAGTGGATATTCTGACATCTTGTGGCCTTCGTTGGAAACGGGATTTCTTCATTTTCTGCTAGACAGAAGAATTCTCAGAAACTTCCTTGTGTTGTGTGTTCTCAACTCACAGAGTTGAACGATGCTTTACACAGAGTAGACTTGAAACACTCTTTTTGTGTAATTTGCAAGTGGAGATTTCAGCCGCTTTGAGGTCAATGGTAGAAAAGGAAATATCTTCGTATAAAAACTAGACAGAATGATTCTCAGAAACTCCTTTGTGATGTGTGCATTCAACTCACAGAGTTTAACTTTTCTTTTCATAGAGCAGTTAGGAAACACTCTGTTTGTAAAGTCTGCAAGAGGATATTCAGACCTCTTTGAGGCCTTCGTTGGAAACGGGTTTTTTTCATATAAGGCTAGACAGAAGAATTCCCAGTAACTTCCTTGTGTTGTGTGTGTTCAACTCACAGAGTTGAACTTTCATTTACACAGAGCAGATTTGAAACACTCTTTTTGTGGAATTTGCAAATGGAGGTTTGAAGCGCTTTGAGGCCAAAGGCAGAAAAGGAAATATCTTCGTATAAAAACTAGACAGAATCATTCTCAGAAACTGCTCTGCGATGTGTGCGTTCAACTCTCAGAGTTTAACTTTTCTTTACATTCAGCAGTTTGGGAACACTCTGTTTGTAAAGTCTGCACGTGGATATTTTGACCACTTAGAGGCCTTCGTTGGAAACGGGTTTTTTTCCTGTAAGGCTAGACAGAAGAATTCTCAGTAACTTCCTTGTGTTGTGTGTATTCAACTCACAGAGTTGAACGATCCTTTACAGAGAGCAGACTTGAAACACTCTTTTTGTGGAATTTGCAAGTGGAGATTTCAGCCGCTTTGAGGTCAATAGTAGAAAAGGAAATATCTTCGTATAAAGACTAGACAGAATGATTCTCAGAAACTCCTTTGTGATGTGTGCGTTCAACACACAGATTTTAACTTTTCTTTTCATACAGCAGTTAGGAAACACTCTGTTTGTAAAGTCTGCAAGTGGATATTCAGACCTCTTTGAGGCCTTCGTTGGAAACGGGATTTCTTAATATTATGCTAGACAGAATAATTCTCAGTAAATTCCTTGTGCTGTGTGTATTCAACTCACAGAGTTGAACGATCCTTTACAGAGAGCAGACTTGAAACACTCTTTTTGTGGAATTTGCAAGTGGAGATTTCAGCCTCTTGGAGGTCAATGGTAGAATAGGAAATATCTTCCTATAGAAACTAGACAGAATGATTCTCAGAAACTCCTTTGTGATGTGTGCGTTCAACTCACAGAGTTTAACCTTTCTTTTCATAGAGCAGTTCAGGAAACACTCTGTTTGTAAAGTCTGCAAGTGGATATTCAGACTTCTTTGAGGCCTTCGTTGGAAACGGGATTTCTTCATATTCTGCTAGACAGAAGAATTCTCAGTAACTTCCTTGTGTTGTGTGTATTCAACTCACGGAGTTGAATGATCCTTTACACAGAGCAGACTTGAAACACTCTTTTTGTGGAATTTGCAAGTGGAGATTTCAGCCGCTTTGAGGTCAATAGTAGAAAAGGAAATATCTTCGTAGAAAAACTAGACAGAATCATTCTCAGAAACTGCTCTGCGATGTGTGCGTTCAACTCTCAGAGTTTAACTTTGTTTTTCATTCAGCAGTTTGGAAACACTCTGTTTGTAAAGTCTGCACGTGGATAATTTGACCACTTAGAGGCCTTCGTTGGAAACGGGTTTTTTTCATGTAAGGCTAGACAGAAGAATTCCCAGTAACTTCCTTGTGTTGTGTGCATTCAACTCACAGAGTTGAACGTTCCCTTAGACAGAGCAGATTTGAAACACTCTATTTGTGCAATTTGCAAGTGTAGTTTTCAAGCTCTTTAAGGTCAACGGCAGAAAAGGAAATATCTTCGTTTCAAAACTAGACAGAATCATTCCCAAAAACTGCGTTGTGATGTGTTGGTTCAACTCACAGAGTTTAACCTTTCTGTTCATAGAGCAGTTAGGAAACACTCTGTTTGTAAAGTCTGTAAGTGGATATTCTGACATCCTGTGGCCTTCGTTGGAAACGGGATTTCTTCATATTCTGCTAGACAGAAGAATTCTCAGTAACTTCCTTGTGTTGTGTGTATTCAACTCACAGAGTTGAACGATCCTTTACACAGAGCGGACTTGAAACACTCTTTTTGTGGAATTTGCAAGTGGAGATTTTAGCCGATTTGAGGTCAATGGTAGAATAGGAAATATCTTCCTATAGAAACTAGACAGAATGATTCTCATAAACTCCTTTGTGATGTGTGCGTTCAACTCACAGAGTTTAACTTTTCTTTTCATAGAGCAGTTAGGAAACACTCTGTTTGTAAAGTCTGCAAGTGGATATTCAGACCTCTTTGAGGCCTTCGTTGGAAACGGGATTTCTTCATATTATGGTAGACAGAATAATTCTCAGTAACTTCCTTGTGTTGTGTGTATTCCACTCACAGAGTTGAACGATCCTTTACAGAGAGCAGACTTGAAACACTCTTTTTGTGGAATTTGCAAGTGGAGATTTCAGCCGCTTTGAGGTCAATGGTAGAAAAGGAAATATCTTCGTATAAAGACTAGACAGAATCATTCTCAGAAACTGCTCTGCAATGTGTGCGTTCAACTCTCAGAGTTTAACTTTTCTTTTCATTCAGCAGTTTGGAAACACTCTGTTTGTAAAGTCTGCACGTGGATATTTTGACCACTTAGAAGCCTTGGTTGGAAACGGGTTTTTTTCCTGTAAGGCTAGACAGAAGAATTCCCAGTAACTTCCTTGTGTTGTGTACATTCAACTCACAGAGTTGAACGTTCCCTTAGACAGAGCAGATTTGAAACACTCTTTTTGTGCAATTGGCAAATGGAGATTTCAAGCGCTTTAAGGTCAATGGCAGAAAAGGAAATATCTCCGTTTCAAAACTAGACAGAATCATTCCCACAAACTGCGTTGTGATGTGTTCGTTCAACTCACAGAGTTTAACCTTTCTTTTCATAGAGCAGTTAGGAAACAGTCTGTTTGTCAATTCTGTAAGTGGATATTCTGACATCTTGTGGCCTTCGTTGGAAACGGGATTTCTTCATATTCTCCTAGACAGAAGAATTCTCAGTAACTTCCTTGTGTTGTGTGTATTCAACTCACAGAGTTGAACGACCCTTTACACAGAGCAGATTACAAACACTCTTTTTGTGGAATTTGCAAGTGGAGATTTCAGCCGCTTTGAGGTCAATGGTAGAAAAGGAAATATCTTCGTACAAAAACTAGACAGAATGTTTCTCAGAAACTTCTTTGTGATGTGTGCGTTCAACTCACAGAGTTTCACCTTTCTTTTCATAGAGCAGTTAGGAAACACTCTGTTTGTAAACTCTGCAAGTGGATATTCAGACCTCTTTGAGGCCTTCGTTGGTAACGGGATTTCTTCATACTGTGCTACACAGAAGAATTCTCAGTAACTTCCTTGTGTTGTGTGTATTCAACTGACAGAGTTGAACTTTCATTTAGAGAGAGCAGATTTGAAGCACTGTTTTTGTGGAATTTGCAAGTGGAGACTTCAAGCGCTTTGGGGCCAAAGGCAGAAAAGGAAATACCTTCGTATAAAAACTAGACAGAATCATTCTCAGAAACTGCTCTGCGATGTGTGCGTTCAACTCTCAGAGTTTAACTTTTCTTTTCATTCAGCAGTTTGGAAACACTCTGTTTGTAAAGTCTGCACGTGGATAATTTGACCACTTAGAGGCCTTCGTTGGAAACGGTTTTTTTTCATGTAAGGCTAGACAGAAGAATTCCCAGTAACTTCCTTGTGTTGTGTGCATTCAACTCACAGAGATGAACGTTCCCTTAGACAGAGCAGATGTGAAACACTCAATTTGTGCAATTTGCAAGTGTAGATTTCAAGCACTTTAAGGTCAATGGCATAAAAGGAAATATCTTCGTTTCAAAACTAGACAGAATGATTCTCATGAACTCCTTTGTGATGTGTGCGTTGAACTCACAGAGTTTAACCTTTCTTTTCATAGAGCAGTTAGGAAACACTCTGTTTGTAAAGTCTGCAAGTGGATATTCAGACCTCCTTGAGGCCTTCGTTGGAAACGGGCTTTCTTCATATTCTGCTAGACAGAAGAATTCTCAGTAACTTCCTTGTGTTGTGTTTATTCAACTCACAGATTTGAATGATCCTTTACACAGAGCAGACTTGAAACACTCTTTTTGTGTAATTTGCAAGTGGAGATTTCAGCCGATTTGAAGTCAATGGTAGAAAAGTAAATATCTTCGTATAAAGACTAGACAGAATGATTCTCAGAAACTTCTTTGTGATGTGTGTGTTCAACTCACAGAGTTTAACCTTTCTTTTCATAGAGCAGTTAGGAAACACTGTGTTTTTAAACTCTGCAAGTGGATATTCAGACCTCTTTGAGGCCTTCGTTGGAAACGGGATTTCTTCATACTGTGCTAGACAGAAGAATTCTCAGTAACTTCCTTGTGTTGTGTGTATTCAACTCACAGAGTTGAACGATCCTTTACACAGAGCAGACTTGAAACACTCTTTTTGTGGAATTTGCAAGTGGAGATTTCAGCCGCCTTGAGGTCAATGGTAGAAAAGGAAATATCTTCGTATAAAAACTAGACAGAATCATTCTCAGAAACTGCTCTGCGATGTGTGCGTTCAATTCTCAGAGTTTAACTTTTCTTTTCATTCAACAGTTTGGAAACACTCTGTTTGTAAAGTCTGCACGTGGATATTTTGACCACTTAGAGGCCTTCGTTGGAAACGGGTTTCTTTCCTGTAAGGCTAGACAGAATAATTCTCAGTAACTTCCTTGTGTTGTGTGTATTCAACTCACAGAGTTGAAGGATCCTTTACAGAGAGCAGGCTTGAAACACTCTTTTTGTCGAATTTGCAAGTGGAGGTTTCAGCCGCTTTGAGGTCAATGGTAGAATAGGAAATATCTTCTTATAGAAACTAGACAAAATGATTCTCATGAACTCCTTTGTGATGTGTGCGTTCAACTCACAGAGTTTAACCTTTCTTTTCATAGAGCAGTTAGGAAACACTCTGTTTGTAAAGTCTGCAAGTGGATATTTAGACCTCCTTGAGGCCTTCGTTGGAAACGGGATTTCTTCATATTCTGCTAGACAGAAGAATTCTCAGTAACTTCCTTGTGTTGTGTTTATTCAACTCACAGAGTTGAATGATCCTTTACACAGAGCAGACTTCAAACACTCTTTTTGTGGAATTTGCAAGTGGAGATTTCAGCCGCTTTGAGGTCAATGGTAGAAAAGTAAATATCTTCGTATAAAGACTAGACAGAATGATTCTCAGAAACTCCTTTGTGATGTGTGCGTTCAACTCACAGAGTTTAACCTTTCTTTTCATAGAGCAGTTGGGAAACACTCTGTTTGTAAAGTCTGCAAGTGGATATTCAGACTTCTTTGAGGCCTTCGTTGGAAGCGGGATTTCTTCATATTCTGCTAGACAGAAGAATTCTCAGTAACTTCCTTGCGTTGTGTGTATTCAACTCACAGAGTTGAACGATCCTTTACACAGAGCAGACTTGAAACACTCTTTTTGTGGAATTTGCAAGTGGAGATTTCAGCCGCTTTGAGGTCAATGGTAGAATAGGAAATATCTTCCTATAGAAACTAGACAGAATCATTCTCAGAAACTGCTGCGTGATGTGTGCGTTCAACTCTCAGAGTTTAACTTTTCTTTTCATTCAGCGCTTTGGAAACACTCTGTTTGTAAAGTCTGCACGTGGATATTTTGACCACTTAGAGGCCTTCGTTGGAAACGGGTTTTTTTCATGTAAGGCTAGACAGAAAAATTCCCAGTAACTTCCTTGTGTTGTGTGCATTCAACTCACAGAGTTGAACGTTCCCTTAGACAGAGCAGATTTGAAACACTCTATTTGTGCAATTTGCAAGTGTAGATTTCAAGCGCTTTAAGGTCAACGGCAGAAAAGGAAATATCTTCGTTTTAAAACTAGACAGAATCATTCCCACAAACTGTGTTGTGATGTGTTCGTTCAACTCACAGAGTTTAACCTTTCTTTTCATAGAGCAGTTAGGAAACAGTCTGTTTGTCAATTCTGTAAGTGGATATTCTGACATCTTGTGGCCTTCGTTGGAAACGGGATTTCTTCATATTCTGCTAGACAGAAGAATTCTCAGTAACTTCCTTGTGTTGTGTGTATTCAACTCACAGAGTTGAACGATCCTTTAAACAGAGCAGACTTGAAACACTCTTTTTCTGGAATTTGCAAGTGGAGATTTCAGCCGCTTTGAGGTCAATGTTAGAATAGGAAATATCTTCCTATAGAAACTAGACAGAATGATTCTCAGAAACTCCTTTGTGATGTGTGCGTTCAACTCACAGAGTTCAAACTTTCTTTTCATAGAGCAGTTGGGAAAAACTCTGTTTGTAAAGTCTGCAAGTGGATATTCAGACTTCTTTGAGGCCTTCGTTGGAAGCGGGGTTTCTTCATATTCTGCTAGACAGAAGAATTCTCAGTAACTTCCCTTGTGTTGTGTGTATTCAACTGACAGAGTTGAACTTTCATTTAGAGAGAGCAGATTTGAAACACTGTTTTTGTGGAATTTGCAAGTGGAGATTTCAAACGCTTTGGGGCCAAAGGCAGAAAAGGAAATATCTTCGTATAAAAACTAGACAGAATCATTCTCAGAAACTGCTCTGCGATGTGTGCATTCAACTCTCAGAGTTTAACTTTTCTTTTCATTCAGCAGTTTGGAAACACTCTGTTTGTAAAGTCTGCACGTGGATAACTTGACCACTTAGAGGCCTTCGTTGGAAACGGGTTTTTTTCATGTAAGGCTAGACAGAAGAATTCCCAGTAACTTCCTTGTGTTGTGTGCATTCAACTCACAGAGTTGAACGTTCCCTTAGACAGAGCAGATTTGAAACACTCTATTTGTGCAATTTCCAAGTGTAGATTTCAAGCGCTTTAAGGTCAACGGCAGAAAAGGAAATATCTTCGTTTCAAAACTAGACAGAATGATTCTGAGAAACTCCTTTGTGATGTGTGCGTTCAACTCCCACAGTTTAACCTTTCTTTTCATAGAGCAGTTAGGAAACACTCTGTTTGTAAAGTCTGCAAGTGGATATTCAGGACCTCCTTGAGGCCTTCGTTGGAAACGGGATTTCTTCATATTATGCTAGACAGAAGAATTCTCAGTAACTTCCTTGTGTTGTGTGTATTCAACTCACAGAGTTGAACGATCCTTTACACAGAGCAGACTTGAAACACTCTTTCTGTGGAATTTGCAAGTGGAGATTTCAGGCGCTTTGAGGTCAATAGTAGAAAAGGAAATATCTTCGTAGAAAAACTAGACAGAATGATTCTCAGAAACTCCTTTGTGATGTGTGTGTTCAACTCACAGAGTTTAACCTTTCTTTTCATAGAGCAGTTAGTAAACAGTCTGTTTATAAAGTCTGCAAGTGGATATTCAGACCCCTTTGAGGCCTTCGTTGGAAACGGGATTTCTTCATATTATGCTAGACAGAAGAATTCTCAGTAACTTCCTTGTGTTGTGTGTATTCAACTGACGGAGTTGAACTATCATTTAGAGAGAGCAGATTTGAAACACTGTTTTTGTGGAATTTGCAAGTGGAGATTTCAAGCGCTTTGGGGCCAAAGGCAGAAAAGGAAATATCTTCGTATAAAAACTAGACAGAATCATTCTCAGAAACTGCTCTGCGATGTGTGCGTTCAACTCTCAGAGTTTAACTTTTCTTTTCATTCAGCAGTTTGGAAACACTCTGTTTGTAAAGTCTGCATGTGGATATTTTGACCACTTAGAGGCCTTCGTTGGAAACGGGTTTTTTTCCTGTAAGGCTAGACAGAAGAATTCCCAGTAACTTCCTTGTGTTGTGTACATTCAACTCACAGAGTTGAACGTTCCCTTAGACAGAGCAGATTTGAAACACTCTTTTTGTGCAATTGGCAAATGGAGATTTCAAGCGCTTGAAGGTCAATGGCAGAAAAGGAAATATCTTCGTTTCAAAACTAGACAGAATCATTCCCACAAACTGCGTTGTGATGTGTGCGTTCAACTCAAAGAGTTTAACCTTTCTTTTCATAGAGCAGTTAGGAAACACTCTGTTTGTAAAGTCTGCAAGTGGATATTCAGACCTCCTTGAGGCCTTCGTTGGAAACGGGATTTCTTCATATTCTGCTAGACAGAATAATTCTCAGTAACTTCATTGTGTTGTGTGTATTCAACTCACAGAGTTGAAGGATCCTTTACAGAGAGCAGGCTTGAAACACTCTTTTTGTCGAATTTGCAAGTGGAGATTTCAGCCGCTTTGAGGTCAATGGTAGAATAGGAAATATCTTCTTATAGAAACTAGACAGAATGATTCTCAGAAACTCCTTTGTGATGTGTGTGTTCAACTCACAGAGTTTAACCTTTCTTTTCATAGAGCAGTTAGTAAACACTCTGTTTATAAAGTCTGCAAGTGGATATTCAGACCCCTTTGAGGCCTTCGTTGGAAACGGGATTTCGTCATATTATGCTAGACAGAAGAATTCTCAGTAACTTCCTTGTGTTGTGTGTATTCAACTCACAGAGTTGAACGATCCTTTACACAGAGCAGATTAGAAACACTCTTTTTGTGGAATTTGCAGGTGGAGATTTCAGCCGCTTTGAGGTCAATAGTAGAAAAGGGAATATCTTCGTATAAAAACTAGACAGAAATCATTCTCAGAAACTGCTCTGCGATGTGTGCGTTCAACTCTCAGGAGTTTAACTTTTCTTTTCATTCAGCAGTTTGGAAACACTCTGTTTGTAAAGTCTGCACGTGGATATTTTGACCACTTAGAGGCCTTCGTTGGAAACGGGTTTTTTTCCTGTAAGGCTAGACAGAAGAATTCCCAGTAACTTCCTTGTGTTGTGTACATTCAACTCACAGAGTTGAACGTTCCCTTAGACAGAGCAGATTTGAAACACTCTTTTTGTGCAATTGGCAAATGGAGATTTCAAGCGCTTTAAGTTCAATGGCAGAAAAGGAAATATCTTCGTTTCAAAAGTAGACAGAATGATTCTCAGAAACTCCTTTGTGATGTGTGCGTGCAACTCACAGAGTTTAACTTTTCTTTTCATAGAGCAGTTAGGAAACACTCTGTTTGTAAAGTCTGTAAGTGGATATTCTGACATCTTGTGGCCTTCGTTGGAAACGGGATTTCTTCATATTCTGCTAGACAGAAGAGTTCTCAGTAACTTCCTTGTGTTGTGTGTATTCAACTCACAGAGTTGAACGATCCTTTACACAGAGCAGACTTGAAACACTCTTTTTGTGGAATTTGCAAGTGGAGATTTCAGCCGCTTTGAGGTCAATAGTAGAAAAGGAAATATCTTCGTAGAAAAACTAGACAGAGTGATTCTCAGAAACTCCTTTGTGATGTCTGCGTTCAACTCACAGAGTTTAACGTTTCTTTTCATAGAGCAGTTAGGAAACACTCTGATTGTAAAGTCTGCAAGTGGATATTCAGACCTCCTTGAGGCCTTCGTTGGATACGGGATTTCTTCATATTCTGCTATACAGAAGAATTCTCAGTAACTTCCTTGTGTTGTGTGTATTCAACTGACATAGCTGAACTTTCATTTAGAGAGAGCAGATTTGAAACACTGTTTTTGTGGAATTTGCAAGTGGAGATTTCAAGCGCTTTGGGGCCAAAGGCAGAAAAGGAAATATCTTCGTATAAAAACTAGACAGAATCATTCTCAGAAACTGCTGCGTGATGTGTGCGTTCAACTCTCAGAGTTTAACTTTTCTTTTCATTCAGCGGTTTGGAAACACTCTGTTTGTAAAGTCTGCACGTGGGTATTTTGACCACTTAGAGGCCTTCGTTGGAAACGGGTTTTTTTCATGTAAGGATAGACAGAAGAATTCCCAGTAACTTCCTTGTGTTGTGTGCATTCAACTCACAGAGTTGAACGTTCCCTTAGACAGAGCAGATTTGAAACACTCTATTTGTGCAATTTGCAAGTGTAGATTTCAAGCGCTTTAAGGTCAACGGCAGAAAAGGAAATATCTTCGTTTCAAAACTAGACAGAATCATTCCCACAAACTGCGTTGTGATCTGTTCGTTCAACTCACAGAGTTTAACCTTTCTGTTCATAGAGCAGTTAGGAAACACTCTGTTTGTAAAGTCTGTAAGTGGATATTCTGACATCTTGTGGCCTTCGTTGGAAACGGGATTTCTTCATATTCTGCTAGACAGAAGAATTCTCAGAAACTTCCTTGTGTTGTGTGTTTTCAACTCACAGAGTTGAACGATGCTTTACACAGAGCAGACTTGAAACACTCATTTTGTGGAATTTGCAAGGGGAGATTTCAGCCGCTTTGAGGTCAATGGTAGAATAGGAAATATCTTCCTATAGAAACTAGCCAGAATGATTCTCAGAAACTCCTTTGTGATGTGTGCGTTCAACTCACGGAGTTTAACCTTTCTTTTCATAGAGCAGTTAGGAAACACTCTGTTTGTAAAGTCTGCAAGTGGATATTCAGACATCCTTGAGGCTTTCGTTGGAAACGGGATTTCTTCATATTCTGCTAGAAAGAAGAATTCCCAGTAACTTCCTTGTGTTGTGTGTGTTCAACTCACAGAGTTGAACTTTCATTTACACAGAGCAGATTTGAAACACTCTTTTTGTGGAATTTGCAAGTGGAGATTTCAAGCGCTTTGAGACCAAAGGCAGAAAAGGAAATATCTTCGTTTCAAAACAAGACAGAATCATTCTCAGAAACTGCTGCGTGATGTGTGCGTTCAACTCTCAGAGTTTAACTTTTCTTTTCATTCAGCGGTTTGGAAACACTCTGTTTGTAAAGTCTGCACGTGGAAATTTTGACCACTTAGAGGCCTTCGTTGGAAACGGGATTTTTTCATGTAAGGCTAGACAGAAGAATTCCCAGTAACTTCCTTGTGTTGTGTGCATTCAACTCACAGAGTTGAACGTTCCTTAGACACAGCAGATTTGAAACACTCTATTTGTGCAATTTGCAAGTGTAGATTTCAAGCGCTTTAAGGTCAATGGCAGAAAAGGAAATATCTTCGTTTCAAAACTAGACAGAATCATTCCCACAAACTGCGTTGTGATGTGTTCGTTCAACTCACAGAGTTTAACCTTTCTTTTCATAGAGCAGTGAGGAAACAGTCTGTTTGTCAATTCTGTAAGTGGATATTCTGACATCTTGTGGCCTTCGTTGGAAACTGGATTTCTTCATATTCTGCTAGACAGAATAATTCTCAGTAACTTCCTTGTGTTGTGTGTATTCAACTCACAGAGTTGAACGATCCTTTACACAGAGCAGACTTGAAACACTCTTTTTGTGGGATTTGCAAGTGGAGATTTCAGCCGCTTTGAGGTCAATGGTAGAATAGGAAATATCTTCCTATAGAAACTAGACAGAATGATTCTCAGAAACTCCTTTGTGATGTGTGTGTTCAACTCACAGAGTTTAACCTTTCTTTTCATAGAGCAGTTAGGAAACACTCTGTTTGTAAAGTCTGCAAGTGGATATTCAGACCTCGTTGAGGCCTTCGTTGGAAACGGGATTTCTTCATATTCTGCTAGACAGAAGAATTCCCAGCTAACTTCCATGTGTTGTGTGTGTTCAACTCACAGAGTTGAACTTTCATTTACACAGAGCAGATTTGAAACACTCTTTTTGTGGAATTTGCAAATGGAGATTTCAAGCGCTTTGAGGCCAAAGGCAGAAAAGGAAATATCTTCGTATAAAAACTAGACAGAAATCATTCTCAGTAAACTGCTGCGTGATGTGTGCGTTCAACTCTCAGAGTTTAACTTTTCTTTTCATTCAGCGGTTTGGAAACACTCTGTTTGTAAAGTCTGCACGTGGAAATTTTGACCACTTAGAGGCCTTCGTTGGAAACGGGTTTTTTTCATGTAAGGCTAGACAGAAGAATTCTCAGTAACTTCCTTGTGTTGTGTGTATTCAACTCACAGAGTTGAACGATCCTTTACACAGAGCAGACTTGAAACACTCTTTTTGTGGAATTTGCAAGTGGAGATTTCAGCCGCTTTGAGGTCAATGGTAGAAAAGGAAATATCCTCGTATAGAAACAAGACAGAATGATTCTCAGAAACTCCTTTGTGATGTTTGCGTTCAACTCACAGAGTTTAACCTTTCTTTTCATAGAGCAGTTAGGAAACACACTGTTTATAAAGTCTGCAAGTGGATATTCAGACCTCCTTGAGGCCTTCGTTGGAAACGGGATTTCTTCATATTCTGCTAGACAGAAGAATTCCCAGTAACTTCCTTGTGTTGTGTGTATTCAACTCACAGAGTTGAACGATCCTTTACACAGAGCAGACTTGAAACACTCTTTTTGTTGAATTTGCAAGTGGAGATTTCAGCCGCTTTGAGGTCAATGGTAGAATAGGAAATATCTTCCTATAGAAACTAGACAGAATGATTCTCAGAAACTCGTTTGTGATGTGTGTGTTCAACTCACAGAGTTTAACCTTTCTTTTCATAGAGCCGTTAGTAAACACTCTGTTTATAAAGTCTGCATGTGGATATTCAGACCCCTTTGAGGCCTTCGTTGGAAACGGGATTTCTTCATATTATGCTAGACAGAAGATTTCTAAGTAACTTCCTTGTGTTGTGTGTATTCAACTGACAGAGTTTAACTTTCATTTAGAGAGAGCAGATTTGAAACACTGTTTTCGTGGAATTTGCAATTGGAGATTTCAAGCGCTTTGGGGCCAAAGGCAGAAAAGGAAATATCTTCGTATAAAAACTAGACAGAATCATTCTCAGAAACTGCTCTGCGATGTGTGCGTTCAACTCTCAGAGTTTAACTTTTCTTTTCATTCAGCAGTTTGGAAACACTCTGTTTCTAAAGTCTGCACGTGGATAATTTGACCACTTAGAGGCCTTCGTTGGAAACGGGTTTTTTTCATGTAAGGCTAGACAGAAGAATTCCCAGTAACTTCCTTGTGTTGTGTGCATTCAACTCACAGAGATGAACATTCCCTTAGACAGAGCAGATTTGAAACACTCTATTTGTGTAATTTGCAAGTGTAGATTTCAAGCGATTTAAGGTCAATGGCCGAAAAGGAGATATCTTCGTTTCAAAACTAGACAGAATGATTCTCTGAAACTCCTTTGTGATGTGTGCGTTCAACTCACAGAGTTTAACCTTTCTTTTCATAGAGCAGTTAGGAAACACTCTGTTTGAAAAGTCTGCAAGTGGATATTCAGACCTCTTTGAGGCCTTCGTTGGAAACGGGATTTCTTCATATTATGCTAGACAGAAGAATTCTCAGTAACTTCCTTGTGTTGTGTGTATTCAACTCACAGAGTTGAACGATCCTTTACACAGAGCAGACTTGAAACACTCTTTTTGTGGAATTTGCAATTTGAGATTACAGCCGCTTTGAGGTCAATAGTAGAAAAGGAAATATCTTCGTAGAAAAACTAGACAGAATGATTCTCAGAAACTCCTTTATGATGTGTGTGTTCAACTCACAGAGTTTAACCTTTCTTTTCATAGAGCAGTTAGTAAACACTCTGTTTATAAAGTCTGCAAGTGGATATTCAGATCCCTTTGTGGCCTTCGTTGGAAACGGGATTTCTTCATATTATGCTAGACAGAAGAATTCCCAGTAACTTCCCTTGTGTTGTGTGTGTTCAACTCACAGAGTTGAACTTTGATTTACACAGAGCAGATTTGAAACACTCTTTTTGTGGAATTTGCAAGTGGAGATTTCAAGCGCTTTGAGGCCAAAGGCAGAAAAGGAAATATCTTCGTATAAAAACTAGACAGAATCATTCTCAGAAACTGCTGCGTGATGTGTGCGTTCAACTCTCAGAGTTTAACTTTTCTTTTCATTCAGCGGTTTGGAAACACTCTGTTTGTAAAGTCTGCAAGTGGATATTTTGACCACTTAGAGGCCTTCGTTGGAAACGGGTTTTTTTCACGTAAGGCTAGACAGAAGAATTCCCAGTAACTTCCTTGTGTTGTGTGCATTCAACTCACAGAGTTGAACGTTCCCTTAGACAGAGCAGATTTGAAACACTCTATTTGTGCAATTGGCAAGTGTAGATTTCAAGCGCTTTAAGGTCAATGGCAGAAAAGGAAATATCGTCGTTACAAAACTAGACAGAATGATTCTCAGAAACTTCTTTGTGATGTGTGCGTTCAACTCACAGAGTTTAACCTTTCTTTTCATAGAGCAGTTAGGAAACAGTCTGTTTGTCAATTCTGTAAGTGGATATTCTGACATCTTGTGGCCTTCGTTGGAAACGGGATTTCTTCATATTCTGCTAGACAGAAGAATTCTCAGTAACTTCCTTGTGTTGTGTGTATTCAACTCACAGGAGTTGAACGATCCTTTACACAGAGCAGACTTGAAACACTCTTTTTGTGGAATTTGCAAGTGGAGATTTCAGCCGCTTTGAGGTCAATGGTAGAAAAGGAAATATCTTCGTATAAAAACTAGACAGAATGATTCTCAGAAACTCCTTTGTGATGTGTGTGTTCAACTCACAGAGTTTAACCTTTCTTTTCATAGAGCAGTTAGTAAACACTCTGTTTATAAAGTCTGCAAGTGGATATTCAAACCCCTTTGAGGCCTTCGTTGGAAACGGGATTTCTTCATATTCTGCTAGACAGAAGGATTCCCAGTAACTTCCTTGTGTTGTGTGTGTTCAACTCACAGAGTTGAACTTTCATTTACAAAGAGCAGATTTGAAACACTCTTTTTGTGGAATTTGCAAGTGGAGATTTCAAGCGCTTTGAGGCCAAAGGCAGAAAAGGAAATATCTTCGTATAAAAACTAGACAGAATCATTCTCAGAAACTGCTCTGCGATGTGTGCGTTCAACTCTCAGATTTTAACTTTTCTATTCATTCAGCAGTTTGGAAACACTCTGTTTGTAACGTCTGCACGTGGATAATTTGACCACTTAGAGGCCTTCGTTGGAAACGGGTTTTTTTCATGTAAGGCTAGACAGAAGAATTCTCAGTAACTTCCTTGTGTTGTGTGCATTCAACTCAAAGAGTTGAACGTTCCCTTAGACAGAGCAGATTTGAAACACTCTACTTGTGCAATTTGCAAGTGTAGATTTCAAGCGCTTTAAGGTCAATGACAGAAAAGGAAATATCTTCGTTTCAAAACTAGACAGAATCATTCCCAGAAACTGCGTTGTCATGTGTTCGTTCAACTCACAGAGTTTAACCTTTCTGTTCATAGAGCAGTTAGGAAACACTCTGTAAAGTTTGTAAGTGGATATTCTGACATCTTGTGGCCTTCGTTGGAAACGGGATTTCTTCATATTCTGCTAGACAGAAGAATTCTCAGTAACTTCCTTGTGTTGTGTGTATTCAACTCACAGAGTTGAACGATCCTTTTCACAGAGCAGACTTGAAACACTCTTTTTGTGGAATTTGCAAGTGGAGATTTCAGCCGCTTTGAGGTCAATGGTAGAAAAGGAAATATCTTCGTATAAAGACTAGACTGAAAGATTCTCAGAAACTCCTTTGTGATGTGTGTGTTCAACTCACAGAGTTTAACATTTCTTTTCGTAGTGCAGTTAGTAAACACTCTGTTTATAAAGTCTGCAAGTGGATATTCAGACCCCTTTGAGGCCTTCGTTGGAAACGGGATTTCTTCATATTCTGCTAGACAGAAGAATTCTCAGTAACTTCCTTGTGTTGGGTGTATTCAACTGACAGAGTTGAACTTTCATTTAGAGAGAGCAGATTTGAAACACTGTTTTTGTGGAATTTGCAAGTGGAGATTTCAAGCGCTTTGGGGCCAAAGGCAGAAAAGGAAATATCTTCGTATAAAAACTAGACAGAATCATTCTCAGAAACTGCTGCGTGATGTGTGCGTTCAACTCTCAGAGTTTAACTTTTCTTTTCATTCAGCGGTTTGGAAACACTCTGTTTGTAAAGTCTGCACGTTGATATTTTGACCACTTAGAGGCCTTCGTTGGAAACGGGTTTTTTTCATATAAGGCTAGATAGAAGAATTCCCAGTAACTTCCTTGTGTTGTGTGCATTCAACTCACAGAGTTGAACGTTCCCTTAGACAGAGCAGATTTGAAACACTCTATTTGTGCAATTTGCAAGTGTAGATTTCAAGTGTTTAAGGTCAATGGCAGAAAAGGAAATATCTTCGTTTCAAAACTAGACAGAATCATTCCCACAAACTGCGTTGTGATGTGTTCTTTCAACTCACAGAGTTTAACCTTTCTGTTCATAGAGCAGTTAGGAAACACTCTGTTTGTAAAGTCTGTAAGTGGATATTCTGACATCTTGTGGCCTTCGTTGGAAACGGGATTTCTTCATATTCTGCTAGACAGAAGAATTCTCAGTAACTTCCTTGTGTTGTGTGTATTCAACTCACAGAGTTGAACGACCCTTTACACAGAGCAGACTTGTAACACTCTTTTTGTGGAATTTGCAAGTGGAGATTTCAGCCACTTTGAAGTCAAAGGTAGAAAAGGAAATAACTTCCTATAAAAACTAGACAGAATGATTCTCAGAAACTCCTTTGTGATGTGTGCGTTCAACTCACAGAGTTTAACCTTTCTTTTCATAGAGCAGTTAGGAAACACTCTGTTTGTAAAGTCTGCAAGTGGATATTCAGACCTCTTTGAGGCCTTCGTTGGAAATGGGTTTTTTTCATATAAGGCTAGACAGAAGAATTCCCAGTAACTTCCCTTGTGTTGTGTGTGTTCAACTCACAGAGTTGAACTTTCATTTACACAGAGCAGATTTGAAACACTCTTTTTGTGGAATTTGCAAATGGAGATTTCAAGCGCTTTGAGGCCAAAGGCAGAAAAGGAAATATCTTCGTATAAAAACTAGACAGAATCGTTCTCAGAAACTGCTCTGCGATGTGTGCGTTCAACTCTCAGAGTTTAACTTTTCTTTTCATTCAGCAGTTTGGAAACACTCTGTTTGTAAAGTCTGCATGTGGATAATTTGACCACTTAGAGGCCTTCGTTGGAAACGGGTTTTTTTCATGTAAGGCTAGACAGAAGAATTCCCAATAACTTCCTTGTGTTGTGTGCATTCAACTCACAGAGTTGAACGTTCTTTTAGACAGAGCAGATCGGAAACAATCTTTTTGTGCAATTTGCAGGTGGAGATTTCAAGCGCTTTAAGGTCAATGGCAGAAAAAGATATATATCTTCATTTCAAAACTAGACAGAATCATTCCCACAAACTGCGTTCTGATGTGTTCGTTCAACTCACAGAGTTTAACCTTTCTTTTCATAGAGCAGTTAGGAAACAGTCTGTTTGTCAATTCTGTAAGTGGATATTCTGACATCTTGTGGCCTTCGTTGGAAACGGGATTTCTTCATATTCTGCTAGACAGAAGAATTCTCAGTAACTTCCGCGTGTTGTGTGTATTCAACTCACAGAGTTGAACGATCCTTTACACAGAGCAGAGTTGAAACACTCTTTTTGTGGAATTTGCAAGTGGAGATTTCAGCCGCTTTGAGGTCAATGGTAGAAAAGGAAATATCTTCGTATAAAAACTAGACAGAGATGATTCTCAGAACTCCTTTGTGATGTGTGCGTTCAACTCACAGAGTTTAACCTTTCTTTTCATAGAGCAGTTAGGAAACACTCTGTTTGTAAAGTCTGCAAGTGGATATTCAGACCTCTTTGAGGCCTTCGTTGGAAACGGGTTTTTTTCCTATAAGGCTAGACAGAGAATTCTCAGTAACTTCCTTGTGTTGTGTGTATTCAACTGACAGAGTTGAACTTTCATTTAGAGAGAGCTGATTTGAAACACTGTTTTTGTGGAATTTGCAAGTGGAGATATCAAGCGCTTTGGGGCCAAAGGCAGAAAAGGAAATATCTTCGTATAAAAACTAGACAGAATCATTCTCAGAAACTGCTGCGTGATGTGTGCGTTCAACTCTCAGAGTTTAACTTTTCTTTTCATTCAGCGGTTTGGAAACACTCTGTTTGTAAAGACTGCACGTGGATATTTTGACCACTTAGAGGCCTTCGTTGGAAACGGGTTTTTTTTCATGTAAGGCTAGACAGAAGAATTCCCAGTAACTTCCTTGTGTTGTGTGCATTCAACTCACAGAGTTGAACGTTCCCTTAGACAGAGCAGATTTGAAACACTCTATTTGTGCAATTTGCAAGTGTAGTTTTCAAGCTCTTTAAGGTCAACGGCAGAAAAGGAAATATCTTCGTTTCAAAACTAGACAGAATCATTCCCAGAAACTGCGTTGTGATGTGTTCGTTCAACTCACAGAGTTTAACCTTTCTTTTCATAGAGCAGTTAGGAAACAGTCTGTTTGTCAATTCTGTAAGTGGATATTCTGACATCTTGTGGCCTTCGTTGGAAACGGGATTTCTTCATATTCTGCTAGACAGAAGAATTCTCAGTAACTTCCTTGTGTTGTGTGTATTCTACTCACAGAGTTGAACGATCCTTTACACAGAGCAGACTTGAAACACTCTTTTTGTGGAATTTGCAAGTGGAGATTTCAGCCGCTTTGAGGTCAATGGTAGAATAGGAAATATCTTCCTATAGAAACTAGACAGAACGATTCTCAGAAACTCCTTTGTGATGTGTGCGTTCAACTCACAGAGTTTAACTTTTCTTTTCATAGAGCAGTTAGGAAACACTCTGTTTGTAAAGTCTGCAAGTGGATATTCAGACCTCTTTGAGGCCTTCGTTGGAAACGGGATTTCTTCATATTCTGCTAGACAGAAGAATTCTCAGTAACTTCCTTGTGTTGTGTGTATTCAACTGACAGAGTTGAACTTTCATTTAGAGAGAGCAGATTTGAAACACTGTTTTTGTGGAATTTGCAAGTGGTGACTTCAAGCGCTTTGGGGCCAAACGCAGAAAAGGAAATATCTTCGTATAAAAACTAGACAGAATCATTCTCAGAAACTGCTGCGTGATGTGTGCGTTCAACTCTCAGACTTTAACTTTTCTTTTCATTCAGCGGTTTGGAAACACTCTGTTTGTAAAGTCTGCACGTGGATATTTTGACCACTTAGAGGCCTTCGTTGGAAACGGGTTTTTTTCATATAAGGCTAGACAGAAGAATTCCCAGGAACTTCCTTGTGTTGTGCACATTCAACTCACAGAGTTGAACGTTCCCTTAGACAGAGCAGATTTGAAACACTCTTTTTGTGCAATTGGCAAGTGGTGATTTCAGCCGCTTTGAGGTCAATGGTAGAAAAGGAAATATCTTCGTATAAAAACTAGACAGAATCATTCCCACAAACTGCGTTGTGATGTGTTCGTTCAACTCACAGAGTTTAACCTTTCTTTTCATAGAGCAGTTAGGAAACACTCTGTTTGTAAATTCTGTAAGTGGATATTCTGACATCTTTTGGCCTTCGTTGGAAACGGGATTTCTTCATATTCTGCTAGACAGAAGAATTCTCAGAATCTTCCTTGTGTTGTGTGTCTTCAACTCACAGAGTTGAACGTTGGTTTACACAGAGCAGATTTGAAACACTCTTTTTGTGGAATTTGCAAGTGGAGATTTCAGCCGCTTTGAGGTCAATGGTAGAAAAGGAAATGTCTTCGTATAAAAACTAGACAGAATGATTCTCAGAAACTCCTTTGTGATGTGTGCGTTCAACTCACAGAGTTTAACCTTTCTTTTCATAGAGCAGTTAGGAAACACTGTGTTTGTAAAGTCTGCAAGTGGATATTCAGACCTCTTTGAGGCCTTCGTTGGAAACGGGATTTTTTCATATAAGGCTAGACAGAAGAATTCCCAGTAACTTCCTTGTGTTGTGTTTGTTCAACTCACAGAGTTGAACTTTCATTTACCCAGAGCAGATTTGAAACACTCTTTTTGTGGAATTTGCAAGTGGAGATTTCAAGCGCTTTGAGGCCAAAGGCAGAAAAGGAAATATCTTCGTTTCAAAACTAGACAGAATCATTCTCAGAAACTGCTCTGCGATGTGTGCGTTCAACTCTCAGAGTTTAACTTTTCTTTTCATTCAGCAGTTTGGAAACACTCTGTAAAGTCTGCACGTGGATATTTTGACCATTTAGAGGCTTTCGTTGGAAACGGGTTTTTTTCTTGTAAGGCTAGACAGAAGAATTCCCAGTAACTTCCTTGTGTTGTGTGCATTCAACTCACAGAGTTGAACGTTCCCTTAGACAGAGCAGATTTGAAACACTCTATTTGTGCAATTTGCAAGTGTAGATTTCAAGCGCTTTAAGGTCAATGGCAGAAAAGGAAATTTCTTCGTTTTAAAACTAGACAGAATGATTCTCAGAAAATCTTTTGTGATGTGTGCGTTCAACTCACAGAGTGTAACTTTTCTTCTCATAGAGCAGTTAGGAAACACTCTGTTTGTAAAGTCTGCAAGTGGATATTCAGACCTCTTTGAGGTCTTCGTTGGAAACGGGATTTCTTCATATTATGCTAGACAGAAGAATTCTCAGTAACTTCCTTGTGTTGTGTGTATTCAACTCACCGAGTTGAACGATCCTTTACACAGAGCAGACTTGAAAGACTCTTTTTGTGGAATTTGCAAGTGGAGATTTCAGCCGCTTTGAGGTCAATGGCAGAAAAGGAAATATCTTCCTATAGAAACTAGACAGAATGATTCTCAGAAACTTCTTTGTGATGTGTGCGTTCAACTCACAGAGTTTAACCTTTCTTTTCATGGAGCAGTTAGGAAACACTCTGTTTGTAAACTCTGCAAGTGGATATTCAGACCTCTTTGAGGCCTTCGTTGGAAACGGGATTTCTTCATACTGTGCTAGACAGAAGAATTCCCAGTAACTTCCTTGTGTTGTGTGTGTTCAACTCACAGAGTTGAACTTTCATTTACAGAGAGCAGATTTGAAACACTCTTTTTGTGGAATTTGCAAGTGGAGATTTCAAGCGCTTTGAGGCCAAAGGCAGAAAAGGAAATATCTTCGTATAAAAACTAGACAGAATCATTCTCAGAAACTGCTGCGTGATGTGTGCGTTCAACTCTCAGAGTTTAACTTTTCTTTTCATTCAGCGGTTTGGAAACACTCTGTTTGTAAAGTCTGCACGTGGAAATTTTGACCACTTAGAGGCCTTCGTTGGAAACGGGTTTTTTTCATGTAAGGCTAGACAGAAGAATTCCCAGTAACTTCGTTGTGTTGTGTACATTCAACTCACAGAGTTGAACGTTCCCTTAGACAGAGCAGATTTGAAACACTCTTTTTGTGCAATTGGCAAGTGGAGATTTCAAGCGCTTTAAGGTCAATGGCAGAAAAGGAAATATCTTCGTTTCAAAACTAGACAGAATCATTCCCACAAACTGCGTTGTGATGTGTTCGTTCAACTCACAGAGTTTAACCTTTCTTTTCATAGAGCAGTTAGGAAACACTCTGTTGGTAAATTCTGTAAGTGGATATTCTGACATCTTGTGGCCTTCGTTGGAAACGGGATTTCTACATATTCTGCTAGACAGAAGAATTCTCAGAAACTTCCTTGTGTTGTGTGTTTTCAACTCACAGATTTGAACGATGCTTTACAAAGAGTAGACTTGAAACACTCTTTTTGTGGAATTTGCAAGTGGAGATTTCAGCCGCTTTGAGGTCAATGGTAGAATAGGAAATATCTTCCTATAGAAACTAGACAGAATGATTCTCAGAAAATCCTTTGTGATGCGTGCGTTCAACTCACAGAGTTTAACTTTTCTTTTCATAGAGCAGTTAGGAAACACTCTGTAAAGTCTGCAAGTGGATATTGAGACCCCTTTGAGGCCCTCGTTGGAAACGTGATTTCTTCATATTCTGCTAGACAGAAGAATTCCCAGTAACTTCCTTGTGTTGTGTGTGTTCAACTCACAGAGTTGAACGTTCCCTTAGACAGAGGAGATTTGAAACACTCTTTTTGTGGAATTTGCAAGTGGAGATTTCAAGCGCTTTGAGGCCAAAGGCAGAAAAGGAAATATCTTCGTATAAAAACTAGACAGAATCATTCTCAGAAACTGCTCTGTGATGTGTGCGTTCAACTCTCAGAGTTTAACTTTTCTTTTCATTCAGCAGTTTGGAAACACTCTGTTTGTAAAGTCTGCACGTGGATAATTTGACCACTTAGAGGCCTTCGTTGGAAACGGGTTTTTTTCATGTAAGGCTATACAGAAGAATTCCCAGTAACTTCCTTGTGTTGTGTACATTCAACTCACAGAGTTGAACGTTCCCTTAGACAGAACAGATTTGAAACACTCTTTTTGTGCAATTGGCAAGTGGTGATTTCAGCCGCTTTGAGGTCAATGGTAGAAAAGGAAATATCTTCGTATAAAAACTAGACAGAATGATTCTCAGACACTCCTTTGTGATGTGTGCGTTCAACTCACAGAGTTTAACCTTTCTTTTCATAGAGCAGTTAGGAAACACTCTGTTTGTAAAGTCTGCAAGTGGATATTCAGACCTCTTTGAGGCCTTCGTTGGAAACGGGATTTCTTCATATTATGCTAGACAGAAGAATTCTCAGTAACTTCCTTTTGTTGTGTGTATTCAACTCACAGAGTTGAACGATCCTTTACACAGAGCAGACTTGAAACACTCTTTTTGTGGAAATTGCAAGTGGAGATTTCAGCCGCTTTGAGGTCAATGGTAAAAAAGGAAATATCTTCGTATAAAAACTAGACAGAATGATTCTCAGAAACTCCTTTGTGATTTGTGTGTTCAACCCACAGAGTTTAACATTTCTTTTCATAGAGCAGTTAGGAAACACTCTGTTTGTAAAGTCTGCAAGTGGATATTCAGACCTCTTTGAGGCCTTCGTTGGAAACGGGTTTTTTTCATATAAGGCTAGACAGAAGAATTCCCAGTAACTTCCTTGTGTTGTGTGTGTTCAACTCACAGAGTTGAACTTTCATTTACACAGAGCAGATTTGAAACACTCTTTTTGTGGAATTTGCAAGTGGAGATTTCAAGCGCTTTGAGGCCAAAGGCAGAAAAGGAAATATCTTCGTTTCCAAACTAGACAGAATCATTCTCAGAAACTGCTCTGTGATGTGTGCGTTCAACTCTCAGAGTTTAACTTTTCTTTTCATTCAGCAGTTTGGAAACACTCTGTTTCTAAAGTCTGCACGTGGATAATTTGACCACTTAGAGGCCTTCGTTGGAAACGGGTTTTTTTCATGTAAGGCTAGACAGAAGAATTCCCAGTAACTTCCTTGTGTTGTGTGCATTCAACTCACAGAGTTGAACGTTCCCTTAGACAGAGCAGATTTGAAACAGCCTATTTGTGCAATTTGCAAGTGTAGATTTCAAGCTCTTTAAGGTCAACGGCAGAAAAGGAAATATCTTCGTTTCAAAACTAGACAGAATTATTCCCACAAACTGCGATGTGATGTGTTCGGTCAACTCACAGAGTTTAACCTTTCTGTTCATAGAGCAGTTAGGAAACACTCTGTTTGTAAAGTCTGTAAGTGGATATTATGACATCATGTGGCCTTCTTTGGAAACGGGATTTCTTCATATTATGCTAGACAGAAGAATTCTCAGTAACTTCCTTGTGTTGTGTGTATTCAACTCACAGAGTTGAACCATCCTTTACACAGAGCAGACTTGAAACACTCTTTTTGTGGAATTTGCAAGTGGAGATTTCAGCCGCTTTGAGGTCAATAGTAGAAAAGGAAATATCTTCGTAGAAAAACTAGACAGAATGATTCTCAGAAACTCCTTTGTGATGTGGGTGTTCAACTCACAGGGTTTAACCTTTCTTTTCATAGAGCAGTTAGGAAACACTCTGTTTGTAAAGTCTGCAAGTGGATATTTTCACCTCTTTGAGGCCTTCGTTGGAAACGGGTTTTTTTTCATGTAAGGCTAGACAGAAGAATTCTCAGTAACTTCCTTGTGTTGTGTGTATTCAACTGACAGAGTTGGACTTTCATTTAGAGAGAGCAGATTTGAAACACTGTTTTTGTGGAATTTGCAAGTGGAGATTTCAAGCGCTTTGGGGCCAAAGGCAGAAAAGGAAATATCTTCGTATAAAAACTAGACAGAATCATTCTCAGAAACTGCTGCGTGATGTGTGCGTTCAACTCTCAGAGTTTAACTTTTCTTTTCATTCAGCGGTTTGGAAACACTCTGTTTGTAAAGTCTGCACGTGGATATTTTGACCACTTAGAGGCCTTCGTTGGAAACGGGTTTTTTTCATGTAAGGCTAGACAGAAGGAATTCCCAGTAACTTCCTTGTGTTGTGTGCATTCAACTCACAGAGTTGAACGTTCCCTTAGACAGAGCAGATTTGAAACACTCTATTTGTGCAATTTGCAAGTGTAGATTTCAAGCGCTTTAAAGTCAATGGCAGAAAAGGAAATATCTTCGTTTCAAAACTAGACAGAATCATTCCCACAAACTGCGTTGTGATGTGTTCGTTCAACTCACAGAGTTTAACCTTTCTTTTCATAGAGCACTTAGGAAACAGTCTGTTTGTAAATTCTGTAAGTGGATATTCTGACATACTTGTGGCCTTCGTTGGAAACGGGATTTCTTCATATTCTGCTAGACAGAATAATTCTCAGTAACTTCCTTGTGTTGTGTGTATTCAACTCTCAGAGTTGAACGATCCTTTACAGAGAGCAGACTTGAAACACTCTTTTTGTGGAATTTGCAAGTGGAGATTTCAGCCGCTTTGAGGTCAATGGTAGAATAGGAAATATCTTCCTATAGAAACTAGACAGAATGATTCTCAGAAACTCCTTTGTGATGTGTGCGTTCAACTCACAGAGTTTAACCTTTCTTTTCATAGAGCAGTTAGGAAACACTCTGTTTGTAAAGTCTGCAAGTGGATATTCAGACCTCTTTGAGGCCTTCGTTGGAAACGGGTTTTTTTCATGTAAGGCTAGACAGAAGAATTCCCAGTAACTTCCTTGTGTTGTGTGTGTTCAACTCACAGAGTTGAACTTTCATTTACACAGAGCAGATTTGAAACACTCTTTTTGTGGAATTTGCAAGTGGAGATTACAAGCGCTTTGAGGCCAAAGGCAGAAAAGGAAATATCTTCGTTTCAAAACTAGACAGAATAATTCTCAGAAACTGCTGCGTGATGTGTGCGTTCAACTCTCAGAGTTTAACTTTTCTTTTCATTCAGCGGTTTGGAAACACTCTGTTTGTAAAGTCTGCACGTGGATATTTTGGCCACTTAGAGGCCTTCGTTGGAAACGGGTTTTTTTCATGTAAGGCTAGACAGAAGAATTCCCAGTAACTTCCTTGTGTTGTGTGCATTCAACTCACAGAGTTGAACGTTCCCTTAGACAGAGGAGATTTGAAACACTCTATTTGTGCAATTTGCAAGTGTAGTTTTGAAGCTCTTTAAGGTCAACGGCAGAAAAGGAAATATCTTCGTTTCAAAACTAGACAGAATCATTCCCACAAACTGCGTTGTGATGTGTTCGTTCAACTCACAGAGTTTAACCTTTCTGTTCATAGAGCAGTTAGGAAACACTCTGTTGTAAAGTCTGTAAGTGGATATTCTGACATCTTGTGGCCTTCGCTG
The DNA here is from genome assembly GCF_000001405.40 of Homo sapiens. Taxonomy (NCBI): domain Eukaryota; kingdom Metazoa; phylum Chordata; class Mammalia; order Primates; family Hominidae; genus Homo; species Homo sapiens. The sequence goes on from NC_000001.11 coordinate 124,033,295, forward strand.
GAAACGGGATTTCTTCATATTCTGCTAGACAGAAGAATTCTCAGTAACTTCCTTGTGTTGTGTGTATTCAACTCACAGAGTTGAACGATCCTTTACACAGTGCAGACTTCAAACACTCTTTTTGTGGAATTTGCAAGTGGAGATTTCAGCCGCTTTGAGGTCAATGGTAGAAAAGGAAACTATCTTCATATAAAGACTAGACAGAATGATTCTCATAAACTCCTTTGTGATGTGTGCGTTCAACTCACAGAGTTTAACCTTTCTTTTCATAGAGCAGTTAGGAAACACTCTGTTTGTAAAGTGTGCAAGTGGATATTCAGACCTCCTTGAGGCCTTCGTTGGAAACGGGATTTCTTCATATTCTGCTAGACAGAAGAATTCTCAGTAACTTCCTTGTGTTGTGTGTATTCAACTCACAGAGTTGAACGATCCTTTACACAGAGCAGACTTGAAACACTCCTTTTGTGGAATTTGCAAGTGGAGATTTCAGCCGCTTTGAGGTCAATGGTAGAAAAGGAAACTATGTTCTTACAAAGACTAGACAGAATCATTCTCAGAAACTGCTCTGCGATGTCTGCGTTCAACTCTCAGAGTTTAACTTTTCTTTTCATTCAGCAGTTTGGAAACACTCTGTTTGTAAAGTCTGCACGTGGATATTTTGACCACTTAGAGGCCTTCGTTGGAAACGGGTTTTTTTCCTGTAAGGCTAGACAGAAGAATTCCCAGTAACTTCCTTGTGTTGTGTGCATTCAACTCACAGAGTTGAACGTTCCCTTAGACAGAGCAGATTTGAAACACTCTATTTGTCCAATTTGCAAGTGTAGATTTCAAGCGCTTTAAGGTCAACGGCAGAAAAGGAAATATCTTCGTTTCAAAACTAGACAGAATCATTCCCACAAACTGCGTTGTGATGTGTTCGTTCAACTCACAGAGTTTAACTTTTCTGTTCATAGAGCAGTTAGGAAACACCCTGTTTGTAAAGTCTGCAAGTGGATATTCAGACCTCCTTGAGGCCTTCGTTGGAAACGGGATTTCTTCATATTCTGCTAGACAGAAGAATTCTCAGTAACTTCCTTTTGTTGTGTGTATTCAACTCACAGAGTTGAACGATCCTTTACACAGAGCAGACTTGAAACACTCTTTTTGTGGAATTTGCAAGTGGAGATTTCAGCCGCTTTGAGTTCAATGGTAGAATAGGAAATATCTTTCTATAGAAACTAGACAGAATGATTCTCAGAAACTCCTTTGTGATGTGTGCGTTCAACTCACAGAGTTTAACCTTTCTTTTCATAGAGCAGTTAGGAAACACTCTGTTTGTAAAGTCTGCAAGTGGATATTCAGACATCTTTGAGGCTTTCGTTGGAAACGGGATTTCTTCATATTCTGCTAGACAGAAGAATTCTCAGAAACTTCCTTGTGTTGTGCGTTTTCAACTCACAGAGTTGAACGATCCTTTACACAGAGCAGACTTGAAACACTCCTTTTGTGGAATTTGCAAGTGGAGATTTCAGCCGCTTTGAGGTCAATGTTAGAATAGGAAATATCTTCCTATAGAAACTAGACAGAATCATTCTCAGAAACTGCTGCGTGATGTGTGCATTCAACTCTCAGAGTTTAACTTTTCTTTTCATTCAGCGGTTTGGAAACACTCTGTTTGTAAAGTCTGCACGTGGAAATTTTGACCACTTAGAGGCCTTCGTTGGAAACGGGTTTTTTTCATGTAAGGCTAGACAGAAGAATTCCCAGTAACTTCCTTGTGTTGTGTGCATTCAACTCACAGAGTTGAACGTTCCCTTAGACAGAGCAGATTTGAAACACTCTATTTGTGCAATTTCCAAGTGTAGATTTCAAGCGCTTTAAGGTCAACGGCAGAAAAGGAAATATCTTCGTTTCAAAACTAGACAGAATCATTCCCACAAACTGCGTTGTGAGGTGTTCGTTCAACTCACAGAGTTTAACCTTTCTTTTCATAGAGCAGTTAAGAAACAGTCTGTTTGTAAATTCTGTAAGTGGATATTCTGACATCTTGTGGCCTTCGTTGGAAACGGGATTTCTTCATATTCTGCTAGACAGAAGAATTCTCAGAATCTTCCTTGTGTTGTGTGTATTCAACTCACACAGTTGAACGATTGTTTACACAGAGCAGATTTGAAACACTCCTTTTGTGGAATTTGCAAGTGGAGATTTCAGCCGCTTTGAGGTCCATGGTAGAAAAGGAAATATCTTCGTATAAAAACTAGACAGAAGGATTCTCAGAAACTTCATTGTGACGTGTGCGTTCAACTCACAGAGTTTAACCTTTCTTTTCATAGAGCAGTTAGGAAACACTCTGTTTGTAAAGTCTGCAAGTGGATATTCAGACCTCTTTGAGGCCTTCGTTGGAAAAGGGATTTCTTCATACTGTGCTAGACAGAAGAATTCTCAGTAACTTCCTTGTGTTGTGTGTATTCAACTGACAGAGTTGTAATTTCGTTTAGAGAGAGCAGATTTGAAACACTGTTTTTGTGGAATTTGCAAGTGGAGATTTCAAGCGCTTTGGGGCCAAAGGCAGAAAAGGAAATATCTTCGTATAAAAACTAGACAGAGTCATTCTCAGAAACTGCTGTGTGATGTGTGCGTTCAACTCTCAGAGTTTAACTTTTCTTTTCATTCAGCGGTTTGGAAACACTCTGTTTGTAAAGTCTGCACGTGGAAATTTTGACCACTTAGAGGCCTTCGTTGGAAACGGGTTTTTTTCATGTAAGGCTAGACAGAAGAATTCCCAGTAACTTCCTTGTGTTGTGTACATTCAACTCACAGAGTTGAACGTTCCCTTAGACAGAGCAGATTTGAAACACTCTTTTTGTGCGATTGGCAAGTGGAGATTTCAAGCGCTTTGAGGTCAATGGCAGAAAAGGAAATATCTTCGTTTCAAAACTAGACAGAATGATTCTCAGAAACTCCTTTGTGATGTGTGCGTTCAACTCACAGAGTTTAACATTTCTTTTCATAGAGCAGTTAGGAAACACTTTGTTTGTAAACTCTGCAAGTGGATATTCAGACCTCATTGAGGCCTTCTTTGGAAACGGGATTTCTTCATACTATGCTAGACAGAAGAATTCTCAGTAACTTCCTTGTGTTGTGTGTATTCAACTCAAAGAGTTGAACGATCCTTTACACAGAGCAGACTTGAAACACTCTTTTTGTGGAATTTGCAATTGGAGATTTCAGCCGCGTTGAGGTCAATGGTAGAAAAGGAAATATCTTCGTATAAAAACTAGACAGAATGATTCTCAGAAACTCCTTTGTGATGTGTGTGTTCAACTCACAGAGTTTAACCTTTCTTTTCATAGAGCAGTTAGGAAACACTCTGTTTGTAAAGTCTGCAAGTGGATATTCAGACCTCTTTGGGGCCTTCGTTGGAAACGGGTTTTTTTCATGTAAGGCTAGACAGAAGAATTCTCAGTAACTTCCTTGTGTTGTGTGTATTCAACTCACAGAGTTGAACGATCCTTTACACAGAGCAGACTTGAAACACTCTTTTTGCGGAATTTGCAAGTGGAGATTTCAGCCGCTTTGAAGTCCATGGTAGAAAAGGAAATATCTTCGTATAAAAACTAGACAGAATCATTCTCAGAAACTGCTCTGCGATGTGTGCGTTCAACTCTCAGAGTTTAACTTTTCTTTTCATTCAGCAGTTTGGAAACACTCTGTTTGTAAAGTCTGCACGTGGATATTTTGACCATTTAGAGGCCTTCGTTGGAAACGGGTTTTTTTCTTGTAAGGCTAGACAGAAGAATTCCCAGGAACTTCCTTGTGTTATGTACATTCAACTCACAGAGTTGAACGTTTCCTTAGACAGAGCAGATTTGAAACACTCTTTTTGTGCAATTGGCAAGTGGTGATTTCACCCGCTTTGAGGTCAATGGTAGAAAAGGAAATATCTTCGTATAAAAACTAGACATAATCATTCCCACAAACTGCGTTGTGATGTGTTCGTTCAACTCACAGAGTTTAACCTTTCTGTTCATAGAGCAGTTAGGAAACACTCTGTTTGTAAAGTCTGTAAGTGGATATTCTGACATCTTGTGGCCTACGTTGGAAACGGGATTTCTCCATATTCTGCTAGACAGAAGAATTCTCAGTAACTTCCTTGTGTTGTGTGTATTTAACTCACAGAGTTGAACGATCCTTTACACAGAGCAGAGTTGAAACACTCTTTTTGTGGAATTTGCAAGTGGAGATTTCAGCCGCTTTGAGGTCAATGGTAGAAAAGGAAATATCTTCGTATAAAGACTAGACAGAATGATTCTCAGAAACTCCTTTGTGATGTGTGCGTTCAACACACAGAGTTTAACTTTTCTTTTCATAGAGACGTTAGTAAACACTCTGTTTATAAAGTCTGCAAGTGGATATTCAGACCCCTTTGAGGCCTTCGTTGGAAACGGGATTTCTTCATATTATGCTAGACAGAAGAATTCCGAGTAACTTCCTTGTGTTGTGTGTGTTCAACTCACAGAGTTGAACTTTCATTTACACAGAGGAGATTTGAAACACTCTTTTTGTGGAATTTGCAAGTGGAGATTTCAAGCGCTTTGAGGCCAAAGGCAGAAAAGGAAATATCTTCGTATAAAAACTAGACAGAATCATTTTCAGAAACTGCTGCGTGATGTGTGCGTTCAACTCTCAGAGTTTAACTTTTCTTTTCATTCAGCGGTTTGGAAACACTCTGTTTGTAAAGTCTGCACGTGGATATTTTGACCACTTAGAGGCTTTCGTTGGAAACGGGTTTTTTTCATGTAAGGCTAGACAGAAGAATTCCCAGTAACTTCATTGTGTTGTGTGCATTCAACTCACAGAGTTGAACGTTCCCTTAGACAGAGCAGATTTGAAACACTCTATTTGTGCAATTTGCAAGTGTAGATTTCAAGCGCTTTAAGGTCAATGGCAGAAAAGGAAATATCTTCGTTTCAAAACTAGACAGAATGATTCTCAGAACCTCCTTTGTGATGTGTGCGTTCAACTCACAGAGTTTAACCTTTCTTTTCATAGAGCAGTTAGGAAACACTCTGTTTGTAAAGTCTGCAAGTGGATATTCAGACCTCCTTGAGGCCTTCGTTGGAAACGGGATTTCTTCATATTATGCTAGACAGAATAATTCTCAGTAACTTCCTTGTGTTGTGTGTATTCAACTCACAGAGTTGAACGATCCTTTACACAGAGCAGACTTGAAACACTCTTTTTGTGGAATTTGCAAGTGGAGATTTCAGCCGCTTTGAGGTTAATGGTAGAAAAGGAAATATCTTCGTATAAAGACTAGACAGAATGATTCTCAGAAACTCCTTTGTGATGTGTGTGTTCAACTCACAGAGTTTAACCTTTCTTTTCATAGAGCAGTTAGGAAACACTCTGTTTGTAAAGTCTGCAAGTGGATATTCAGCCCTCTTTGAGGCCTTCGTTGGAAACGGGTTTTTTTCATATAAGGCTAGACAGAAGAATTCTCAGTAACTTCCTTGTGTTGTGTGTATTCAACTGACAGAGTTGAACTTTCATTTAGAGAGAGCAGATTTGAAACACTGTTTTTGTGGAATTTGCAAGTGGAGATTTCAAGCGCTTTGGGCCAAAGGCAGAAAAGGAAATATCTTCGTATAAAAACTAGACAGAATCATTCTCAGAAACTGCTGCGTGATGTGTGCGTTCAACTCTCAGAGTTTAACTTTTCTTTTCATTCAGCGGTTTGGAAACACTCTGTTTGTAAAGTCTGCAAGTGGATATTTTGACCACTTAGAGGCCTTCGTTGGAAACGGGTTTTTTTCATGTAAGGCTAGACAGAAGAATTCCCAGTAACTTCCTTGTGTTGTGTGCGTTCAACTCACAGAGTTGAACTTTCATTTACACAGAGCAGATTTGAAACACTCTTTTTGTGGAATTTGCAAATGGAGATTTCAAGCGCTTTGAGGCCAAAGGCAGAAAAGGAAATGTCTTCGTTTCAAAACTAGACAGAATCATTCCCACAAACTGCGTTGTGATGTGTTCGTTCAACTCACAGAGTTTAACCTTTCTGTTCATAGAGCAGTTAAGAAACACTCTGTTTGTAAAGTCTGCAAGTGGATATTCAGACCTCCTAGAGGCCTTCGTTGGAAACGGGATTTCTTCATATTCTGCTAGACAGAAGAATTCTCAGTAACTTCCTTGGGTTGTGTGTATTCAACTCACAGAGTTGAACGATCCTTTACACAGAGCAGACTTGAAACACTCTTTTTGTGGAATTTGCAAGTGGAGATTTCAGCCGCTTTGAGGTCAATGGTAGAAAAGGAAATATCTTCGTATAAAGACTAGACATTATGATTCTCATAAACTCCTTTGTGATGTGTGCGTTCAACTCACAGTGTTTAACCTTTCTTTTCATAGAGCAGTTAGGAAACACTCTGTTTGTAAAGTCTGCAAGTGGATATTCAGACCTCTTTGAGGCCTTCGTTGGAAACGGGATTTCTTCATATTCTGCTACACAGAAGAATTCTCAGTAACTTCCCTTGTGTTGTGTGTATTCAACTCAGAGAGTTGAACGATCCTTTACACAGAGCAGACTTGAAACACTCTTTTTGTGGAATTTGCAATTGGAGATTTCAGGCGCTTTGAGGTCAATAGTAGAAAAGGAAATATCTTCGTAGAAAAACTAGACAGAATCATTCTCAGAAACTGCTCTGCGATGTGTGCGTTCAACTCTCAGAGTTTAACTTTTCTTTTCATTCAGCAGTTTGGAAACACTCTGTTTGTAAAGTCTGCACGTGGATATTTTGACCACTTAGAGGCCTTCGTTGGAAACGGTTTTTTTTCCTGTAAGGCTAGACAGAAGAATTCCCAGTAACTTCCTTGTGTTGTGTACATTCAACTCACAGAGTTGAACGTTCCCTTAGACAGAGCAGATTTGAAACACTCTTTGTGCAATTGGCAAGTGGAGATTTCAAGCGCTTTAAGGTCAATGGCAGAAAAGGAAATATCTTCGTTTCAAAACTAGACAGAACGATTCTCAGAAACTCCTTTGTGATGTGTGCGTTCAACTCACAGAGTTTAACCTTTCTTTTCATAGAGCAGTTAGGAAACACTCTGTTTGTAAAGTCTGCAAGTGGATATTCAGACCTCTTTGAGGCCTTCGTTGGAAACGGGATTTCCTCATATTCTGCTAGACAGAAGAATTCTCAGTAACTTCCTTGTGTTGTGTGTATTCAACTCACAGAGTTGAACGATCCTTTACACAGAGCAGACTTGAAACTCTCTTTTTGTGGAATTTGCAAGTGGAGATTTCAGCCGCTTTGAGGTCAATAGTAGAAAAGGAAATATCTTCGTAGAAAAACTAGACAGAATGATTCTCAGAAACTCCTTTGTGATGTGTGCGTTCAACTCACAGAGTTTAACCTTTCTTTTCATAGAGCAGTTAGGAAACACTCTGTTTGAAAAGTCTGCAAGTGGATACTCAGACCTCCTTGAGGCCTTCGTTGGAAACGGGATTTCTTCATATTATGCTAGACAGAAGAATTCTCAGTAACTTCCTTGTGTTGTGTGTATTCAACTGACAGAGTGGAACTTTTATTTAGAGAGAGCAGATTTGAAACACTGTTTTTGTGGAATTTGCAAGTGGAGATTTCAAGCGCTATGGGGCCAAAGGCAGAAAAGGAAATATCTTTGTATAAAAACTAGACAGAATCATTCTCAGAAACTGCTCTGTGATGTGTGCGATCAACTCTCAGAGTTTAACTTTTCTTTTCATTCAGCAGTTTGGAAACACTCTGTTTGTAAAGTCTGCACGTGGATAATTTGACCACTTAGAGGCCTTCATTGGAAACGGGTTTTTTTCATGTAAGGCTAGACAGAAGAGTTCTCAGTAACTTCCTTGTGTTGTGTGTATTCAACTCACACAGTTGAACGATCCTTTACAGAGAGCAGACTTGTAACACTCTTTTTGTGGAATTTGCAAGTGGAGATTTCAGCCGCTTTGAAGTCAAAGTAGAAAAGGAAATATCTGCCTATAAAAACTAGACAGAATCATTCCCACAAACTGCGTTGTGATGTGTTCGTTCAACTCACAGAGTTTAACCTTTGTTTTCATAGAGCAGTTAGGAAACACTCTGTTTGTAAAGTCTGTAAGTGGATATTCTGACATCTTGTGGCCTTCGTTGGAAACGGGATTTCTTCATATTCTGCTAGACAGAGAATTCTCAGTAACTTCCTTGTGTTGTGTGTATTCAACTCACAGAGTTGAACGATCCTTTACACAGAGCAGACTTGAAACACTCTTTTTGTGGAATTTGCAAGTGGAGATTTCAGCCGCTTTGAGGTCAATGGTAGAATAGGAAATATCTTCCTATAGAAACTAGACAGAATGATTCTCAGAAACTACTTTGTGATGTGTGCGTTCAACTCACAGAGTTTAACCTTTCTTTTCATAGAGCAGTTAGGAAACACTCTGTTTGTAAAGTCTGCAAGTGGATATTCAGACCTCTTTGAGGCCTTCGTTGGAAACGGGATTTCTTCATATTCTGCTAGACAGAAGAATTCCCAGTAACTTCCTTGTGTTGTGTGTGTTCAACTCACGGAGTTGAACTTTGATTTACACAGAGCAGATTTGAAACACTCTTTTTGTGGAATTTGCAAGTGGAGATTTCAAGCGCTTTGAGGCCAAAGGCAGGAAAGGGAATATCTTCATATAAAAACTAGACAGAATCATTCTCAGAAACTGCTCTGCGATGTGTGCGTTCAACTCTCAGAGTTTAACTTTTCTTTTCATTCAGCAGTTTGGAAACACTCTGTAAAGTCTGCACGTGGATATTTTGACCACTTAAAGGCGTTCGTTGGAAACGGGTTTTTTTCCTGTAAGGCTAGACAGAAGAATTCCCAGTAACTTCCTTGTGTTGTGTACATTCAACTCACAGAGTTGAACGTTCCCTTAGACAGAGCAGATTTGAAACACTCTTTTTGTGCAATTGGCAAGTGGAGATTTCAAGCGCTTTGAGGTCAATGGCAGAAAAGGAAATATCTTCGTTTCAAAACTAGACAGAATCATTCCCACAAACTGCGTTGTGATGTGTTCGTTCAACTCACAGTTTAACCTTTCTGTTCATAGAGCAGTTAGGAAACACTCTGTTTGTAAAGTCTGTAAGTGGATATTCTGACATCTTGTGGCCTTCGTTGGAAACGGGATTTCTTCATATTCTGCTAGACAGAAGAATTCTCAGTAACTTCCTTTTGTTGTGTGTATTCAACTCACAGAGTTGAACGATCCTTTACACAGAGCAGACTTGAAACACTCTTTTTGTGGAATTTCCAAGTGGAGATTTCAGCCGCTTTGAGGTCAATGGTAGAATAGGAAATATCTTCGTAGAAAAACTAGACAGAATGATTCTCAGAAACTCCTTTGTGATGTGTGCGTTCAACTCACAGAGTTTAACCTTTCTTTTCATAGAGCAGTTAGGAAACACTCTGTTTGTAAAGTCTGCAAGTGGATATTCAGACCTCTTTGAGGCCTTCGTTGGAAACGGGTTTTTTTCATATAAGGTTAGACAGAAGAATTCCCAGTAACTTCCTTGTGTTGTGTGTGTTCAACTCACAGAGTTGAACTTTCATTTACACAGAGCAGATTTGAAACACTCTTTTAGTGGAATTTGCAAATGGAGATTTCAAGCGCTTTGAGGCCAAAGGCAGAAAAGGAAATATCTTCGTATAAAAACTAGACAGAATCATTCTCAGAAACTGCTGCGTGATGTGTGCGTTCAACTCTCAGAGTTTAACTTTTCTTTTCATTCAGCGGTTTGGAAACACTCTGTTTGTAAAGTCTGCACGTGGATATTTTGACAACTTAGAGGCCTTCGTTGGAAACGGGTTTTTTTCATGTAAGGCTAGACAGAAGAATTCTCAGTAACTTCCTTGTGTTGTGTGTATTCAACTCACAGAGTTGAACGATCCTTTACACAGAGCAGACTTGTAACACTCTTTTTGTGGAATTTGCAAGTGGAGATTTCAGCCGCTTTCAAGTCAAAGGTCGAAAAGGAAATATCTTCCTATAAAAACTAGACAGAATGATTCTCAGAAACTCCTTTGTGATGTGTGCGTTCAACTCACAGAGTTTAACCTTTCTGTTCATAGAGCTGTTAGGAAACACTCTGTTTGTAAAGTCTGCAAGTGGATATTCAGAACTCCTTGAGGCCTTCGTTGGAAACGGGATTTCTTCATATTCTGCTAGACAGAAGAATTCTCAGTAACTTCCTTGTGTTGTGTGTATTCAACTCACAGAGTTGAACAATCCTTTACACAGAGCAGACTTGAAACACTCTTTTTGTGGAATTTGCAAGTGGAGATTTCAGCCGCTTTGAGGTCAATGGTAGAAAAGGAAACATCTCCGTATAAAGACTAGACAGAATGATTCTCAGAAACTCCTTTGTGATGTGTGCGTTCAACTCAAAGAGTTTAACCTTTCTTTTCATAGAGCAGTTAGGAAACACTCTGTTTGTAAAGTCTGCAAGTGGATATTCAGACATCCTTGAGGCTTTCTTTGGAAACGGGATTTCTTCATATTCTGCTAGAAAGAAGAATTCTCAGAAACTTCCTTGTGTTGTGTGTTTTCAACTCACAGAGATGAACGATCCTTTACACAGAGCAGACTTGAAACACTCCTTTTGTGGAATTTGCAAGTGGAGATTTCAGCCGCTTTGAGGTCAATGGTAGAATAGGAAATATCTTCCTATAGAAAGTAGACAGAATCATTCTCAGAAACTGCTCTGCGATGTGTGCGTTCAACTCTCAGAGTTTAACTTTTCTTTTCATTCAGCAGTTTGGAAACACTCTGTTTGTAAAGTCTGCACGTTGATAATTTGACCACTTAGAGGCCTTCGTTGGAAACGGGTTTTTTTCATATAAGGCTAGACAGAAGAATTCCCAGTAACTTCCTTGTGTTGTGTGTATTCAACTCACAGAGTTGAACGATCCTTTACACAGAGCAGACTTGTAACACTCTTTTTCTGGAATTTGCAAGTGGAGATTTCAGCCTCTTTGAAGTCAAAGGTAGAAAAGGAAATATCTTCCTATAAAAACTAGACAGAACGATTCTCAGAAACTCCTTTGTGATGTGTGCGTTCAACTCACAGAGTTTAACCTTTCTTTTCATAGAGCAGTTAGGAAACACTCTGTTTGTAAAGTCTGCAAGTGGATATTCAGACCTCCCTGAGGCCTTCGTTGGAAACGGGATTTCTTCATATTCTGCTACACAGAAGAATTCTCAGTAACTTCGTTGTGTTGTGTGTATTCAACTCACAGAGTTGAACGATCCTTTACACAGAGCAGACTTGAAACACTCTTTTTGTGGAATTTGCAAGTGGAGATTTCAGCCGCTTTGAGGTCAAAGGTAGAAAAGGAAATATCTTCGTATAAAGACTAGACAGAATGATTCTCAGAAACTCCTTTGTGATGTGTGCGTTCAACTCACAGAGTTTAACCTTTCTTTTCATAGAGCAGTTAGGAAACACTCTGATTGTAAAGTCTGCAAGTGGATATTCAGACCTCCTTGAGGCCTTCGTTGGAAACGGGATTTCTTCATATTCTGCTAGACAGAAGAATTCTCAGTAACTTCCTTGTGTTGTGTGTATTCAACTCACAGAGTTGAACGATCCTTTACACAGAGCAGACTTGAAACACTCTTTTTGTGGAATTTGCAAGTGGAGATTTCAGCCGCTCTGAGGTCAATGGTAGAATAGGAAATATCTTCCTATAGAAAATAGACAGAATCATTCTCAGAAACTGCTCTGTGATGTGTGCGTTCAACTCTCAGAGTTTAACTTTTCTTTTCATTCAGCAGTGTGGAAAAACTCTGTTTGTAAAGTCTGCACGTGGATATTCTGACCACTTAGAGGCCTTCGTTGGAAACGGGTTTTTTTCCTGTAAGGCTAGACAGAAGAATTCCCAGTAACTTCCCTGTGTTGTGTACATTCAACTCACAGAGTTGAACGTTCCCTTAGACAGAGCAGATTTGAAACACACTTTTTGTGCAATTGGCAAATGGAGATTTCAAGCGCTTTAAGTTCAATGGCAGAAAAGGAAATATCTTCGTTTCAAAACTAGACAGAATCATTCCCACAAACTGCGTTGTGATGTGTTCGTTCAACTCACAGAGTTTAACATTTCTGTTCATAGAGCAGTTAGGAAACACTCTGTTTGTAAAGTCTGCAAGTGGATATTCAGACCTCCTTGAGGCCTTCGTTGGAAACGGGATTTCTTCTTATTCTGCTAGACAGAAGAATTCCCAGTAACTTCCTTGTGTTGTGTGTATTCAACTCACAGAGTTGAATGATCCTTTACACAGAGAGGACTTGAAACACTCTTTTTGTGGAATTTGCAAGTGGAGATTTCAGCCGCTTTGAAGTCAAAGGTAGAAAAGGAAATATCTTCGTATAAAAACTAGACAGAATGATTCTCAGAAACTCCTTTGTGATGTGTGCGTTCAACTCACAGAGTTTAACCTTTCTTTTCTTAGAGCAGTTAGGAAACACTCTGTTTGTAATGTCTGCAAGTGGATATTCATACCTCCTTTAGGCCTTCGTTGGAAACGGGTTTTTTTCATATAAGGCTAGACAGAAGAATTCTCAGTAACTTACCTTGTGTTGTGTGTATTCAACTGACAGAGTTGAACTTTCATTTAGAGAGAGCAGATTTGAAACACTGTTTTTGTGGAATTTGCAAGTGGAGATTTCAAGCGCTTTGCGGCCAAAGGCAGAAAAGGAAATATCTTCGTATAAAAACTAGACAGAATCATTCTCAGAAACTACTGCGTGATGTGTGCGTTCAACTCTCAGAGTTTAACTTTTCTTTTCATTCAGCGGTTTGGAAACACTTTGTTTGTAAAGTCTGCACGTGGATATTTTGACCACCTAGAGGCCTTCGTTGGAAACGGGTTTTTTTCATGTAAGGCTAGACAGAAGAATTCCCAGTAACTTCCTTGTGTTGTGTACATTCAACTCACAGAGTTGAACGATCCCTTAGACAGAGCAGATTTGAAACACTCTTTTTGTGGAATTTGCAAATGGAGATTTCAAGCGCTTTGAGGCCAAAGGCAGAAAAGGAAATATCTTCGTATAAAAACTAGACAGAATCATTCCCACAAACTGCGTTGTGATGTGTTCGTTCAACTCACAGAGTTTAACCTTTCTGTTCATAGAGCAGTTAGGAAACACTCTGTTTGTAAAGTCTGCAAGTGGATATTCAGACCTCCTTGAGGCCTTCGTTGGAAACGGTATTTCTTAATATTCTGCTAGACAGAAGAATTCTCAGTAACTTCCTTGTGTTGTGTGTATTCAACTCACAGAGTTGAACGATCCTTTACACAGAGCAGACTTGAAACACTCTTTTTGTGGAATTCGCAAGTGGATATTTCAGCCGCTTTGAGGTCAATGGTAGAATAGGAAATATCTTCCTATAGAAACTAGACAGAATGATTCTCAGAAACTCCTTTGTGATGTGTGCGTTCAACTCACAGAGTTCAACTTTTCTTTTCATAGAGCAGTTAGGAAACACTCTGTTTGTAAAGTCTGCAAGTGGATATTCAGACCTCTTTGAGGCCTTCGTTGGAAGCGGGATTTCTTCATATTATGCTAGACAGAAGAATTCTCAGTAACTTCCTTGTGTTGTGTGTATTCAACTAACAGAGTTGAACTTTCATTTAGAGAGAGCAGATTTGAAACACTGTTTTTGTGGAATTTGCAAGTGGAGATTTCAAGCGCTTTGGGGCCAAAGGCAGAAAAGGAAATATCTTCGTATAAAAACTAGACAGAATCATTCTCACAAACTGCTCTGCGATGTGTGCGTTCAACTCTCAGAGTTTAACTTTTCTTTTCATTCAGCAGTTTGGAAACACTCTGTTTGTAAAGTCTGCACGTGGATATTTTGACCACTTAGAGGCCTTCGTTGGAAACGGGTTTTTTTCCTGTAAGGCTAGACAGAAGAATTCCCAGTAACTTCCCTTGTGTTGTGTACATTGAACTCACAGAGTTGAACGTTCCCTTAGACAGAGCAGATTTGAAACACTCTTTTTGTGCAATTGGCAAGTGGAGATTTCAAGCGCTTTAAGGTCAATGGCAGAAAAGGAAATATCTTCGTTTCAAAACTAGACAGAATCATTCCCACAAACTGTATTGTGATGTGTTCGTTCAACTCACAGAGTTTAACCTTTCTTTTCATAGAGCAGTTAGGAAACAGTCTGTTTGTAAATTCTGTAAGTGGATATTCTGACATCTTGTGGCCTTCGTTGGAAACGGGATTTCTTCATATTCTGCTAGTCAGAAGAATTCTCAGTAACTTCCTTGTGTTGTGTGTTTTCAACTCACAGAGTTGAACGATCCTTTACACAGAGCAGACTTGAAACACTCTTTTTTTGGAATTTGAAAGTGGAGATTTCAGCCGCTTTGAGGTCAATGGTAGAAAAGGAAACTATCTTCGTATAAAGACTAGACAGAATGATTCTCAGAAACTCCTTTGTGATGTGTGCGTTCAACTCACAGAGTTTAACCTTTCTTTTCATAGAGCAGTTAGGAAACACTCTGTTTGTAAAGTCTGCAAGTGGATATTCAGACCTCTTTGAGGCCATCGTTGGAAACGGGATTTGTTCATATTCTGCTAGAGAGAAGAATCCCCAGTAACTTCCTTGTGTTGTGTGTGTTCAACTCACAGAGTTGAACTTTCATTTACACAGAGCAGATTTGAAACACTCTTTTTGTGGAATTTGCAAGTGGAGATTTCAAGCGCTTTGAGGCCAAAGGCAGAAAAGGAAATATCTTCGTTTCAAAACTAGACAGAATCATTCTCAGAAACTGCTGCGTGATGTGTGCGTTCAACTCTCAGAGTTTAACTTTTCCTTTTCATTCAGCGGTTTGGAAACACTCTGTTTGTAAAGTCTGCACGTGGATATTTTGACCACTTAGAGGCCTTCGTTGGAAACGGGTTTTTTTCATGTAAGGCTAGACAGAAGAATTCTCAGTAACTTCCTTGTGTTGTGTGTATTCAACTCACAGAGTTGAACGATCCTTTACACAGAGCAGAACGATCCTTTACACAGAGCAGACTTGAAACATTCTTTTTGTGGAATTTGCAAGTGGAGATTTCAACCGCTTTGAGGTCAATGGTAGAATAGGAAATATCTTCCTATAGAAACTAGACAGAACGATTCTCAGAAACTCCTTTCTGATGTGTGCGTTCAACTCACAGAGTTTAACCTTTCTTTTCATATAGCAGTTAGGAAACACTCTGTTTGTAAAGTCTGCAAGTGGATATTCAGACCTCTTTGAGGCCTTCGTTGGAAACGGGATTTCTTCATATTCTGCTAGACAGAATAATTCTCAATAACTTCCTTGTGTTGCGTGTATTCAACTCTTAGAGTTGAACGATCCTTTACAGAGAGCAGACTTGAAACACTCTTTTTGTGGAATTTGCAAGTGGAGATTTCAGCCGCTTTGAGGTCAATGGTAGAATAGGAAATATCTTCCTATAGAAACTAGACAGAATGATTCTCATAAACTCCTTTGTGATGTGTGCGTTCAACTCACAAAGTTTAACTTTTCTTTTCATAGAGCAGTTAGGAAACACTCTGTTTGTAAAGTCTGCAAGTGGATATTCAGACCTCTTTGAGGCCTTCGTTGGAAACGGGATTTCTTCATATTATGCTAGACAGAAGAATTCTCAGTAACTTCCTTGTGTTGTGTGTATTCAACTCACAGAGTTGAACGATCCTTTACACAGAGCAGACTTGAAACATTCTTTTTGTGGAATTTGCAACTGGAGATTTCAGCCGCTTAGAGGTCAATGGTAGTATAGGAAATATCTTCCTATAGAAACTAGACACAATCATTCTCAGAAAGTGCTCTGCGATGTGTGCGTTCAACTCTCAGAGTTTAACTTTGCTTTTCATTCAGCAGTTTGGAAACACTCTGTTTGTAAAGTCTGCACGTGGATAATTTGACCACTTAGAGGCCTTCGTTGGAAACGGGTTTTTTTCATGTAAGGCTAGACAGAATAATTCCCAGTAACTTCCTTGTGTTGTGTACATTCAACTCACAGAGATGAACGTTCCCTTAGACAGAGCAGATTTGAAACACTCTTTTTGTGCAATTGACAAGTGGAGATTTCAAGCGCTTTAAGGTCACTGGCAGAAAAGGAAATATCTTCGTTTCAAATGTAGACAGAATGATTCCCACAAACTGCGTTGTGATGTGTTCGTTCAACTCACAGAGTTTAACCTTTCTTTTCATAGAGCAGTTAGGAAACACTCTGTTTGTAAATTCTGCAAGTGGATATTCAGACCTCTTTGAGGCCTTCGTTGCAAACGGGATTTCTTCATATTATGCCTGACAGAAGAATTCTCAGTAACTTCCTTGTGTTGTGTGTATTCAACTCACAGAGTTGAACGATCCTTTACACAGAGCAGACTTGAAACTCTCTTTTTGTGGAATTTGCAAGTGGAGATTTCAGCCGCTTTGAGTTCAATGGTAGAATAGGAAATATCTTCCTATAGAAACTAGACAGAATGATTCTCAGAAACTCCTTTGTGATGTGTGCGTTCAACTCACAGTAGTTTAACGTTTCTTTTCATAGAGCAGTTAGGAAACACTCTGTTTCTAAAGTATGCAAGTGGATATTCAGACCTCTTTGAGGCCTTCGTTGGAAACGGGTTTTTTTCATATAAGGCTAGAGAGAAGAATTCTCAGTAACTTCCTTGTGTTGTGTGTATTCAACTGACAGAGTTGAACTTTCATTTAGAGAGAGCTGATTTGAAACACTGTTTTTGTGGAATTTGCAAGTGGAGATTTCAAGCGCTTTGGGGCCAAAGGCAGAAAAGGAAATATCTTCGTATAAAAACTAGACAGAATCATTCTCAGAAACTGCTGCATGATGTGTGCGTTCAACTCTCAGAGTTTAACTTTTCTTTTCATTCAGCGGTTTGGAAACACTCTGTTTGTAAAGTCTGCACGTGGATATTTTGACCACTTAGAGGCCTTCGTTGGAAACGGGTTTTTTTTCATGTAAGGCTAGACAGAAGAATTCCCAGTAACTTCCTTGTGTTGTGTACATTCAACTCACAGAGTTGAACGTTCCCTTAGACAGAGCAGATTTGAAACACTCTTTTTGTGCAATTGGCAAGTGGAGATTTCAAGCGCTTTGAGGTCAATGGCAGAAAAGGAAATATCTTCGTTTCAAAACTAGACAGAATGATTCTCAGAAACTCCTTTGTGATGTGTGCGTTCATCTCACAGAGTTTAACTTTTCTTTTCATAGAGCAGTTAGGAAACACTCTGTTTGTAAAGTCTGCAAGTGGATATTCAGACCTCTTTGAGGCCTTCGTTGGAAACGGGATTCTTCATATTATGCTAGACAGAATAATTCTCAGTAACTTCCTTGTGTTGTGTGTATTCAACTCACAGAGATGAACGATCCTTTACAGAGAGCAGACTTGAAACACTCTTTTTGTGGAATTTGCAAGTGGAGATTTCAGCCGCTTTGAGGTCAATGGTAGAAAAGGAAATATCTTCGTATAAAGACTAGACAGAATGATTCTCAGAAACTCCTTTCTGATGTGTGTGTTCAACTCACAGAGTTTAACCTTTCTTTTCATAGAGCAGTTAGTAAACAGTCTGTTTATAAAGTCTGCAAGTGGATATTCAGACCCCTTTGAGGCCTTCGTTGGAAACGGGATTTCTTCATATTATGCTAGACAGAAGAATTCCCAGTAACTTCCTTGTGTTGTCTGTGTTCAACTCACGGAGTTGAGCTTTCATTTACACAGAGCAGATTTGAAACACTCTTTTTGTGGAATTTGCAAGTGGAGATTTCAAGCGCTTTGAGGCCAAAGGCAGAAAAGGAAATATCTTCGTATAAAATCTAGACAGAATCATTCTCAGAAACTGCTCTGTGATGTGTGCGTTCAACTCTCAGAGTTTAACTTTTCTTTTCATTCAGCAGTTTGGAAACACTCTGTTTGTAAAGTCTGCACGTGGATATTTTGACCACTTAGAGGCCTTCGTTGGAAACGGGTTTTCTTCATGTAAGGCTAGACAGAAGAATTCCCAGTAACTTCCTTGTGTTGTGTGCATTCAACTCACAGAGTTGAACGTTCCCTTAGACAGAGCAGATTTGAAACAGCCTATTTGTGCAATTTGCAAGTGTAGATTTCAAGCGCTTTAAGGTCAACGGCAGAAAAGGAAATATCTTCCTTTCAAAACTAGACAGAATCATTCCCACAAACTGCGTTGTGATGTGTTCGTTCAACTCACAGGGTTTAACCTTTCTGTTCATAGAGCAGTTAGGAAACACTCTGTTTGTAAAGTCTGCAAGTGGATATTCAGACCTCCTTGAGGCCTTCGTTGGAAACGGGATTTCTTCATATTCTGCTAGACAGAAGAATTCTCAGTAACTTCCTTGTGTTGTGTGTATTCAACTCACAGAGTTGAACGATCCTTTACACAGAGCAGACTTGAAACACTCTTTTTGTGGAATTTGCAAGTGGAGATTTCAGCCGCTTTGAGTTCAATGGTAGAATAGGAAATATCATCCTATAGAAACTAGACAGAATGATTCTCAGAAACTCCTTTGTGATGTGTGCGTTCAACTCACAGAGTTTAACCTTTCTTTTCATAGAGCAGTTAGGAAACACTCTGTTTGTAAAGTCTGCAAGTGGATATTCAGACCTCTTTGAGGTCTTCGTTGGAAACGGGTTTTTTTCATATAAGGCTAGACAGAAGAATTCCCAGTAACTTCCCTTGTGTTGTGTGTGTTCAACTCTGTGAGTTGAACTTTCATTTACACAGAGCAGATTGGAAACACTCTTTTTGTGGAATTTGCAAGTGGAGATTTCAAGCGCTTTGAGGCCAAAGGCAGAAAAGGAAATATCTTCGTATAAAAACTAGACAGAATCATTCTCAGAAACTGCTCTGCGATGTGTGCGTTCAACTCTCAGAGTTTAACTTTTGTTTTCATTCAGCAGTTTGGAAACACTCTGTTTGTAAAGTCTGCACGTGGATATTTTGAGCACTTAGAGGCCTTCGTTGGAAACGGGTTTTTATCCTGTAAGGCTAGACAGAAGAATTCCCAGTAACTTCCTTGTGTTGTGTACATTCAACTCACAGAGTTGAACGTTCCCTTAGACAGAGCAGATTTGAAACACTCTTTTTGTGCAATTGGCAAGTGGAGATTTCAAGCGCTTTAAGGTCAATGGCAGAAAAGGAAATATCTTCGTTTCAAAACTAGACAGAATGATTCTCAGAAACTCCTTTGTGATGTGTGCGTTCAACTCACAGAGTTTAACTTTTCTTTTCATAGAGCAGTTAGGAAACACTCTGTTTGTAAAGTCTGCAAGTGGATATTCAGACCTCTTTGAGGCTTTCGTTGGAAACGGGATTTCTTCATATTCTGCTAGACAGAAGAATTCTCAGAATCTTCCTTGTGTTGTGTGTATTCAACTCACAGAGTTGAACGATCCTTTACACAGAGCAGACTTGTAACACTCTTTTTGTGGAATTTGCAAGTGGAGATTTCAGCCGCTTTGAGGTCCATGGTAGAAAAGGAAATATCTTCGTATAAAAACTAGACAGAATGATTCTCAGAAACTCCTTTGTGATGTGTGCGTTCAACTCACAGAGTTTAACCTTTCTTTTCATAGAGCAGTTAGGAAACACTCTGTTTGTAAAGTCTGCAAGTGGATATTCAGACCTCCTTGAGGCCTTCGTTGGAAACGGGTTTTGTTCATATTATGCTAGACAGAAGAGTTCTCAGTAACTTCCTTGTGTTGTGTGTATTCAACTCACACAGTTGAACTTTCATTTACACAGAGCAGATTTGAAACACTCTTTTTGTGGAATTTGCAGGTGGAGATTTCAAGCGCTTTGAGGCCAAAGGCAGAAAAGGAAATATCTTCGTATAAAAACTAGACAGAATGATTCTCAGAAACTTCTTTGTGATGAGTGCGTTCAACTCACAGAGTTTAACCTTTCTTTTCATCGAGTAGTTAGGAAACACTCTGTTTGTAAAGTCTGCAAGTGGATATTTTGACCTCTTTGAGGCTTTCGTTGGAAACGGGTTTTTTTCCTGTAAGGCTAGACAGAAGAATTCCCAGTAACTTCCTTGTGTTGTGTACATTCAACTCACAGAGTTGAACGTTCCCTTAGACAGAGCAGATTTGAAACACTCTTTTTGTGCAATTGGCAAGTGGAGATTTCAAGCGCTTTAAGGTCAATGGCAGAAAAGGAAATATCTTCGTTTCAAAACTAGACAGAATGATTCTCAGAAACTCCTTTGTGATGTGTGCGTTGAACTCACAGAGTTTAACCTTTCTGTTCATAGAGCAGTTAGGAAACACTCTGTTTGTAAAGTCTGTAAGTGGATATTCTGACATCTTGTGGCCTTCGTTGGAAACGGGATTTCTTCATATTCTGCTAGACAGAAGAATTCTCAGTAACTTCCTTGTGTTGTGTGTATTCAACTCACAGAGTTGAACAATCCTTTACACAGAGCAGACTTGAAACACTCTTTTTGTGGAATTTGCAAGTGGAGATTTCAGCCGCTTTGAGGTCAATGGTAGAAAAGGAAACTATCTTCATATAAAGACTTGACAGAATGATTCTCAGAAACTCCTTTGTGATATGTGCGTTCAACTCACAGAGTTTAACCTTTCTTTTCATAGAGCAGTTAGGAAACACTCTGTTTGTAAAATCTGCATGTGGATATTTGGACTTCTTTGAGGCCTTCGTTGGAAACGGGTTTTTTTCATGTAAGGCTAGACAGAAGAATTCCCAGTAACTTCCTTGTGTTGTGTGTGTTCAACTCACAGAGTTGAACTTTGATTTACACAGAGCAGATTTGAAACACTCTTTTTGTGGAATTTGCAAATGGAGATTTCAAGCGCTTTGAGGCCAAAGGCAGAAAAGGAAATATCTTTGTATAAAAACTAGACAGAATGATTCTCAGAAACTCCTTTGTGATGTGTGCGTTCAACTCACAGAGTTCAACCTTTCTTTTCATAGAGCAGTTGGGAAACACTCTGTTAGTAAAGTCTGCTAGTGGATATTCAGACCTCTTTGAGGCCTTCGTTGGAAGCGGGATTTCTTCATATTCTGCTAGACAAAAGAATTCTCAGTAACTTCCTTGTGTTGTGTGTATTCAACTCACAGAATTGAACGATCCTTTACACAGAGCAGACTTCAAACACTCTTTTTGTGGAATTTGCAAGTGGAGATTTCAGCCGCTTTGAGGTCAATGGTAGAAAAGGAAATATCTTCGTATAAAAACTAGACAGAATGATTCTCAGAAACTCCTTTGTGATGTGTGCGTTCAACTCACAGAGTTTAACCTTTCTTTTCATAGAGCAGTTAGGAAACACTCTGTTTGTAAAGTCTGCAAGTTGATATTCAGACCTCCTTGAGGCCTTCGTTGGAAACGGGATTTCTTCATATTATGCTAGACAGAAGAATTCTCAGTAACTTCCTTGTGTTGTGTGTATTCAACTCACAGAGTTGAACGATCCTTTACACAGAGCAGACTTGAAACACTCTTTTTGTGGAATTTGCAAGTGGAGATTTCAGCCGCTTTGAGGTCAATGGTAGAAAAGGAAATATCTTCGTATAAAAACGAGACAGAATGATTCTCAGAAACTTCTTTGTGATGTGTGCGTTCAACTCACAGAGTTTAACCTTTCTGTTCATAGTGCAGTTAGGAAACACTCTGTTTGTAAACTCTGCAAGTGGATATTCAGACCTCTTTGAGGCCTTCGATGGAAACGGGATTTCTCCATACTGTGCTAGACAGAAGAATTCCCAGTAACTTCCTTGTGTTGTGTGTGTTCAACTCACAGAGTTGAACTTTCATTTACACAGAGCAGATTTGAAACACTCTTTTTGTGGAATTTGCAAGTGGAGATTTCAAGCGGTTTGAGGCCAAAGGTAGAAAAGGAAATATCTTCGTTTCAAAACTAGACAGAATCATTCTCAGAAACTGCTCTGCGATGTGTGCGTTCAACTCTCAGAGTTTAACTTTTCTTTTCATTCAGCAGTTTGGAAACACTCTGTTTGTAAATTCTGCACGTGGATATTTTGACCACTTAGAGGCCTTCGTTGGAAACGGGTTTTTTTCCTGTAAGGCTAGACAGAAGAAATCCCAGTAACTTCCTTGTGTTGTGTGCATTCAACTCACAGAGTTGAACGTTCCCTTAGACAGAGCAGATTTGAAACACTCTATTTGTGCAATTTCCAAGTGTAGATTTGAAGCGCTTTAAGGTCAACGGCAGAAAAGGAAATATCTTCGTTTCAAAACTAGACAGAAATCATTCTCATAAACTGCTCTGCGATGTGTGCGTTCAACTCTCAGAGTTTAACTTTTCTTCTCATTCAGCAGTTTGGAAACACTCTGTTTGTAAAGTCTGCACGTGGATAATTTGACCACTTAGAGGCCTTCGTTGGAAACGGGTTTTTTTCATGTAAGGCTAGACAGAAGAATTCTCAGTAACTTCCTTGTGTTGTGTGTATTCAACTCACAGAGTTGAACGATCCTTTACACAGAGCAGACTTGTAACACTCTTTTTGTGGAATTTGCAAGTGGAGATTTCAGCCGCTTTGAAGTCTAAGGTAGAAAAGGAAATATCTTCCTATAAAAACTAGACAGAATGATTCTCAGAAACTCCTTTGTGATGTGTGCGTTCAACTCACAGAGTTTAACCTTTCTTTTCATAGAGCAGTTAGGAAACACTCTGTTTGTAAAGTCTCCAAGTGGATATTCAGACCTCTTTGAGGCCTTCGTTGGAAACGGGTTTTTTTCATATAAGGCTAGACAGAAGAATTCCCAGTAACTTCCTTGTGTTGTGTGTGTTCAACTCACAGAGTTGAACTTTCGTTTACACAGAGCAGATTTGAAACACTCTTTTTGTGGAATTTGCAAATGGAGATTTCAAGCGCTTTGAGGCCAAAGGCAGAAAAGGAAATATCTTCGTATAAAAACTAGACAGAATCATTCTCAGAAACTGCTGCGTGATGTGTGCGTTCAACTCTCAGAATTTAACTTTTCTTTTCATTCAGCGGTTTGGAAACACTCTGTTTGTAAAGTCTGCACGTGGAAATTTTGACCACTTAGAGGCCTTCGTTGGAAACGGGTTTTTTTCATGTAAGGCTAGACAGAAGAATTCCCAGTAACTTCCTTGTGTTGTGTGCATTCAACTCACAGAGTTGAACGTTCCCTTAGACAGAGCAGATTTGAAACACTCTATTTGTGCAATTTGCAAGTGTAGATTTCAAGCGCTTTAAGGTCAATGGCAGAAAAGGAAATATCTTCGTTTCAAAACTAGAGAGAATGATTCTCAGAAACTCCTTTGTGATGTGTGCGTTCAACTCACAGAGTTTAACCTTTCTTTTCATAGAGCAGTTAGGAAACACTCTGTTGGTAAAGTCTGCAAGTGGATATTCAGACCTCTTTGAGGCCTTCGTTGGAAGCGGGATTTCTTCATGTTCTGCTAGACAGAAGAATTCTCAGAAACTTCCTTGTGTTGTGTGTTTTCAACTCACAGAGTTGAACGATGCTTTACACAGAGTAGACTTGAAACACTCTTTTTGTGTAATTTGCAAGTGGAGATTTCATCCGCTTTGAGGTCAATGGTAGAAAAGGAAATATCTTCGTATAAAAACTAGACAGAATGATTCTCAGAAACTCCTTTGTGATGTGTGTGTTCAACTCACAGAGTTTAACGTTTCTTTTCATAGAGCAGTTAGTAAACACTCTGTTTATAAAGTCTGCAAGTGGATATTCAGACCCCTTTGAGGCCTTCGTTGGAAACGGGATTTCATCATATTATGCTAGACAGAAGAATTCTCAGTAACTTCCTTGTGTTGTGTGTATTCAACTGACAGAGTTGAACTTTCATTTAGAGAGAGCAGATTTGAAACACTGTTTTTGTGGAATTTGCAAGTGGAGATTTCAAGCGCTTTGGGGCCAAAGGCAGAAAAGGAGATATCTTCGTATAAAAACTAGACAGAATGATTCTCAGAAACTCCTTTGTGATGTGTGCGTTCAACTCTCAGAGTTTAACTTTTCTTTTCATTCAGCAGTTTGGAAACACTCTGTTTGTAAAGTCTGCACGTGGATATTTTGACCACTTAGAGGCCTTCGTTGGAAACGGGTTTTTTTACCTGTAAGGCTAGACAGAAGAATTCCCAGTAACTTCCTTGTGTTGTGTGCATTCAACTCACAGAGATGAACGTTCCCTTAGACAGAGCAGATTTGAAACACTCTATTTGTGTAATTTGCAAGTGTAGATTTCAAGCGCTTTAAGGTCAATGGCAGAAAAGGAAATATCTCCGTTTCAAAACTAGACAGAATCATTCCCACAAACTGCGTTGTGATGTGTTCGTTCAACTCACAGAGTTTAACCTTTCCGTTCATAGAGCAGTTAGGAAACACACTGTTTGTAAAGTCTGTAAGTGGATATTCTGACATCTTGTGGCCTTCGTTGGAAACGGGATTTCTTCATATTCTGCTAGACAGAAGAATTCTCAGTAACTTCCTTGTGTTGTGTGTATTCAACTCACAGAGTTGAACGATCCTTTACACAGAGCAGACTTGTAACACTCTTTTTGTGGAATTTGCAATTGGAGATTTCAGCCGCTTTGAAGTCAAAGGTAGAAAAGGAAATATCTTCCTATAAAAACTAGACAGAATGATTCTCAGAAACTCCTTTGTGATGTGTGCGTTCAACTCACAGAGTTTAACCTTTCTTTTCATAGAGCAGTTAGGAAACACTCTGTTTGTAAAGTCTGCAAGTGGATATTCAGACCTCTTTGAGGCCTTCGTTGGAAATGGGTTTTTTTCATATAAGGCTAGAGAGAAGAATTCTCAGTAACTTCCTTGTGTTGTGTGTATTCAACTGACAGAGTTGAACTTTCATTTAGAGAGAGCAGATTTGAAACACTGTTTTTGTGGAATTTGCAAGTGGAGATTTCAAGCGCTTTGGGGCCAAAGGCAGAAAACGAAATATCTTCGTATAAAAACTAGACAGAATCATTCTCAGAAACTGCTCTGCGATGTGTGCGTTCAACTCTCAGAGTTTAACTTTGCTTTTCATTCAGCAGTTTGGAAACACTCTGTTTGTAAAGTCTGCACGTGGATATTTTGACCACTTAGAGGCCTTCGTTGGAAACGTGTTTTTTTCCTGTAAGGCTAGACAGAAGAATTCCCAGTAACTTCCTTGTGTTGTGTACATTCAACTCACAGAGTTGAACGTTCCCTTAGACAGAGCAGATTTGAAACACTCTTTTTGTGCAATTGGCAAGTGGAGATTTCAAGCGCTTTAAGGTCAATGGCAGAAAAGGAAATATCTTCGTTTCAAACTAGACAGAATCATTCTCAGAAACTGCTCTGTGATGTGTGCGTTCAACTCTCAGAGTTTAAATTTTCTTCTCATTCAGCAGTTTGGAAACACTCTGTTTGTAAAGTCTGCACGTGGATAATTTGACCACTTAGAGGCCTTCGTTGGAAACGGGTTTTTTTCATGTAAGGCTAGACAGAAGAATTCTCAGTAACTTCCTTGTGTTGTGTGTATTCAACTCACAGAGTTGAAAGACCCTTTACACAGAGCAGACTTGAAACACTCTTTTTGTGGAATTTGCAAGTGGAGATTTCAGCCGCTTTGAAGTCAAAGGTAGAAAAGGAAATATCTTCGTATAAAAACTAGATAGAATGATTCTCATAAACTCCTTTGTGATGTGTGCGTTCAACTCACAGAGTTTAACCTTTCTTTTCATAGAGCAGTTAGGAAACACTCTGTTTGTAAAGTCTGCAAGTGGATATTCAGACCTCTTTGAGGCCTTCGTTGGAAACTGGATTTCTTCATATTCTGCTAGACAGAAGAATTCCCAGTAACTTCCTTGTGTTGTGTGTGTTCAACTCACAGAGTTGAACTTTCATTTACACAGAGCAGATTTGAAACACTCTTTTTGTGGAATTTGCAAATGGAGATTTCAAGCGCTTTGAGGCCAAAGGCAGAAAAGGAAATATCTTAGTATAAAAACTAGACAGAATGATTCTCAGAAACTGCTCTGTGATGTGTGCGTTCAACTCTCAGAGTTTAACTTTTCTTTTCATTCAGCAGTTTGGAAACACTCTGTTTGTAAAGTCTGCACGTGGATAATTTGACCACTTAGAGGCCTTCGTTGGAAACGGGTTTTTTTCAAGTAAGGCTAGACAGAAGAATTCCCAGTAACTTCCTTGTGTTGTGTGCATTCAACTCACAGAGTTGAACGTTCCCTTAGACAGAGCAGATTTGAAACACTCTATTTGTGCAATTTGCAAGTGTAGATTTCAAGCGCTTTAAGGTCAACGGCAGAAAAGGAAATATCTTCGTTTCAAAACTAGACAGAATCATTCCCACAAACTGCGTTGTGATGTGTTCGTTCAACTCACAGAGTTTAACCTTTCTTTTCATAGAGCAGTTAGGAAACAGTCTGTTTGTCAATTCTGTAAGTGGATATTCTGACATCTTGTGGCCTTTGTTGGAAACGGGATTTCTTCATATTCTGCTAGACAGAAGAATTCTCAGAATCTTCCTTGTGTTGTGTGTATTCAACTCACAGAGTTTAACGATCCTTTACACAGAGCAGACTTGAAACACTCTTTTTGTGGAATTTGCAAGTGGAGATTTCAGCCGCTTTGAGGTCCATGGTAGAAAAGGAAATATCTTCGTATAAAAACTAGACAGAATGATTCTCAGAAACTCCTTTGTGATGTGTGCGTTCAACTCACACAGTTTAACCTTTCTTTTCATAGAGCAGTTGGGAAACACTCTGTTTGTAAAATCTGCAAGTGGATATTCAGACCTCCTTGCGGCCTTCGTTGGAAACGGGATTTCTTCATATTATGCTAGACAGAATAATTCTCAGTAACTTCCTTGTGTTGTGTGTATTCAACTCACGGAGTTGAACGATCCTTTACACAGAGCAGACTTGAAACACTCTTTTTGTGGAATTTGCAAGTGGAGATTTCAGCCGCTTTGAAGTCAATGGTAGAATAGGAAATATCTTCCTATAGAAACTAGGCAGAATCATTCTCAGAAACTGCTGCGTGATGTGTGCGTTCAACTCTCAGAGTTTAACTTTTCTTTTCATTCAGCGGTTTGGAAACACTCTGTTTGTAAAGTCTGCACGTGGATATTTTGACCACTTAGAGGCCTTCGTTGGAAACGGGTTTTTTTCATGTAAGGCTAGACAGAAGAATTCCCAGTAACTTCCTTGTGTTGTGTGCATTCAACTCACAGAGTTGAACGTTCCCTGAGACAGAGCAGATTTGAAACACTCTATTTGTGCAATTTGCAAGTGTAGATTTCAAGCGCTTTAAGGTCAACGGCAGAAAAGGAAATATCTTCGTTTCAGAACTAGACAGAATCATTCCCACAAACTGCGTTGTGATGTGTTCGTTCAACTCACAGCAGTTTAACCTTTCTGTTCATAGAGCAGTTAGGAAACACTCTGTTTGTAATGTCTGTAAGTGGATATTCTGACATCTTGTGGCCTTCGTTGGAAACGGGATTTCTTCATATTCTGCTAGACAGAAGAATTCTCAGTAACTTCCTTGCGTTGTGTTTATTCAACTCACAGAGTTGAATGATCCTTTACACAGAGCAGACTTGAAACACTCTTTTTGTGGAATTTGCAAGTGGAGATTTCAGCCGCTTTGAGGTCAATGGTAGAAAAGTAAATATCTTCGTATAAGGACTAGACAGAATGATTCTCAGAAACTCCTTTGTGATGTGTGCGTTCAACTCACAGAGTTCAACCTTTCTTTTCATAGAGCAGTTGGGAAACACTCTGTTTGTAATGTCTGCAAGTGGATATTCAGACTTCTTTGAGGCCTTCGTTGGAAGCGGGATTTCTTCATATTCTGCTAGACAGAAGAATTCCCAGTAACTTCCTTGTGTTGTGTGTGTTCAACTCACAGAGTTGAACTTTCATTTACCCAGAGCAGATTTGAAACACTCTTTTTGTGGAATTTGCAAGTGGAGATTTCAAGCGCTTTGAGCCCAAAGGCAGAAAAGGAAATATCTTCGTTTCAAAACTAGACAGAATCATTCTCAGAAACTGCTGCGTGATGTGTGCGTTCAACTCTCAGAGTTTAACTTTTCTTTTCATTCAGCGGTTTGGAAACACTCTGTTTGTAAAGTCTGCACGTGGAAATTTTGACCACTTAGAGACCTTCATTGGAAACGGGTTTTTTTCATGTAAGGCTAGACAGAAGAATTCCCAGTAACTTCCTTGTGTTGTGTACATTCAACTCACAGAGTTGAACGTTCCCTTAGACAGAGCAGATTTGAAACACTCTTTTTGTGCAATTGGCAAGTGGAGATTTCAAGCGCTTTAAGGTCAATGGCAGAAAAGGAAATATCTTCGTTTCAAAACTAGACAGAATGATTCTCAGAAACTCCTTTGTGATGTGTGCGTTCAACTCACAGAGTTTAACCTTTCTTTTCATAGAGCAGTTAGGAAACACTCTGTTTGTAAAGTCTGCAAGTGGATATTCAGACCTCCTTGAGTCCTTCGTTGGAAACGGGATTTCTTCATATTATGCTAG
Organism: Homo sapiens; assembly: GCF_000001405.40. Taxonomy (NCBI): domain Eukaryota; kingdom Metazoa; phylum Chordata; class Mammalia; order Primates; family Hominidae; genus Homo; species Homo sapiens. The sequence continues at coordinate 124,061,897 of NC_000001.11, forward strand.
ACAGAAGAATTCTCAGTAACTTCCTTGTGTTGTGTGTATTCAACTCACAGAGTTGAACGATCCTTTACACAGAGCAGACTTGAAACACTCTTTTTGTGGAATTTGCAAGTGGAGATTTCAGCCGCTTTGAGGTCAATTGTAGAATAGGAAATATCTTCCTATAGAAACTAGACAGAATGATTCTCAGAAACTCCTTTGTGATGTGTGCGTTCAACTCACAGAGTTCAACCTTTCTTTTCATAGAGCAGTTGGGAAACACTCTGTTTGTAAAGTCTGCAAGTGGATATTCAGACTTCTTAGAGGCCTTCGTTGGAAGCGGGATTTCTTCATATTCTGCTAGACAGAAGAATTCCCAGTAACTTCCTTGTGTTGTGTGTGTTCAACTCACAGAGTTGAACTTTCATTTACACAGAGCAGATTTGAAACACTCTTTTTGTGGAATTTGCAAGTGGAGATTTCAAGCGCTTTGAGGCCAAAGGCAGGAAAGGAAATATCTTCGTATAAAAACTAGACAGAATCATTCTCAGAAACTGCTCTGCGATGTGTGCGTTGAACTCTCAGAGTTTAACTTTTCTTTTCATTCAGCAATTTGGAAACACTCTGTTTGTAAAGTCTGCACGTGGATATTTTGACCACTTAGAGGCCTTCGTTGGAAACGGGTTTTTTTCCTGTAAGGCTAGACAGAAGAATTCTCAGTAACTTCCTTGTGTTGTGTGTATTCAACTCACAGAGTTGAACGATCCTTTACACAGAGCAGACTTGTAACACTCTTTTTCTGGAATTTGCAAGTGGAGATTTCAGCCGCTTTGAAGTCAAAGGTAGAAAAGGAAATAACTTCCTATAAAAACTAGACAGAATGATTCTCAGAAACTTCTTTGTGATGTGTGCGTTCAACTCACAGAGTTTAACCTTTCTTTTCATAGAGCAGTTAGGAAACACTCTGTTTGTAAACTCTGCAAGTGGATATTCAGACCTCTTTGAGGCCTTCGTTGCAAACGGGATTTCTTCATGCTATGCTAGACAGAAGAATTCTCACTAACTTCCTTGTGTTTTGTGTATTCAACTCACAGAGTTGAACGATCCTTTACACAGAGCAGACTTGAAACACTCTTTTTGTGGAATTTGCAAGTGGAGATTTCAGCCGCTTTGAGGTCAATGGTAGAAAAGGAAATATCTTCGTATAAAGACTAGACAGATAGATTCTCAGAAACTCCTTTGTGATGTGTGCGTTCAACTCACAGAGTTTAACCTTTCTTTTCATAGAGCAGTTAGGAAACACTCTGTTTGTAAAGTCTGCAAGTGGATATTCAGACCTCTTTGAGGCCATCGTTGGAAACGGGTTTTTTTCATATAAGGCTAGACAGAAGAATTCCCAGTAACTTCCTTGTGTTGTGTGTGTTCAACTCACAGAGTTGAACTTTCATTTACACAGAGCAGATTGGAAACACTCTTTTTGTGGAATTTGCAAATGGAGATTTCAAGCGCTTTGAGGCCAAAGGCAGAAAAGGAAATATCTTCGTATAAAAACTAGACAGAATCATTCTCAGAAACTGCTCTGCGATGTGTGCGTTCAACTCTCAGAGTTTAACTTTTCTTTTCATTCAGCAGTTTGGAAACACTCTGTTTGTAAAGTCTGCACGTGGATATTTTGACCACTTAGAGGCCTTCGTTGGAAACGGGTTTTTTTCCTGTAAAGCTAGACAGAAGAATTCCCAGTAACTTCCTTGTGTTGTCTACATTCAACTCACAGAGTTGAACGTTCCCTTAGACAGAGCAGATTTGAAACACTCTTTTTGTGCAATTGGCAAGTGGTGATTTCAGCCGCTTTGGGGTCAATGGTAGAAAAGGAAATATCTTCGTATAAAAACTAGACAGAATGATTCTCAGAAACTTCATTGTGAAGTGTGCGTTCAACTCACAGAGTTTAACCTTTCTTTTCATAGAGCAGTTAGGAAACACTCTGTTTGTAAAGTCTGCAAGTGGATATTCAGACCTCTTTGAGGCCTTCGTTGGAAACGGGATTTCTTCATACTGTGCTATACAGAAGAATTCTCAGTAACTTCATTGTGTTGTGTGTATTCAACTCACAGAGTTGAACGATCCTTTACACAGAGCATACTTGAAACACTCTTGTTGTGGAATTTGCAAGTGGAGATTTCAGCCGCTTTGAGGTCAATGGTAGAATAGGAAACATCTTCCTATAGAAACTAGACAGAATGATTCTCAGAAACTCCTTAGTGATGTGTGTGTCCAACTCACAGGGTTTAACCTTTCTTTTCATAGAGCAGTTAGCAAACACTCTGTTTGTAAAGTCTGCAAGAGGATATTCAGACCTTTTTGAGGCCTTCGTTGGAAACGGGTTTTTTTCATATAAGGCTAGACAGAAGAATTCCCAGTAACTTCCTTGTGATGTGTGTGTTCAACTCACAGAGTTGAACTTTCATTTACATAGAGCAGATTTGAAACACTCTTTTTGTGGAATTTGCAAGTGGAGATTTCAAGCGCTTTGAGGCCAAAGGCAGAAAAGGAAATATCTTCGTATAAAAACTACACAGAATCATTCTCAGAAACTGCTGCGTGATGTGTGCGTTCAACTCTCAGAGTTTAACTTTTCTTTTCATTCAGCAGTTTGGAAACACTCTGTTTGTAAAGTCTGCACGTGGAAATTTTGACCACTTAGAGGCCTTCGTTGGAAACGGGTTTTTTTCATGTAAGGCTAGACAGAAGAATTCCCAGTAACTTCCTTGTGTTGTGTACATTCAACTCACAGAGTTGAACGTTCCCTTAGACAGAGCAGATTTGAAACACTCTTTTTGTACAATTGGCAAGTGGAGATTTCAAGCGCTTTAAGGTCAAAGGCAGAAAAGAAAATATCTTCGTTTCAAAACTAGACAGAATCATTCCCACAAACTGCGTTGTGACGTGTTCGTTCAACTCACAGAGTTTAACCTTTCTGTTCATAGAGCAGTTAGGAAAAACTCTGTTTGTAAAGTCTGTAAGTGGATATTCTGACATCTTGTGGCCTTCGTTGGAAACGGGATTTCTTCATATTCTGCTAGACAGAAGAATTCTCAGTAACTTCCTTGTGTTGTGTCTATTCAACTCACAGAGTTGAACGATCCTTTACACAGAGCAGACTTGAAACACTCTTTTTGTGGAATTTGCAAGTGGAGATTTCAGCCGCTTTGAGGTCAATGGTAGAAAAGGAAATATCTTCGTATAAAGACTAGACAGAATGATTCTCAGAAACTCCTTTGTGATGTGTGCGTTCAACTCACAGAGTTTAACGTTTCTGTTCATAGAGCTGTTAGGAAACACTCTGTTTGTAAAGTCTGCAAGTGGATATTCAGACCTCCTTGAGGCCTTCGTTGGAAACGGGATTTCTTCATATTCTGCTAGACAGAGTAATTCTCAGTAACTTCCTTGTGTTGTGTGTATTCAACTCACAGAGTTGAACGATCCTTTACACAGAGCAGATTTGTAACACTCTTTTTGTGGAATTTGCAAGTGGAGATTTCAAGCGCTTTGAGGCCAAAGGCAGAAAAGGAAATATCTTCGTTTCAAAACTAGACAGAATCATTCTCAGAAACTGCTCTGCGATGGGTGCGTTCAACTCTCAGAGTTTAACTTTTCTTTTCATTCAGCAGTTTGGAAACACTCTGTTTGTAAAGTCTGCACGTGGATAACTTGACCACTTAGAGGACTTCGTTGGAAACGGGTTTTTTTCCTGTAAGGCTAGACAGAAGAATTCCCAGTAACTTCCTTGTGTTGTGTACATTCAACTCACAGAGTTGAACGTTCCCTTAGACAGAGCAGATTTGAAACACTCTTTTTGTGCAATTGGCAAATGGAGATTTCAATCGCTTTAAGGTCAATGGCAGAAAAGGAAATATCTTCGTTTCAAAACTAGACAGAATCATTCCCACAAACTGCGTTGTGATGTGTTCGTTCAACTCACAGAGTTTAACCTTTCTTTTCTTAGAGCAGTTAGGAAACAGTCTGTTTGTCAATTCTGTAAGTGGATATTCTGACATCTTGTGGCCTTCGTTGGAAACGGGATTTCTTCATATTCTGCTAGACAGAATAATTCTCAGTAACTTCCCTTGTGTTGTGTGTATTCAACTCACAGAGTTGAACGATCCTTTACACAGAGCAGACTTGAAACACTCTTTTTGTGGAATTTGTAAGTGGAGATTTCAGCCGCTTTGAGGTCAATGGTAGAATAGGAAATATCTTCCTATAGAAACTAGACAGAATGATTCTCAGAAACTCCTTTGTGATGTGTGCGTTCAACTCACAGAGTTTAACCTTTCTTTTCATAGAGCAGTTAGGAAACACTCTGTTTGTAAAGTCTGTAAGTGGATATTCAGACCTCCTTGAGGCCTTCGTTGGAAACGGGATTTCTTCCTATTATGCTAGACAGAAGAATTCTCAGTAACTTCCTTGTGTTGTGTGTATTCAACTCACAGAGTTGAACGATCCTTTACACAGAGCAGACTTGAAACACACTTTTTGTGGAATTTGCAAGTGGAGATTTCAGCCGCTTTGGGTTCAATGGTAGAATAGGAAATATCTTCCTATAGAAACTAGACAGAATCATTCTCAGAAACTGCTCTGCGATGTGTGCGTTCAACTCTCAGAGTTTAACTTTTCTTTTCATTCAGCAGTTTGGAAACACTCTGTTTGTAAAGTCTGCACGTGGATACTTTGACCACTTAGAGGCCTTCGTTGGAAACGGGTTTTTTTCCTGTAAGGCTAGACAGAAGAATTCCCAGTAACTTCCTTGTGTTGTGTGCATTCAACTCACAGAGTTGAACGTTCCCTTAGACAGAGCAGATTTGAAACATCCTATTTGTGCAATTTGCAAGTGTAGATTTCAAGCGCTTTAAGGTCAACGGCAGAAAAGGAAATATCTTCCTTTCAAAACTAGACAGAATCATTCCCACAAACTGCGTTGTGATGTGTTCGTTCAACTCACAGAGTTTAACCTTTCTTTTCATAGAGCAGTTAGGAAACAGTCTGTTTGTAAATTTTGTAAGTGGATATTCTGACATCTTGTGGCCTTCGTTGGAAACGGGATTTCTTCATATTCTGCTAGACAGAAGAATTCTCAGTAACTTCCTTGTGTTGCGTGTATTCAACTCACAGAGTTGAACGATCCTTTACCCAGAGCGGACTTGAAACACTCTTTTTGTGGAATTTGCAAGTGGAGATTTCAGCCGCTTTGAGGTCAATGGTAGAAAAGGAAATATCTTCTTATACAGACTAGACAGAATGATTCTCAGAAACTCCTTTGTGATGTGTGCGTTCAACTCACAGAGTTCAACCTTTCTTTTCATAGAGCAGTTGGGAAACACTCTGTTTGTAAAGTCTGCAAGTGGATATTCAGACCTCCTTGAGGCCTTCGTTGGAAACGGGATTTCTTCATATTCTGCTAGACAGAAGAATTCCCAGTAACTTCCTTGTGTTGTGTGTGTTCAACTCACAGAGTTAAACTTTCATTTACCCAGAGCAGATTTGAAACACTCTTTTTGTGGAATTTGAAAGTGGAGATTTCAAGCGCTTTGAGGCCAAAGGCAGAAAAGGAAATATCTTCGTTTCAAAACTAGACAGAATCATTCTCAGAAAGTGCTCTGCGATGTGTGCGTTCAACTCTCAGAGTTTAACTTTGCTTTTCATTCAGCAGTTTGGAAACACTCTGTTTGTAAAGTCTGCACGTGGATAATTTGACCACTTAGAGGCCTTCGTTGGAAACGGGTTTTTTTCATGTAAGGCTAGACAGAAGAGTTCTCAGTAACTTCCTTGTGTTGTGTGTATTCAACTCACACAGTTGAACGATCCTTTACAGAGAGCAGACTTGTAACACTCTTTTTGTGGAATTTGCAAGTGGAGATTTCAGCCGCTTTGAAGTTAAAGTAGAAAAGGAAATATCTTCCTATAAAAACTAGACAGAATGATTCTCAGAAACTCCTTTGTGATGTGTGCGTTCAACTCACAGAGTTTAACCTTTCTTTTCATGGAGCAGTTAGGAAACACACTGTTTGTAAAGTCTGCAAGTGGATATTCAGACCTCCTTGAGGCCTTCTTTGGAAACGGGATTTCTTCATATTCTGCTAGACAGAATAATTCTCAGTAACTTCCTTGTGTTGTGTGTATTCAACTCACAGAGTTGAACGATCCTTTACACAGAGCAGACTTGAAACACTCTTTTTGTGGAATTTGCAAGTGGAGATTTCAGCCGCTTTGAGGTCAATGGTAGAAAAGGAAATATCTTCGTATAAAGACTAGACAGAATGATTCTCAGAAACTCCTTTTTGATGTGTGCGTTCAACTCACAGAGTTTAACCTTTCTTTTAATAGAGCAATTAGGAAACACTCTGTTTCTAAAGTCTGCAAGTGGATATTCAGACCTCTTAGCGGCCTTCGTTGGAAACGGGATTTCTTCATATTTTGCTAGACAGAAGAATTCTCAGTAACTTCCTTGTGTTGTGTGCATTCAACTCACAGAGTTGAACGATCCTTTACACAGAGCAGATTGGAAACACTCTTTTTGTGGAACTGCAAGAGGAGATTTCAGCCGCTTTGAGGTCAATGGTAGAAAAGGAAATATCTTCGTATAAAAACTAGACAGAATCATTCTCAGAAACTGCTCTGCGATGTGTGCGTTCAACTCTCAGAGTTTAACTTTTCTTTTCATTCAGCAGTTTGGAAACACTCTGTTTGTAAAGTCTGCACGTGGATATTTTGACCACTTAGAGGCCTTCGTTGGAAACGGGTTTTTTTCCTGTAAGGCTAGAGAGAAGAATTCCCAGGAACTTCCTTGTGTTGTGTACATTCAACTCACAGAGTTGAACGTTCCCTTAGACAGAGCAGATTTGAAACACTCTTTTTGTGCAATTGGCAAGTGGTGATTTCAGCAGCTTTGAGGTCAATGGTAGAAAAGGAAATATCTTCGTATAAAAACTAGACAGAATGATTCTCAGAAACTCCTTTGTGATGTGTGCGTTCAACTCACAGAGTTCAACCTTTCCTTTCATAGAGCAGTTGGGAAACACTCTGTTTGTAAAGTCTGCAAGTGGATATTCAGACTTTGAGGCCTTCGTTGGAAGCGGGATTTCTTCATATTCTGCTAGACAGAAGAATTCTCAGTAACTGCCTTGTGTTGTGTGTATTCAACTCACAGAGTTGCACGATCCTTTACACAGAGCAGACTTGAAACACTCTTTTTGTGGAATTTGCAAGTGGAGATTTCAGCCGCTTTGAGGTCAATGGTAGAATAGGAAATATCTTCCTATAGAAACTAGACAGAATGATTCTCAGAAACTTCTTTGTGATGTGTGCGTTCAACTCACAGAGTTTAACCTTTCTTTTCATAGAGCAGTTAGGAAACACTCTGTTTGTAAAGTCTGCAAGTGGATATTCAGACCTCCTTGAGGCCTTCGTTGGAAGCGGGATTTCTTCATGTTCTGCTAGACAGAAGAATTCTCAGAAACTTTCTTGTGTTGTGTGTTTTCAACTCACAGAGTTGAACGATCCTTTACACAGAGCAGACTTGAAACACTCCTTTTGTGGAATTTGCAAGTGGAGATTTCAGCCGCTTTGAGGTCAATGGTAGAATAGGAAATATCTTCCTATAGAAAGTAGACAGAATCATTCTCAGAAACTGCTGCGTGATGTGTGCGTTCAACTCTCAGAGTTTAACTTTTCTTTTCATTCAGCGGTTTGGAAACACTCTGTTTGTAAAGTCTGCACGTGGATATTTTGACCACTTAGACGCCTTCGTTGGAAACGGGTTTTTTTCATGTAAGGCTAGACAGAAGAATTCCCAGTAACTTTCCTTGTGTTGTGTGCATTCAACTCACAGAGTTGAACGTTCCCTTAGACAGAGCAGATTTGAAACACTCTATTTGTGCAATTTGCAATTGTAGATTTCAAGCGTTTTAAGGTCAATGGCAGAAAAGGAAATATCTTCGTTTCAAAACTAGACAGAATCATTCTCAGAAACTGCTCTGCGATGTGTGCGTTCAACTCTCAGAGTTTAACTTTTCTTTTCATTCAGCAGTTTGGAAACACTCTGTTTGTAAAGTCTGCACGTGGATAATTTGACCACTTAGAGGTCTTCGTTGGAAACGGGTTTTTTTCATGTAAGGATAGACAGAAGAATTCTCAGTAACTTCCTTGTGTTGTGTGTATTCAACTCACAGAGTTGAACGATCCTTTACACAGAGCAGACTTGTAACACTCTTTTTGTGGAATTTGCAAGTGGAGATTTCAGCCGCTTTGAAGTCAAAGGTAGAAAAGGAAATATCTTCCTATAAACACTAGACAGAATGATTCTCAGAAACTCCTTTGTGCTGTGTGCGTTCAACTCACAGAGTTTAACCTTTCTTTTCATAGAACAGTTAGTAAACACTCTGTTTGTAAAGTCTGCAAGTGGATATTCAGACACCTTTGAGGCTTTCGTTGGAAACGGGATTTCTTCATATTCTGCTAGACAGAAGAATTCTCAGTAACTTCCTTGTGTTGTGTGTATTCAACTGACAGAGTTGAACTTTCATTTAGAGAGAGCAGATTTGAAACACTGTTTTTGTGGAATTTGCCAGTGGAGATTTCAAGCGCATTGGGGCCAAAGGCAGAAAAGGAAATATCTTCGTATAAAAACTAGACAGAATCATTCTCAGAAACTGCTGCGTGATGTGTGCGTTCAACTCTCAGAGTTTAACTTTTCTTTTCATTCAGCGGTTTGGAAACACTCTGTTTGTAAAGTCTGCACGTGGATATTTTGACCACTTAGAGGCCTTCGTTGGAAACGGGTTTTTTTTCATGTAAGGCTAGACAGAAGAATTCCCAGTAACTTCCTTGTGTTGTGTGCATTCAACTCACAGAGTTGAACGTTCCCTTAGACAGAGCAGATTTGAAACACTCTATTTGTGCAATTTGCAAGTGTAGATTTCAAGTGCTTTAAGGTCAACGGCAGAAAAGGAAATATCTTCGTTTCAAAACTAGACAGAATCATTCCCACAAACTGCGTTGTGATGTGTTCGTTCAACTCACAGAGTTTAACCTTTCTTTTCATAGAGCAGTTAGGAAACAGTCTGTTTGTAAATTCTGTAAGTGGATATTCTGACATCCTGTGGCCTTCGTTGGAAACGGGATTTCTTCATATTCTGCTAGACAGAAGAATTCTCAGTAACTTCCTTGTGTTGTGTTTATTCAACTCACAGAGTTGAATGGTCCTTTACACAGAGCAGACTTGAAACACTCTTTTTGTGGAATTTGCAAGTGGAGATTTCAGCCGCTTTGAGGTCAATGGTAGAAAAGTAAATATCTTCCTATAAAGACTAGACAGAATGATTCTCAGAAACTCCTTTATGATGTGTGCATTCAACTCACAGAGTTTAACCTTTCTTTTCATAGAGCAGTTAGGAAACACTCTGCTTGTAAAGTCTGCAAGTGGATATTCAGCCCTCTTTGAGGCCTTCGTTGGAAACGGGTTTTTTTCATATAAGGCTAGACAGAAGAATTCCCAGTAACTTCCTTGTGTTGTGTGTGTTCAACTCACAGAGTTGAACTTTCATTTACACAGAGCAGATTTGAAACACTCTTTTTGTGGAATTTGCAAGTGGAGATTTCAAGCGCTTTGAGGCCAAAGGCAGAAAAGGAAATATCTTCGCATAAAAACTAGACAGAATCATTCTCAGAAACTGCTCTGCGATGTGTGCGTTAAACTCTCAGAGTTTAACTTTTCTTTCATTCAGCAGTTTGGAAACACTCTGTTTGTAAAGTCTGCACGTGGATATTTTGACCACTTAGAGGCCTTCGTTGGAAACGGTTTTTTTTCCTGTAAGGCTAGACAGAAGAATTCCCAGTAACTTCCTTGTATTGTGTACATTCAACTCACAGAGTTGAACGTTCCCTTAGACAGAGCAGATTTGAAACACTCTTTTTGTGCAATTGGCAAATGGAGATTTCAAGCGCTTTAAGGTCAATGGCAGAAAAGGAAATATCTTCGTTTCAAAACTAGACAGAATCATTCCCACAAACTGCGTTGTGATGTGTTCGTTCAACTCACAGAGTTTAACCTTTCTGTTCATAGAGCAGTTAGGAAACACTCTGTTTGTAAAGTCTGCAAGTGGATATTCAGACCTCCTAGAGGCCTTCGTTGGAAACGGGATTTCTCCATATTCTGCTAGACAGAAGAATTCTCAGTAACTTCCTTGTGTTGTGTGTATTCAACTCACAGAGTTGAACGATCCCTTTACACAGAGCAGACTTGTAACACTCTTTTTGTGGAATTTGCAAGTGGAGATTTCAGCCGCTTTGAAGTCAAAGGTAGAAAAGGAAATATCTTCCTATAAAAACTAGACAGAATGATTCTCAGAAAATCCTTTGTGATGTGTGCGTTCAACTCACAGAGTTTAACTTTTCTTTTCATAGAGCAGTTAGGAAACACTCTGTTTGTAAAGTCTGCAAGTGGATATTCAGACCTCTTTGAGGCCTTCGTTGGAAACGGGATTTCTTCATATTCTGCTAGACAGAAGAATTCTCAGTAACTTCCTTGTGTTGTGTGTATTCAACTGACAGAGTTGAACTTTCATTTAGAGAGAGCAGATTGAAACACTGTTTTTGTGGAATTTGCAAGTGGAGATTTCAAGCGCTTTGTGGCCAAAGGCAGAAAACGAAATATCTTCGTATAAAAACTAGACAGAATCATTCTCAGAAACTGCTGCGTGATGTGTGCGTTCAACTCTCAGAGTTTAACTTTTCTTTTCATTCAGCGGTTTGGAAACACTCTGTTTGTAAAGTCTGCACGTGGATATTTTGACCACTTAGAGGCCTTCGTTGGAAACGGGTTTTTTTCATGTAAGGTTAGACAGAAGAATTCTCAGTAACTTCCTTGTGTGGTGTGTATTCAACTCACAGAGGTGTACGATCCTTTACACAAAGCAGACTTGAAACACTCTTTTTGTGGAATTTGCAAGTGGAGATTTCAGCCGCTTTGAGGTCAATGGTAGAAAAGGAAATATCTTCGCATAAAGAATAGACAGAATGATTCTCAGAAACTCCTTTGTGATGTGTGCGTTCAACTCACAGAGTTTAACCTTTCTGTTCATAGAGCAGTTAGGAAACACTCTGTTTGTAAAGTCTGCAAGTGGATATTCAGACCTCCTTGAGGCCTTCGGTGGAAACGGGATTTCTTCATATTATGCTAGACAAAAGAATTCTCAGTAACTTCCTTGTGTTGTGTGTATTCAACTCACAGAGTTGAACGATCCTTTACACAGAGCAGACTTGAAACACTGTTTTTGTGGAATTTGCAAGTGGAGATTTCAGCCGCTTTGAGGTCAATGGTAGAATAGGAAATATCTTCCTATAGAAACTAGACAGAATGATTCTCAGAAACTCCTTTGTGATGTGTGCGTTCAACTCACAGAGTTTAACCTTTCTTTTCATAGAGCAGTTAGGAAACACTCTGTTTGTACAGTCTGCAAGTGGATATTCAGACATCCTTGAGGCTTTTGTTGGAAACGGGATTTCTTCATATTCTGCTAGAAAGAAGAATTCTCAGTAACTTCCTTGTGTTGTGTGTATTCAACTGACAGAATTGAACTTTCATTTAGAGAGAGCAGATTTGAAACACTGTTTTTGTGGAAATTGCAAGTGGAGATTTCAAGCGCTTTGGGGCCAAAGGCAGAAAAGGAAATATCTTCGTATAAAAAGTAGACAGAATCATTCTCAGAAACTGCTGCGTGATGTGTGCGTTCAACTCTCAGAGTTTAACTTTTCTTTTCATTCAGCGGTTTGGAAACACTCTGTTTGTAAAGTCTGCACGTGGATATTTTGACCACTTAGAGGCCTTCGTTGGAAACGGGTTTTTTTCATGTAAGGCTAGACAGAAGAATTCCCAGTAACTTCCTTGTGTTGTGTGCATTCAACTCACAGAGTTGAACGTTACCTTAGACAGAGCAGATTTGAAACACTCTATTTGTGCAATTTGCAAGTGTAGATTTCAAGCGCTTTAAGGTCAATGGCAGAAAAGGAAATATCTTCGTTTCAAAACTAGACAGAATCATTCCCACAAACTGCGTTGTGATGTGTTCGTTCAACTCACAGAGTTTAACCTTTCTTTTCATAGAGCAGTTAGGAAACAGTCTGTTTGTCAATTCTGTAAGTGGATATTCTGACATCTTGTGGCCTTCGTTGGAAACGGGATTTCTTCATATTCTGCTAGAAAGAAGAATTCTCAGTAACTTCCTTGTGTTGTGTGTATTCAACTCACAGAGTTGAACGATCTTTTACACAGAGCAGACTTGAAACACTCTTTTTGTGGAATTTGCAAGTGGAGATTTCAGCCCTTTTGAGGTCAATGGTAGAAAAGGAAATATCTTCGTATAAAGACTAGACAGAATGATTCTCAGAAACTCCTTTGTGATGTGTGCGTTCAACTCACAGAGTTTAACCTTTCTTTTCATAGAGCAGTTGGGAAACACTCTGTTTGTAAAGTCTGCAAGTGGATATTCAGACATCCTTGAGGCTTTCGTTGGAAACAGGATTTCTTCATATTCTGCTAGAAAGAAGAATTCCCAGTACCTTCCTTGTGTTGTGTGTGTTCAACTCACAGAGTTGAACTTTCATTTACACAGAGCAGATTTGAAACACTCTTTTTGTGGAATTTGCAAGTGGAGATTTCAAGCGCTTTGAGGCCAAAGGCAGAAAAGGAAATATCTTCGTTTCAAAACTAGACAGAATCATTCTCAGAAACTGCAGCGTGATGTGTGTGTTCAACTCTCAGAGTTTAACTTTTCTTTTCATTCAGCGGTTTGGAAACACTCTGTTTGTAAAGTCTGCACGTGGAAATTTTGACCACTTAGAGGCCTTCGTTGGAAACGGGTTTTTTTCATGTAAGGCTAGACAGAAGAATTCCCAGTAACTTCCTTGTGTTGTGTGCATTCAACTCACAGAGTTGAACGTTCCCTTAGACAGAGCAGATTTGAAACACTCTATTTGTGCAATTTGCAAGTGTAGATTTCAAGCGCTTTAAGGTCAATGGCAGAAAAGGAAATACCTTCGTTTCAAAACTAGACAGAATCATTCCCACAAACTGCGTTGTGATGTGTTCGTTCATCTCACAGAGTTTAACCTTTCTTTTCATAGAGCAGTTAGGAAACATTCTGTTTGTAAATTCTGTAAGTGGATATTCTGACATCTTGTGGCCTTCGTTGGAAACGGGATTTCTTCATATTCTGCTAGACAGAAGAATTCTCAGAATCTTCCTTGTGTTGTGTGTATTCAACTCACACAGTTGAACGATGGTTTACACAGAGCAGATTTGAAACACTCTTTTTGTGGAATTTGCAAGTGGAGATTTCAGCCGCTTTGAGGTCAATGGTAGAAAAGGAAATATCTTCGTATAAAAACTAGAGAGAATGATTCTGAGAAACTCCTTTGTGATGTGTGCGTTCAACTCACACACTTTAACCTTTCTTTTCATAGAGCAATTAGGAAACACTCTGTTTGTAAAGTCTGCAAGTGGATATTCAGACCTCCTTGAGGCCTTCTTTGGAAACGGGATTTCTTCATATTCTGCTAGACAGAAAAATTCTCAGAATCTTCCTTGTGTTGTGTGTATTCAACTCACAGAGTTGAACGATCCTTTACACAGAGCAGATTTGAAACACTCTTTTTGTGGAATTTGCAAGTGGAGATTTCAAGCGCTTTGAGGCTAAAGGCAGAAAAGGAAAATATCTTCGTATAACAACTAGACAGAATCATTCTCAGAAACTGCTGCGTGATGTGTGCGTTCAACTCTCAGAGTTTAACTTTTCTTTTCATTCAGCGGTTTGGAAACACTCTGTTTGTAAAGTCTGCACATGGATATTTTGCCCACTTAGAGGCCTTCGTTGGAAACGGGTTTTTTTCATGTAAGGCTAGACAGAAGAATTCCCAGTAACTTCCTTGTGTTGTGTGCATTCAACTCACAGAGTTGAACGTTCCCTTAGACAGAGCAGATTTGAAACACTCTATTTGTGCAATTTGCAAGTGTAGTTTTCAAGCTCTTTAAGGTCAACGGCAGAAAAGGAAATATCTTGGTTTCAAAACTAGACAGAATCATTCCCACAAACTGCGTTGTGATGTATTCGTTCAACTCACAGAGTTTAACCTTTCTGTTCATAGAGCAGTTAGGAAACACTCTGTTTGTAAAGTCTGTAAGTGGATATTCTGACATCTTGTGGCCCTTCGTTGGAAACGGGATTTCTTCATATTCTGCTAGACAGAAGAATTCTCAGTAACTTCCTTGTGTTGTGTGTATTCAACTCACAGAGTTGAACGATCCTTTACACAGAGCAGACTTGAAACACTCTTTTTGTGGAATTTGCAAGTGGAGATTTCAGCCGCTTTGAGGTCAATGGTAGAATAGGAAATATCTTCCTATAGAAACTAGACAAACGATTCTCAGAAACTCCTTTGTGATGTGTGCGTTCAACTCACAGAGTTTAACCTTTCTGTTCATAGAGCAGTTAGGAAACACTCTATTTGTAAAGTCTGCAAGTGGATATTCAGACCTCTTTGAGGCCTTCGTTGGAAACGGGATTTCTTCATATTCTGCTAGACAGAAGAATTCCCAGTAACTTCCTTGTGTTGTGTGTGTTCAACTCACAGAGTTGAACTTTCATTTACAAAGAGCATATTTGAAACACTCTTTTTGTGGAATTTGCAAGTGGAGATTTCAAGCGCTTTGAGGCCAAAGGCAGAAAAGGAAATATCTTCGTATAAAAACTAGACAGAATCATTCTCAGAAACTGCTCTGCGATGTGTGCGTTCAACTCTCAGAGTTTAACTTTTCTTTTCATTCAGCAGTTTGGAAACACTCTGTTTGTAAAGTCTGCACGTGGATATTTTGACCACTTACAGGCCTTCGTTGGAAACGGGTTTTTTTCCTGTAAGGCTAGACAGAAGAATTCCCAGTAACTTCCTTGTGTTGTGTGCTTTCAACTCACAGAGTTGAACGTTCCCTTAGACAGAGCAGATTTGAAACACTCTATTTGTGCAATTTGCAAGTGTAGATTTCAAGCGCTTTAAGGTCAATGGCAGAAAAGGAAATATCTTCGTTTCAAAACTAGACAGAATCATTCCCACAAACAGCGTTGTGATGTGTTCGTTCAACTCACAGAGTTTAACCTTTCTTTTCATAGAGCAGTTAGGAAAGAGTCTGTTTGTCAATTCTGTAAGTGGATATTCTGACATCTTGTGGCATTCGTTGGAAACGGGATTTCTTCATATTCTGCTAGACAGAAGAATTCTCAGTAACTTCCTTGTGTTGTGTGTATTCAACTCACAGAGTTGAACGATCCTTTACACAGAGCAGACTTGAAACATTCTTTTTGTGGAATTTGCAAGTGGAGATTTCAGCCGCTTTGTGGTCAATGGTAGAATAGGAAATATCTTCCTATAGAAACTAGACAGAATGATTCTCAGAAACTTCTTTGTGATGTGTGCGTTCAACTCACAGAGTTTAACCTTTCTTTTCATAGAGCAGTTAGGAAACACTCTGTTTGTAAACTCTGCAAGTGGACATTCAGACCTCTTTGAGGCCTTCGTTGGAAACGGGATTTCTTCATACTGTGCTAGACAGAAGAATTCTCAGAATCTTCCTTGTGTTGTGTGTATT
This sequence comes from Homo sapiens, assembly GCF_000001405.40. Classification (NCBI taxonomy): domain Eukaryota; kingdom Metazoa; phylum Chordata; class Mammalia; order Primates; family Hominidae; genus Homo; species Homo sapiens. Next base: position 124,077,567 of record NC_000001.11, read on the forward strand.
CAACTCACACAGTTGAACGATCCTTTACACAGAGCAGACTTGGAACACTCTTTTTGTGGAATTTGCAAGTGGAGATTTCAGCCGCTTTGAAGTCAAATGTAGAAAAGGAAATATCTTCCTATAAAAACTAGACAGAATCATTCTCAGAAAATCCTCTGTGATGTGTGCGTTCAACTCTCAGAGTTTAACTTTTCTTTTCATTCAGCAGTTCAGAAACACTCTGTTTGTAAAGTCTGCACGTGGATATTTTGACCACTTAGAGGCCTTCGTTGGAAACGGGTTTTTTTCATATAAGGGTAGACAGGAGAATTCCCAGTAACTTCCTTGTGTTGTGTGCATTCAACTCACAGAGTTGAACGTTCCCTTAGACAGAGCAGATTTGAAACACTCTATTTGTGCAATTTGCAAGTGTAGATTTCAAGCGCTTTAAGGTCAACGGCAGAAAAGGAAATATCTTCGTTTCAAAACTAGACAGAATCATTCCCACAAACTGCGTTGTGATGTGTTCGTTCAACTCACAGAGTTTAACCTTTCTGTTCATAGAGCAGTTAGGAAACACTCTGTTTGTAAAGTCTGTAAGTGGATATTCAGACATCTTGTGGCCTTCGTTGGAAACGGGATTTCTTCATATTCTGCTAGACAGAAGAATTGTCAGAAACTTCCTTGTGTTGTGTGTCTTCAACTCACAGAGTTAAACGATGCTTTACACAGAGTAGACTTGAAACACTCTTTTTCTGGAATTTGCAAGTGGAGATTTCAGCCGCTTTGAGGTCAATGGTAGAAAAGGAAATATCTTCGTATAAAAACTAGACAGAATGATTCTCAGAAACTCCTTTGTGATGTGTGCGTTCAACTCACAGAGTTTAACTTTTCTTCTCATAGAGCAGTTAGGAAACACTCTGTTTGTAAAGTCTGCAAGTGGATATTCAGACCTCTTTGAGGTCTTCGTTGGAAACGGGATTTCTTCATATTATGCTAGACAGAAGAATTCTCAGTAACTTCCTTGTGTTGTGTGTATTCAACTGACAGAGTTGAACTTTCATTTAGACAGAGCAGATTTGAAACACTCTTTTTCCGGAATTTGCAAGTGGAGATTTCAAGCGCTTTGAGGCCAAAGGCAGAAAAGGAAATATCTTCGTATAAAAACTAGACAGAATCATTCTCAGAAACTGCTCTGTGATGTGTGCGTTCAACTCTCAGAGTTTAACTTTTCTTTTCATTCAGCAGTTTGGAAACACTCTGTTTGTAAAGTCTGCACGTGGATATTTTGACCACTTAGAGGCCTTCGTTGGAAACGGGTTTTTTTCATGTAAGGCTAGACAGAAGAATTCCCAGTAATTTCCTTGTATTGTGTGCATTCAACTCACAGAGTTGAACGTTCCCTTAGACAGAGCAGATTTGAAACACTCTATTTGTGCAATTTGCAAGTGTAGATTTCAAGCGCTTTAAGGTCAATGGCAGAAAAGGAAATATCTTCGTTTCAAAACTAGACAGAATCATTCCCACAAACTGCGTTGTGATGTGTGCGTTCAACTCACAGAGTTTAACCTTTCTTTTCATAGAGCAGTTAGGAAACAGTCTGTTTGTCAATTCTGTAAGTGGATATTCTGACATCTTGTGGCCTTCGTTGGAAACGGGATTTCTTCATATTCTCCTAGACAGAAGAATTCTCAGTAACTTCCTTGTGTTGTGTGTATTCAACTCACAGAGTTGAACGATCCTTTACACAGAGCAGACTTGAAACACTCTTTTTCTGGAATTTGCAAGTGGAGATTTCAGCCGCTTTGAGGTCAATGGTAGAATAGGAAATATCTTTCTATAGAAACTAGACAGAATGATTCTGAGAAACTCCTTTGTGATGTGTGCGTACAACTCACAGAGTTTAACCTTTCTTTTCATAGAGCAGTTGGGAAACACTCCGTTTGTAAACTCTGCAAGTGGATATTCAGACCTCCTTGAGGCCTTCGTTGGAAACGGGATTTCTTCATATTATGCTAGACAGAAGAATTCTCAGTAACTTCCTTGTGTTGTGTGTATTCAACTGACAGCAGTTGAACTTTCATTTAGAGAGAGCAGATTTGAAACACTGTTTTTGTGGAATTTGCAATTGGAGATTTCAAGCGCTTTGGGGCCAAAGGCAGAAAAGGAAATATCTTCGTATAAAAACTACACAGAATCATTCTCCGAAACTGCTCTGCGATGTGTGCGTTCAACTCTCAGAGTTTAACTTCTCTTTTCATTCAGCAGTTTGGAAACACTCTGTTTGTAAAGTCTGCACGTGGATAACTTGACCACTTAGAGGCCTTCGTTGGAAACGGGTTTTTTTCATGTAAGGCTAGACAGAAGAATTCTCAGTAACTTCCTTCTGTTGTGTGTATTCATCTCACAGAGTTGAACGATCCTTTACACAGAGCAGACTTGTAACACTCTTTTTGTGCAATTGGCAAATGGAGATGTCAAGCGCTTTAAGGTCAATTGCAGAAAAGAAAATATCTTCGTTTCAAAACTAGACAGAATGATTCTCAGAAACTTCTTTGTGATGTGTGCGTTCAACTCACAGAGTTTAACCTTATTTTTCATAGAGCAGTTAGGAAACACTCTGTTTGTAAACTCTGCAAGTGGATATTCAGACCTCTTTGGGGCCTTCGTTGGAAACGGGATTTCTTCATACTATGCTAGACAGAAGAATTCTCAGTAACTTCCTTGTGTTGTGTGTATTCAACTCACAGAGTTGAACGATCCTTTACACAGAGCAGACTTGAAACACTCTTTTTGTGGAATTTGCAAGTGGAGATTTCAAGCGCTTTGAGGCCAAAGGCAGAAAAGGAAATATCTTCGTATAAAAACTAGACAGAATGATTCTCAGAAACTTCTTTGTGATGTGTGTGTTCAACTCACAGAGTTTAACCTTTCTTTTCATAGAGCAGTTAGGAAACACTGTGTTTTTAAACTCTGCAAGTGGATATTCAGACCTCTTTGAGGCCTTTCCTTGGAAACGGGTTTCTTCATACTGTGCTAGACAGAAGAATTCTCAGTAACTTCCTTGTGTTGTGTGTATTCAACTGACAGAGTTGAACTTTCATTTAGAGAGAGCAGATTTGAAACACTGTTTTTGTGGAATTTGCAAGTGGAGATTTCAAGCGCTTTGGGGCCAAAGGCAGAAAAGGAAATATCTTCGTATAAAAATTAGACAGAATCATTCTCAGAAACTGCTGCGTGATGTGTGCGTTCAACTCTCAGAGTTTAACTTTTCTTTTCATTCAGCGGTTTGGAAACACTCTGTTTGTAAAGTCTGCACGTGGATATTTTGCCCACTTAGAGGCCTTCGTTGGAAACGGGTTTTTTTCATGTAAGGCTAGACAGAAGAATTCCCAGTAACTTCCTTGTGTTGTGTACATTCAACTCACAGAGTTGAACGTTCCCTTAGACAGAGCAGATTTGAAACACTCTTTTTGTGCAATTGGCAAATGGAGATTTCAAGCGCTTTAAGGTCAATGGCAGAAAAGGGAATATCTTCGTTTCAAAACTAGACAGAATCATTCCCACAAACTGCGTTGTGATGTGTTCGTTCAACTCACAGAGTTTAACCTTTCTGTTCATAGAGCAGTTAGGAAACACTCTGTTTGTAAAGTCTGTAAGTGGATATCCTGACATCTTGTGGCCTTCGTTGGAAAAGGGATTTCTTCATATTCTGCTAGACAGAAGAATTCTCAGAAACTTCCTGGTGTTGCGTGTTTTCAACTCACAGAGTTCTACGATCCTTTACACAGAGTAGACTTGAAAAACTCTTTTTGTTGAATTGGCCAGTGGAGATTTCAGCCGCTTTGAGGTCAATGGTAGAAAAGGAAATATCTTCGTATAAAAACTAGACAGAATGATTCTCAGAAACTCCTTTGTGATGTGTGCGTTCAACTCACAGAGTTTAACCTTTCTTTTCATAGAGCAGTTAGGAAACACTCTGTTTGTAAAGTCTGCAAGTGGATATTCAGACATCTTTGAGGCTTTCGTTGGAAACGGGATTTCATCATATTCTGCTAGACAGAAGAATTCCCAGTAACTTCCTTGTGTTGTGTGTGTTCAACTCACAGAGTTGAACTTTCATTTACACAGAGCAGATTTGAAACACTCTTTTTGTGGAATTTGCAAGTGGAGATTTCAAGCGCTTTGAGGCCAAAGCAGAAAAGGAAATATCTTCGTTTCAAAACTAGACAGAATCATTCTCAGAAACTGCTGCGTGATGTGTGCGTTCAACTCTCAGAGTTTAACTTTTCTTTTCATTCAGCGGTTTGGAAACACTCTGTTTGTAAAGACTGCACGTGGATATTTTGACCCCTTAGAGGTCTTCGTTGGAAACGGGTTTTTTTCATGTAAGGCTAGACAGAAGAATTCCCAGTAACTTCCTTGTGTTGTGTGCATTCAACTCACAGAGTTGAACGTTCCCTTAGACAGAGCAGATTTGAAACACTCTATTTGTGCAATTTGCAAGTGTAGTTTTCAAGCTCTTTAAGGTCAACGGCAGAAAAGGAAATATCTTCGTTTCAAAACTAGACAGAATCATTCCCACAAACTGCGTTGTGATGTGTTCGTTCAACTCACAGAGTTTAACCTTTGTTTTCATAGAGGAGTTAGGAAACAGTCTGTTTGTAAATTCTGTAAGTGGATATTCTGACATCTTGTGGCCTTCGTTGGAAACGGGATTTCTTCATATTCTGCTAGACAGAAGAATTCTCAGTTACTTCCTTGTGTTGTGTGTATTCAACTCAAAGAGTTCAACGATCCTTTCTACAGGGCAGACTTGAAACACTCTTTTTGTGGAATTTGCAAGTGGAGATCTCAGCCGCTTTGTGGTCAATAGTAGAAAAGGAAATATCTTCGTATAAAAACTAGACAGAATGATTCTCAGAAACTCCCTTGTGATGTGTGCGTTCAACTCACAGAGTTTAACCTTTCTTTTCATAGAGCAGTTAGGAAACACTCTGTTTGTAAAGTCTGCAAGTGGATATTCAGACTTCTTTGAGGCCTTCGTTGGAAACGGGATTTCTTCATATTCTGCTAGACAGAAGAATTCTCAGTAACTTCCTTGTGTTGTGTGTATTCAACTGACAGAGTTGAACTTTCATTTAGAGACAGCAGATTTGAAACACTGTTTTTGTGGAAGTTGCAAGTGGAGATTTCAAGCGCTTTGGGGCCAAAGGCAGAAAAGGAAATATCTTCGTATAAAAACTAGACAGAATCATTCTCAGAAAATGCTCTGTGATGTGTGCGTTCAACTCTCAGAGTTTAACTTTTCTTTTCATTCAGCAGTTTGGAAACACTCTGTTTGTAAAGTCTGCACGTGGATATTTTGACCACTTAGAGGCCTTCGTTGGAAACGGGTTTTTTTCATGTAAGGGTAGAAAGAAGAATTCCCAGTAACTTCCTTGTGTTGTGTGCATTCAACTCACAGAGTTGAACGTTCCTTTAGACAGAGCAGATTTGAAACACTCTATTTGTGCAATTTGCAAGTGTAGTTTTCAAGCTCTTTAAGGTCAACGGCAGAAAAGGAAATATCTTGGTTTCAAAACTAGACAGAATCATTCCCACAAACTGCGTTGTGATGTGTTCGTTCAACTCACAGAGTTTAACCTTTCTTTTCATAGACCAGTTAGGAAACAGTCTGTGTGTAAATTCTGTAAGTGGATATTCTGACATCTTGTGGCCTTCGTTGGAAACGGGATTTCTTCATATTCTGCTAGACAGAAGAATTCTCAGAATCTTCCTTGTGTTCTGTGTATTCAACTCACAGAGTTGAACGATCCTTTACACAGAGCAGACTTGAAACACTCTTTTTGTGGAATTTGCAAGTGGAGATTTCAGCCGCTTTGAGGTCCATGGTAGAAAAGGAAATATCTTCGTATAAAAACTAGACAGAATGATTCTCAGAAACTTCATTGTGATGTGTGCGTTCAACTCACAGAGTTTAACCTTTCTTTTCATAGAGCAGTTAGGAAGCACTCTGTTTGTCAACTCTGCAAGTGGATATTCAGACCTCTTTGAGGCCTTCGTTGGAAACGGGATTTCTTCATACTGTGCTAGACAGAAGAAATCTCACTAACTTCCTTGTGTTGTGTGTATTCAACTCACAGAGTTGAACGATCCTTTACACAGAGCGGACTTGAAACACTCATTTTGTGGAATTTGCAAGTGGAGATTTCAGCCGCGTTGAGGTCAATGGTAGAAAAGGAAATATCTTCGTATAAAAACTAGACAGAATCATTCTCAGAAACTGCTGCGTGATGTGTGCGTTCAACTCTCAGAGTTTAACTTTTCTTTTCATTCAGCGGTTTGGAAACACTCTGTTTGTAAAGTCTGCACGTGGATATTTTGACCACTTAGAGGCCTTCGTTGGAAACGGGTTTTTTTCATGTAAGGCTAGACAGAAGAATTCCCAGTAACTTCCTTGTGTTGCGTGCATTCAACTCACAGAGTTGAACGTTCCCTTAGACAGAGCAGATTTGAAACACTCTATTTGTGCAATTTGCAAGTGTAGATTTCAAGCGCTTTAAGGTCAACGGCAGAAAAGGAAATATCTTCGTTTCAAAACTAGACAGAATCATTCCCACAAACTGCGTTGTGATGTGTTCGTTCAACTCACAGAGTTTAACCTTTCTTTTCATAGTGCAGTTAGGAAACAGTCTGTTTGTAAATTCTGTAAGTGGATATTCTGACATCTTGTGGCCTTCGTTGGAAACGGGATTTCTTCATATTCTGCTAGACAGAAGAGTTCTCAGTAACTTCCTTGTGTTGTGTGTATTCAACTCACAGAGTTGAACGATCCTTTACACAGAGCAGACTTGTAACACTCTTTTTGTGGAATTTGCAAGTGGAGATTTCAGCCGCTTTGAAGTCAAAGGTAGAAAAGGAAATATCTTCCTATAAAAACTAGACAGAATGATTCTCAGAAACTCCTTTGTGATGTGTGCGTTCAACTCACAGAGTTTAACCTTTCTTTTCATAGAGCAGTTAGGAAACACTCTGTTTGTAAAGTCTGCAAGTGGATATTCAGACCTCTTTGAGGCCTCCGTTGGAAACGGGTTTTTTTCATATAAGGCTAGACAGAAGAATTCCCCAGTAACTTCCCTTGTGTTGTGTGTGTTCAACTCACAGAGTTGAACTTTCATTTACACAGAGCAGATTTGAAACACTCTTTTTGTGGAATTTGCAGGTGGAGATTTCAAGCGCTTTGAGGCCAAAGGCAGAAAAGGAAATATCTTCGTATAAAAACTAGACAGAATCATTCTCAGAAACTGCTCTGCGATGTGTGCGTTCAACTCTCAGAGTTTAACTTTTCTTTTCATTCAACAGTTTGAAAACACTCTCTTTGTAAAGTCTGCACGTGGATATTTTGACCACTTAGAGGCCTTCGTTGGAAACGGGTTTTTTTCTTGTAAGGCTAGACAGAAGAATTCCCAGTAACTTCCTTGTGTTGTGTGCATTCAACTCACAGAGTTGAACCTTCCCTTAGACAGAGCAGATTTGAAACACTCTATTTGTGCAATTTGCAAGTGTAGATTTCAAGCGCTTTAAGGTCAATGGCAGAAAAGGAAATATCTTAGTTTCAAAACTAGACAGAATGATTCTCAGAAACTCTTTTGTGATGTGTGCGTTCAACTCACAGAGTTTAACCTTTCTGTTCATAGAGCTGGTAGGAAACACTCTGTTTGTAAAGTTTGCAAGTGGATATTCAGACCTCCTTGAGGCCTTCGTTGGAAACGGGATTTCTTCATATTCTGCTAGACAGAAGAATTCTCAGTAACTTCCTTGTGTTGTGTGTTTTCAACTCACAGAGTTGAACGATCCTTTACACAGAGCAGACTTGAAACACTCTTTTTGTGGAATTTGCAAGTGGAGATTTCAGCCGCTTTGAGGTCAATGGTAGAATAGGAAATATCTTCCTGTAGAAACTAGACAGAATGATTCTCAGAAACTCCTTTGAGATGTGTGCGTTCAACTCACAGAGTTTAACCTTTCTTTTCATAGAGCAGTTAGGAAACACTCTGTTTGTAAAGTCTCCAAGTGGATATTCAGACCTCTTTGAGGCCTTCGTTGGAAACGGGTTTTTTTCATATAAGGCTAGACAGAAGAATTCTCAGTAACTTCCTTCTGTTGTATGTATTCAACTGACAGAGTTGAACTTTCATTTAGAGAGAGCAGATTTGAAACACTGTTTTTGTGGAATTTGCAAGTGGAGATTTCAAGCGCTTCGGGGCCAAAGGCAGAAAAGGAAATATCTTCGTATAAAAACTAGACAGAATCATTCTCAGAAACTGCTGCGTGATGTGTGGGATTACCTCTCAGAGTTTTACTTTTCTTTTCATTCAGCGGTTTGGAAACACTCTGTTTGTAAAGTCTGCACGTGGATATTTTGACCACTTAGAGGCCTTCGTTGGAAACGGGTTTTTTTCATGTAAGGCTAAACAGAAGAATTCCCAGTAACTTCCTTGTGTTGTGTACATTCACCTCACAGAGTTGAACGTTCCCTTAGACAGAGCAGATTTGAAACACTCTTTTTGTGCAATTGGCAAATGGAGATTTCAAGCGCTTTAAGGTCAATGGCAGAAAAGGAAATATCTTCGTTTCAAAACTAGACAGAATCATTCCCACAAACTGCGTTGTGATGTGTTCGTTCAACTCACAGAGTTTAACCTTTCTTTTCATAGAGCAGTTAGGAAACAGTCTGTTTGTCAATTCTGTAAGTGGATATTCTGACATCTTGTGGCCTTCGTTGGAAACGGGATTTCCTCATATTCTGCTAGACAGAAGAATTCCCAGTAACTTCCTTGTGTTGTGTACATTCAACTCACAGAGTTGAACGTTCCCTTAGACAGAGCAGACTTGTAACACTCTTTTTGTGGAATTTGCAAGTGGAGATTTCAGCCGCTTTGAAGTCAAATGTAGAAAAGGAAATATCTTCCTATAAAAACTAGACAGAATGATTCTCAGAAACTCCTTTGTGATGTGTGTGTTCAACTCACAGAGTTTAACGTTTCTTTTCATAGAGCAGTTAGTAAACACTCAGTTTATAAAGTCTGCAAGTGGATATTCAGACCCCTTTGAGGCCTTCGTTGGAAACGGGATTTCTTCATATTATGCTACACAGAAGAATTCCCAGTAACTTCCTTGTGATGTGTGTGTTCAACTCACAGAGTTGAACTTTCATTTACACAGAGCAGATTGGAAACACTCTTTTTGTGGAATTTGCAAGTGGAGATTTCAAGCGCTTTGAGGCCAAAGGCAGAAAAGGATATATCTTCGTATAAAAACTACACAGAATCATTCTCAGAAACTGCTCTGCGATGTGTGCGTACAACTCTCAGAGCTTAACTTTTCTTTTCATTCAGCAGTTTGGAAACACTCTGTTTGTAAAGTCTGCACGTGGATAATTTGACCACTTAGAGACCTTCGTTGGAAACGGGTTTTTTTCATGTAAGGCTAGACAGAAGAATTCCCAGTAACTTCCTTGTGTTGTGTACATTCAACTCACAGAGTTGAAGGTTCCCTTAGACAGAGCAGATTTGAAACACTCTTTTTGTGCAATTGGCAAGTGGAGATTTCAAGCGCTTTAAGGTCAATGGCAGAAAAGGAAATATCTTCGTTTCAAAACTAGACAGAATAATTCTCAGAAACTCCTTTGTGATGTGTGCGTTCAACTCACAGAGTTTAACCTTTCTTTTCATAGAGCAGTTCGGAAACACTCTGTTTGTAAAGTCTGCAAGTGGATATTCAGACCTCCCTGAGGCCTTCTTTGGAAACGGGATTTCTTCATATTATGCTAGACAGAAGAATTCTCAGTAACTTCCTTGTGTTGTGTGTATTCAACTCACAGAGTTGAACAATCCTTTACACAGAGCAGACTTGAAACACTCTTTTTGTGGAATTTGCAAGTGGAGATTTCAGCCGCTTTGAGGTCAATGTTAGAATAGGAAATATCTTCCTATAGAAACTAGACAGAACGATTCTCAGAAACTCCTTTGTGATGTGTGCGTTCAACTCACAGAGTTTAACCTTTCTTTTCATAGAGCAGTTAGGAAACACTCTGTTTGTAACGTCTGCAAGTGGATATTCAGACCTCCTTGAGGCCTTCGTTGGAAACGGGATTTCTTCATATTCTGCTAGACAGAAGAATTCCCAGTAACTTCCTTGTGTTGTGTGTGTTCAACTCACAGAGTTGAACTTTCATTTACACAGAGCAGATTTGAAACACTCTTTTTGTGGAATTTGCAAATGGAGATTTCAAGCGCTTTGAGGCCAAAGGCAGGAAAGGAAATATCTTCGTATAAAAACTAGACAGAATCATTCTCAGAAACTGCTCTGCGATGTGTGCGTTCAACTCTCAGAGTTTAACTTTGCTTTTCATTCAGCAGTTTGGAAACACTCTGTTTGTAAAGTCTGCACCTGGATAATTTGACCACTTAGAGGCCTTCGTTGGAAACGGGTTTTTTTCATGTAAGGCTAGACAGAAGAATTCCCAGTAACTTCCTTGTTTTGCGTGTGTTCAACTCACAGAGTTGAACTTTCATTTACACAGAGCAGATTTGAAACACTCTTTTTGTGGAATTTGCAAGTGGAGATTTCAAGCGCTTTGAGGGCAAAGGCAGAAAAGGAAATATCTTCGTTTCAAAACTAGACAGAATCATTCCCACAAACTGCGTTGTGATGTGTTCGTTCAACTCACAGAGTTTAACCTTTCTTTTCATAGAGCAGTTAGGAAACACTCTGTTGGTAAATTCTGTAAGTGGATATTCTGACATCTTGTGGCCTTCGTTGGAAACGGGATTTCTTCATCTTCTGCTAGACAGAACAATTCTCAGTAACTTCCTTGTGTTGTGTGTATTCAACTCACAGAGTTGAATGATCCTTTACACAGAACAGTCTTGAAACACTCTTTTTGTGGAATTTGCAAGTGGAGATTTCAGCCGCTTTGAGGTCCATGGTAGAATAGGAAATATCTTCCTATAGAAACTAGACAGAATGATTCTCAGAAACTCCTTTGTGATGTGTGCGTTCAACTCAGAGAGTTTAACTTTTCTTTTCATAGAGCAGTTAGGAAACACTCTGTTTGTAAAGTCTGCAAGTGGATATTCCGACCTCTTTGAGGCCTTCGTTGGAAACGGGATTTCTTCATATTATGCTAGACAGAAGAATTCCCAGTAACTTCCTTGTGTTGTGTGTGTTCAACTCACAGAGTTGAACTCTCATTTACACAGAGCAGATTTGAAACACTCTTTTTGTGGAATTTGCAAGTGGAGATTTCAAGCGCTTTGAGGTCAAAGGCAGAAAAGGAAATATCTTCGTATAAAAACTAGACAGAATCATTCTCAGCAACTGCTGCGTGATGTGTGCGTTCAACTCTCAGAGTTTACCTTTTCTTTTCATTCAGCGGTTTGGAAACACTATGTTTGTAAAGTCTGCACGTGGATATTTTGACCACTTAGAGGCCTTCGTTGGAAACGGGATTTTTTCATGTAAGGCTAGACAGAAGAATTCCCAGTAACTTCCTTGCGTTGTGTACATTCAACTCACAGAGTTGAACGTTCCCTTAGACAGAGCAGATTTGAAACACTCTTTTTGTGCAATTGGCAAGTGGAGATTTCAAGCGCTTTAAGGTCAATGGCAGAAAAGGAAATATCTTCGTTTCAAAACTAGACAGAATCATTCCCACAAACTGCGTTGTGATGTGTTCGTTCAACTCACAGAGTTTAACCTTTCTTTTCATAGAGCAGTTAGGAACCAGTCTGTTTGTAAATTCTGTAAGTGGATATTCTGACATCTTGTGACCTTCGTTGGAAACGGGATTTCTTCATATTCTGCTAGACAGAAGAATTCTCAGTAACTTCCTTGTGTTGTGTGTATTGAACTCACAGAGTTGAACGATCCTTTACACAGAGCAGACTTGAAACATTCTTTTTGTGGAATTTGCAAGTGGAGATTTCAGCCGCTTTGAGGTCAATGGTAGAATAGGAAATATCTTTCTATAGAAACTAGACAGAATGATTCTGAGAAACTCCTTTGTGATGTGTGCGTTCAACTCACAGAGTTTAACCTTTCTTTTCATAGAGCAGTTAGGAAACACTCTGTTTGTAAAGTCTGCAAGTGGATATTCAGACCTCTTTGAGGCCTTCGTTGGAAACGGGATTTCTTCATATTCTGCTAGACAGAAGAATTCTCAGTAACTTCCTTGTGTTGTGTGTATTCAACTGACAGAGTTGAACTTTCATTTAGAGAGAGCAGATTTGAAACACTGTTTTTGTGGAATTTGCAAGTGTATATTTCAAGCGCTTTGGGGCCAAAGGCAGAAAAGGAAATATCTTCGTATAAAAACTAGACAGAATCATTCTCAGAAACTGCTCTGCGATGTGTGCGTTCAACTCTCAGAGTTTAACTTTTCTTTTCATTCAGCAGTTTGGAAACACTCTGTTTGTAAAGTCTGCACCTGGATAACTTGACCACTTAGAGGCCTCCGTTGGAAACGGGTTTTTTTCCTGTAAGGCTAGACAGAAGAATTCCCAGTAACTTCCTTGTGTTGTGTACATTCAACTCACAGAGTTGAACGTTCCCTTATACAGAGCAGATTTGAAAAACTCTTTTTATGCAATTGGCAAGTGGTGATTTCAGCCGCTTTGAGGTCAATGGTAGAAAAGGAAATAACTTCGTATAAAAATTAGACAGAATCATTCCCAAAAACTGCGTTGTGATGTGTTCGTTCATCTCACAGAGTTTAACCTTTCTTTTCATAGAGCAGTTAGGAAACAGTCTGTTTGTAAATTCTGTAAGTGGATATTCTGACATCTTGTGGCCTTCGTTGGAAACGGGATTTCTTCATATTCTGCTAGACAGAAGAATTCTCAGGAACTTCCTTGTGTTGTGTGAATTCAACTCACAGAGTTCAACGATCCTTTACACAGAGCAGACTTGAAACACTCTTTTTGTGGAATTTGCAAGTGGAGATTTCAGCCGCTTTTAGGTCAATGGTAGAATAGGAAATATCTTCCTATAGAAACTAGACAGATGATTCTCAGAAACTCCTTTGTGATGTGTGCGTTCAACTCACAGAGTTTAACCTTTCTTTTCTTAGAGCAGTTAGGAAACACTCTGTTTATAATGTCTGCAAGTGGATATTCAGACCCCTTTGAGGCCTTCGTTGGAAACGGGATTTCTTCATATTATGCTAGACAGAAGAATTCTCAGTAACTTCCTTGTGTTGTGTGTATTCAACTGACAGAGTTGAACTTTCATTTAGAGAGAGCAGATTTGAAACACTGTTGTTGTGGAATTTGCAAGTGGAGATTTCAAGCGCTTTGGGACCAAAGGCAGAAAAGGAAATATCTTCGTATAAAAACTAGACAGAATCATTCTCAGAAACTGCTGCGTGATGTTTGCGTTCAACTCTCAGAGTTTAACTTTTCTTTTCATTCAGCGGTTTGGAAACACTCTGTTTGTAAAGTCTGCACGTGGAAATTTTGACCACTTAGAGGCCTTCGTTGGAAAAGGGTTTTTTTCATGTAAGGCTAGACAGAAGAATTCCCAGTAACTTCCTTGTGTTGTGTACATTCAACTCACAGAGTTGAACGTTCCCTTAGACAGAGCAGATTTGAAACACTCTTTTTGTGCAATTGGCAAATGGAGATTTCAAGCGCTTTAAGTTCAATGGCAGAAAAGGAAATATCTTCGTTTCAAAACTAGACAGAATCATTCCCACAAACTGCGTTGTGATGTGTTCGTTCAACTCACAGAGTTTAAACTTTCTGTTCATAGAGCAGTTAGGAAACACTCTGTTTGTAAAGTCTGTAAGTGGATATTCCGACATCTTTTGGCCTTCGTTGGAAACGGGATTTCTTCATATTCTACTAGACAGAAGAATTCTCAGTAACTCCTTTGTGTTGTGTGTATTCAACTCACAGAGTTGAACGATCCTTTACACAGAGCAGACTTGAAACACTCTTTTTGTGGAATTTGCAAGTGGAGATTTCAGCCGCTTTGAGGTCAATGGTAGAATAGGAAATATCTTCCTATAGAAACTAGACAGAATGATTCTCAGAAACTTCTTTGTGATGTGTGCGCTCAACTCACAGAGTTTAACCTTTCTTTTCATAGAGCAGTTAGGAAACACTCTGTTTGTAAACTCTGCAAGTGGATATTCAGACCTCTTTGAGGCCTTCGTTGGAAACGGGATTTCTTCATATTATGCCTGAGAGAAGAATTCTCAGTAACTTCCTTGTGTTGTGTGTATTCAACTCACAGAGTTGAACGATCCTTTACACAGAGCAGACTTGGAACACTCTTTTTGTGGAATTTGCAAGTGGAGATTTCAGCCGCGTTGAGATCAATGGTAGAAAAGGAAATATCTTCGTATAAAAACTAGACAGAATGATTCTCAGAAACTCCTTTGAGATGTGTGTGTTCAACTCACAGAGTTTAACCTTTCTTTTCATAGAGCAGTTAGGAATCACTCTGTTTGTAAAGTCTGCAAGTGGATATTCAGACCTCTTTGAGGCCTTCGTTGGAAACGGGTTTTTTTCATATAAGGCTAGACAGAAGAATTCTCAGTAACTTCCTTGTGTTGTGTGTATTCAACTGACAGAGTTGAACTTTCATTTAGAGAGAGCAGATTTGAAACACTGTTTTTGTGGAATTTGCAAGTGGAGATTTCAAGCGCTTTGTGGCCAAAGGCAGAAAACGAAATATCTTCGTATAAAAACTAGACAGAATCATTCTCAGAAACTGCTGCGTGATGTGTGCGTTCAACTCTCAGAGTTTAACTTTTCTTTTCATTCAGCGGTTTGGAAACACTCTGTTTGTAAAGTCTGCACGTGGACATTTTGACCACTTAGAGGCCTTAGTTGGAAACGGGTTTTTTTCATGTAAGGCTAGACAGAAGAATTCCCAGTAACTTCCTTGTGTTGTGTACATTCAACTCACAGAGTTGAACGTTCCCTTAGACAGAGCAGATTTGAAACACTCTTTTTGTGCAATTGGCAAGTGGAGATTTCAAGCGCTTTGAGGTCAATGGCAGAAAAGGAAATATCTTCGTTTCAAAACTAGACAGATTCATTCCCACAAACTGCGTTGTGATGTGTTCGTTCAACTCACAGAGTTTAACCTTTCTGTTCATAGAGCAGTTAGGAAACACTCTGTTTGTAAAGTCTGCCAGTGGATATTCAGACCTCCTTGAGGCCTTCGTTGGAAACGGGATTTCTTCATATTCTGCTAGACAGAAGAATTCTCAGTAACTTCCTTGTGTTGTGTGTATTCAACTCACAGAGTTGAACGATCCTTTACAGAGAGCAGACTTGAAACACTCTTTTTGTGGAAATTGCAAGTGGAGATTTCAGCTGCTTTGAGGTCAATGGTAGAATAGGAAATATCTTCCTATAGAAACTAGACAGAATGATTCTCAGAAACTCCTTTGTGATGTGTGCGTTCAACTCACAGAGTTTAACCTTTCTTTTCATAGAGCAGTTAGGAAACACTCTGTTTGTAAAGTCTGCAAGTGGATATTCAGACCTCCTTGAGGGTTCGTTGGAAACGGGATTTCTTCATATTATGCTAGACAGAAGAATTCCCAGTAACTTCCTTGTGTTGTGTGTGTTCAACTCACAGAGTTGAACTTTCATTTACACAGAGCAGATTTGAAACACTCTTTTTGTGGAATATGCAAGTGGAGATTTCAAGCGCTTTGAGGCCAAAGGCAGAAAAGGAAATATCTTCGTTTGAAAACTAGACAGATATCATTCTCAGAAACTGCTGCGTGATGTGTGCGTTCAACTCTCAGAGTTTAACTTTTCTTTTCATTCAGCGGTTTGGAAACACTCTGTTTGTAAAGTCTGCACGTGGATATTTTGACCACTTAGAGGCCTTCGTTGGATACGGGTTTTTTTTCATGTAAGGCTAGACAGAAGAATTCCCAGTAACTTCCTTGTGTTGTGTGCATTCAACTCACAGAGTTGAACGTTCCCTTAGACAGAGCAGATTTGAAACACTCTATTTGTGCAATTTGCAAGTGTAGATTTCAAGCGCTTTAAGGTCAACGGCAGAAAAGGAAATATCTTCGTTTCAAAACTAGACAGAATCATACCCACAAACTGCGTTGTGATGTGTTCGTTCAACTCACAGAGTTTAACCTTTCTGTTCATAGAGCAGTTAGGAAACACTCTGTTTGTAAAGTCTGTAAGTGGATATTCTGACATCTTGTGGCCTTCGTTGGAAACGGGATTTCTTCATATTCTGCTAGACAGAAGAATTCTCAGAATCTTCCTTGTGTTGTGTGTATTCAACTCACAGAGTTGAACGATCCTTTACACAGAGCAGACTTGAAACACTCTTTTTGTGGAATTTGCAAGTGGAGATTTCAGCCGCTTTGAGGTCCATGGTAGAAAAGGAAATATCTTCGGTATAAAAACTAGACAGAATGATTCTCAGAAACTCCTTTGAGATGTGTGTGTTCAACTCACAGAGTTTAACCTTTCTTTTCATAGAGCAGTTAGGAATCACTCTGTTTGTAAAGTCTGCAAGTGGATATTCAGACCTCTTTGAGGCCTTCGTTGGAAACGGGTTTTTTTCATATAAGGCTAGAGAGAAGAATTCCCAGTAACTTCCTTGTGTTGTGTGTGTTCAACCCACAGAGTTGAACTTCCATTTACACAGAGCAGATTTGAAACACTCTTTTTGTGGAATTTGCAAGTGGAGATTTCAAGCGCTTTGAGGCCAAAGGCAGAAAAGGAAATATCTTCGTTTCAAAACTAGACAGAATCATTCTCAGAAACTGCTCTGCGATGTGTGCGTTCAACTCTCAGAGTTTAACTTTTCTTTTCATTCAGCAGTTTGGAAACACTCTGTTTGTAAAGTCTGCACGTGGATAATTTGACCACTTAGAGGCCTTCTTTGGAAACGGGTTTTTTTCATATAAGGCTAGACAGAAGAATTCCCAGTAACTTCCTTGTGTTGTGTACATTCAACTCACAGAGTTGAACGTTCCCTTAGACAGAGCAGATTTGAAACACTCTTTTTGTGCAATTAGCAAGTGGAGATTTCAAGCGCTTTAAGGTCAATGGCAGAAAAGGAAATATCTTACTTTCAAAACTAGACAGAATGATTCTCAGAAACTTCTTTGTGATGTGTGCGTTCAACTCACAGAGTTTAACCTTTCTTTTCATAGAGCAGTTAGGAAACACTCTGTTTATAAACTCTGCAAGTGGATATTCAGACCTCTTTGAGGCCTTCGTTGGAAACGGGATTTCTTCATACTGTGCTAGACAGAAGAATTCTCAGTAACTTCCTTGTGTTGCGTGTATTCAACTCACAGAGTTGAACGATCCTTTACACAGAGCGGGCTTGAAACACTCTTTTTGTGGAATTTGCAAGTGGAGATTTCAGCCGCGTTGAGGTCAATGGTAGAAAAGGAAATATCTTCGTATAAAAACTAGACAGAATGATTCTCATAAACTCCTTTGTGATGTGTGAATTCAACTCACAGAGTTTCACCTTTCTTTTCATAGAGCAGTTAGGAAACACTCTGTTTGTAAAGTCTGCAAGTGGATATTCAGACCTCCTTGAGGCCTTCGTTGGAAACGGGATTTCTTCATATTCTGCTAGACAGAAGCAATTCCCACTAACTTCCTTGTGTTGTGTGTGTTCAACTCACAGGAGTTGAACTTTCATTTACACAGAGCAGATTTGAAACACTCTTTTTGTGGAATTTGAAAGTGGAGATTTCAAGCGCTTTGAGGCCAAAGGCAGAAAAGGAAATATCTTCGTTTCAAAACTAGACAGAATCATTCTCTGAAACTGCTGCGTGATGTGTGCGTTCAACTCTCAAAGTTTAACTTTTCTTTTCATTCAGCTGTTTGGAAACACTCTGTTTGTAAAGTCTGTACGTGGAAATTTTGACCACTTAGAGGCCTTCGTTGGAAACGGGTTTTTTTCATGTAAGGCTAGACAGAAGAATTCCCAGTAACTTCCTTGTGTTGTGTACATTCAACTCACAGAGTTGAACGTTCCCTTAGACAGAGCAGATTTGAAACACTCTTTTTGTGCAATTGGCAAGTGGAGATTTCAAGCGCTTTAAGGTCAATGGCAGAAAAGGAAATATCTTCGTTTCAAAACTACACAGAATGATTCTCAGAAACTCCTTTGTGATGTGTGCATTCAACTCACAGAGTTTAACCTTTCTTTTCATAGAGCAGTTAGGAAACACTCTGTTTGTAAAGTCTGCAAGTGGATATTCAGACATCTTTGAGGCTTTCGTTGGAAACGGGATTTCTTCATATTCTGCTAGAAAGAAGAATTCTCAGTAACTTCCTTGTGTTGTGTGTATTCAACTCACAGACTTGAATGATCCTTTACACAGAACAGTCTTGAAAGACTCTTTTTGTGGAATTTGCAAGTGGAGATTTCAGCCGCTTTGAGGTCAATGGTAGAATAGGAAATATCTTCCAATAGAAACTAGACAGAATGACTCTCAGAAACTCCTTTGTGATGTGTGTGTTCAACTCACAGAGTTTAACCTTTCTTTTCATAGAGCAGTTAGTAAACACTCTGTTTATAAAGTCTGCAAGTGGATATTCAGACCCCTTTGAGGCCTTCGTTGGAAACGGGATTTCTTCATATTCTGCTAGACAGAAGAATTCCCAGTAACTTCCTTGTGTTGTGTGTGTTCAACTCACAGAGTTGAACTTTCATTTACACAGAGCAGATTTGAAACAGTCTTTTTGTGGAATTTGCAAGTGGAGATTTCAAGCGCTTTGAGGCCAAAGGCAGAAAAGGAAATATCTTCGTATAAAAACTAGACAGAATCATTCTCAGAAACTGCTGCGTGATGTGTGCGTTCAACTCTCAGAGTTTAACTTTTCTTTTCATTCAGCGGTTTGGAAACACTCTGTTTGTAAAGTCTGCACGTGGATATTTTGACCACTCAGAGGCCTTCGTTGGAAACGGGTTTTTTTCATGTAAGGCTAGACAGAAGAATTCCCAGTAACTTCCTTGTGTTGTGTACATTCAACTCACAGAGTTGAACGTTCCCTTAGACAGAACAGATTTGAAACACTCTTTTTGTGCAATTGGCAAGTGGTGATTTCAGCCGCTTTGGGGTCAATGGTAGAAAAGGAAATATCTTCGTATAAAAACTAGACAGAATGATTCTCAGAAACTCCTTTGTGATGTGTGCGTTCAACTCACAGAGTTTAACCTTTCTTTTCATAGAGCAGTTAGGAAACACTCTGTTTGTAAAGTCTGCAAGTGGATATTCAGACCTCTTTGAGGCCTTCTTTGGAAACGGCATTTCTTCATATTATGCTAGACAGAAGAATTCTCAGTAACTTCCTTGTGTTGTGTGTATGCAACTCACAGAGTTGAACGATCCTTTACACAGAGCAGACTTGAAACACTCTTTTTGTGGAATTTGCAAGTGGAGATTTCAGCCGCTTTGAGGTCAATGGTAGAATAGGAAATATCTTCCTATAGAAACTAGACAGAATGATTCTCATAAACTCCTTTGTGATGTGTGCGTTCAACTCACAGAGTTTAACCTTTCTTTTCATAGAGCAGTTAGGAAACACTCTGTTTGTAAAGTCTGCAAGTGGATATTCAGACCTCCTTGAGACCTTCGTTGGAAACGGGATTTCTTCATATTATGCTAGACAGAGGAATTCTCAGTAACTTCCTTGTGTTGTGTGTATTCAACTGACAGAGTTGAACTTTCATTTAGAGAGAGCAGATTTGAAACACTGTTTTTGTGGAATTTGCAAGTGGAGATTTCAAGCGCTTTGGGGCCAAAGGCAGAAAAGGAAATATCTTCGTATAAAAACTAGACAGAATGATTCTCAGAAACTGCTCTGCGATGTGTGCGTTCAACTCTCAGAGTTTAACTTTTCTTTTCATTCAGCAGTTTGGAAACACTCTGTTTGTAAAGTCTGCACGTGGATATTTTGACCACTTGGAGGCCTTCGTTGGAAACGGGTTTTTTTCCTGTAAGGCTAGACAGAATAATTCCCAGTAACTTCCTTGTGTTGAGTACATTCAACTCACAGAGTTGAACGTTCCCTTAGACAGAGCAGATTTGAAACACTCTTTTTGTGCAATTGACAAGTGGAGATTTCAAGCGCTTTAAGGTCACTGGCAGAAAAGGAAATATCTTCGTTTCAAAAGTAGACAGAATGATTCCCACAAACTGCGTTGTGATGTGTTCGTTCAACTCACAGAGTTTAACCTTTCTTTTCATAGAGCAGTTAGGAAACACTCTGTTTGTAAATTCTGTAAGTGGATATTCTGAAATCTTGTGGCCTTCGTTGGAAACGGGATTTCTTCATATTCTGCTAGACAGAAGAATTCCCAGTAACTTCCTTGTGTTGTGTACATTCAACTCACAGAGTTGAACGTTCCCTTAGACAGAGCAGACTTGTAACACTCTTTTTGTGCAATTTGCAAGTGGAGATTTCAGCCGCTTTGAAGTCAAAGGTAGAAAAGGAAATATCTTCCTATAAAAACTAGACAGAATGATTCTCATAAACTCATTTGTGATGTGTGCATTCAACTCACAGAGTTTCACCTTTCTTTTCATAGAGCAGTTAGGAAACACTCTGTTTGTAAAGTCTGCAAGTGGATATTCAGACCTCCTTGAGGCCTTCGTTGGAAACGGGATTTCTTCATATTCTGCTAGACAGAAGAATTCTCAGTAACTTCCTTGTGTTGTGTGTATTCAACTGACAGAGTTGAACTTTCATTTAGAGAGAGCAGATTTGAAACACTGTTTTTTTGGAATTTGCAAGTGGAGATTTCAAGCGCTTTTGGGCCAAAGGCAGAAAAGGAAATATCTTCGTATAAAAACTAGACAGAATGATTCTCAGAAACTCCTTTGTGATGTGTGCATTCAACTCACAGAGTTTAACCATTCCTTTCATAGAGCAGTTAGGAAACACTCTGTTTGTAAAGTCTGCAAGTGGATATTCAGACCTCTTTGAGGCCTTCGTTGGAAACGGGATTTCTTCATATTCTGCTAGACAGAAGAATTCTCAGTAACTTCCTTGTGTTGTGTGTATTCAACTCACAGAGTTGAACGATCCTTTACACAGAGCAGACTTGAAACACTCTTTTTGTGGAATTTGAAAGTGGAGATTTCAGCCGCTTTGAGGTCAATGGTAGAAAAGGAAATATCTTCGTATAAAAACTAGACAGAATGATTCTCAGAAACTCCTTTGTGATGTGTGCGTTCAACTCACAGAGTTTAACCTTTCTTTTCATAGAGCAGTTAGGAAACACTCTGTTTGTAAAGTCTGCAAGTGGATATTCAGACCTCCTTGAGGCTTTCGTTGGAAACGGGATTTCTTCATATTCTGCTATACAGAAGAATTCTCAGAAACTTCCTTGTGTTGTGTGTTTTCAACTCACAGAGTTGAACGATGCTTTACACAGAGTAGACTTGAAACACTCTTGTTGTGGAATTTGCAAGTGGAGATTTCAGCCGCTTTGAGGTCAATGGTAGAATAGGAAATATCTTCCTATAGAAACTAGACAGAATGATTCTCAGAAACTCCTTTGTGATGTGTGTGTTCAACTCACAGAGTTTAACCTTTCTTTTCATAGAGCAGTTAGTAAACACTCTGTTTATAAAGTCTGAAAGTGGATATTCAGACCCCTTTGAGGCCTTCGTTGGAAAAGGGATTTCTTCATATTATGCTAGACAGAAGAATTCCCAGTAACTTCCTTGTGTTGTGTGTGTTCAACTCACAGAGTTGAACTTTCATTTACACAGAGCAGATTTGAAACACTCTTTTTGTGGAATTTGCAAGAGGAGATTTCAAGCGCTTTGAGGCCAAAGGCAGAAAAGGAAATATCTTCGTATAAAAACTAGACAGAATCATTCTCAGAAACTGCTCTGCGATGTGTGCGTTCAACTCTCAGAGTTTAACTTTTCTTTTCATTCAGAAGTTTGGAAACACTCTGTTTGTAAAGTCTGCACGTGGATAACTTGACCACTTAGAGGCCTTCGTTGGAAACGGTTTTTTTTCATGTAAGGCTAGACAGAAGAATTCCCAGTAACTTCCTTGTGTTGTGTACATTCAACACACAGAGTTGAACGTTTCCTTAGAGAGAGCAGATTTGAAACACTCTTTTTGTGCAATTGGCAAGTGGTGATTTCAGCCGCTTTGAGGTCAATGGTAGAAAAGGAAATATCTTCGTATAAAAACTAGACAGAATCATTCCCACAAACTGCGTTGTGATGTGTTCGTTCATCTCACAGAGTTTAACCTTTCTTTTCGTAGAGCAGTTAGGAAACAGTCTGTTTGTAAATTCTGTAAGTGGATATTCTGACATCTTGTGGCCTTCGTTGGAAACGGGATTTCTTCATATTCTGCTAGACAGAGGAATTCTCAGAATCTTCCTTGTGTTGTGTGTATTCAACTCACAGAGTTGAACGATCCTTTACACAGAGCAGACTTGAAACACTCTTTTTGTGGAATTTGCAAGTGGAGATTTCAGCCGCTTTGAGGTCCATGGTAGAAAAGGAAATATCTTCGTATAAAAACTAGACAGAATGATTCTCAGAAACTCCTTTGTGATGTGTGCGTTCAACTCACAGAGTTTAACCTTTCTTTTCATAGAGCAGTTAGGAAACACTCTGTTTGTAAAGTCTGCAAGTGGATATTCAGACCTCTTTGAGGCCTTCGTTGGAAACGGGTTTTTTTCCTGTAAGGCTAGACAGAAGAATTCCCAGTAACTTCCTTGTGTTGTGTACATTCAACTCACAGATTTGAACGTTCCCTTAGACAGAGCAGATTTGAAACACTCTTTTTGTGCAATTGGCAAGTGGAGATTTCAAGCGCTTTAAGGTCAATGGCAGAAAAGGAAATATCTTCGTTTCAAAACTAGACAGAATCATTCCCACAAACTGCGTTGTGCTGTGTTCGTTCAACTCACAGAGTTTAACCTTTGTTTTCATAGAGCAGTTAGGAAACAGTCTGTTTGTAAATTCTGTAAGTGGATATTCTGACATCTTGTGGCCTTCGTTGGAAACGGGTTTTCTTCATATTCTGCTAGACAGAAGAATTCCCAGTAACTTCCTTGTGTTGTGTACATTCAACTCACAGAGTTGAACGTTCCCTTAGACAGAGCAGATTTGAAACACTCTTTTTGTGCAATTGGCAAATGGAGATTTCAAGCGCTTTAAGTTCAATGGCAGAAAAGGAAATATCTTCGTTTCAAAACTAGACAGAATCATTCCCACAAACTGCGTTGTGATGTGTTCGTTCAACTCACAGAGTTTAACCTTTCCGTTCATAGAGCAGTTAGGAAACACACTGTTTGTAAAGTCTGTAAGTGGATATTCTGACATCTTGTGGCCTTCGTTGGAAACGGGATTTCTTCATATTCTGCTAGACGGAAGGAATTCTCAGTAACTTCCTTGTGTTGTGTGTATTCAACTTACAGAGTTGAACGATTTCTTACACAGAGCAGAGTTGAAACACTCTTTTTCTGGAATTTGCAAGTGGAGATTACAGCCGCTTTGAGGTCAATGGTAGAATAGGAAATATGTTCCTATAGAAACTAGACAGAACGATTCTCAGAAACTCCTTTGTGATGTGTGCGTTCAACTCACAGAGTTTAACCTTTCTTTTCATAGAGCAGTTAGGAAACACTCTGTTTGTAAAGTCTGCAAGTGGATATTCTGACCTCTTTGAGGCCTTCGTTGGAAACGGGATTTCTTCATATTCTGCTAGACAGAAGAATTCCCAGTAACTTCCTTGTGTTGTGTGTGTTCAACTCACAGAGTTGAACTTTCATTTACACAGAGCAGATTTGAAACACTCTTTTTGTGGAATTTGCAAGTGGAGATTTCAAGCGCTTTGAGACCAAAGGCAGAAAAGGAAATATCTTCGTTTCAAAACTAGACAGAATCATTCTCAGAAACTGCTCTGTGATGTGTGCGTTCAACTCTCAGAGTTTAACTTTTCTTTTCATTCAGCAGTTTGGAAACACTCAGTTTGTAAAGTCTGCACGTGGATATTTTGACCACTTAGAGGTCTTCGTTGGAAACGGGTTTTTTTCATGTAAGGCTAGACAGAAGAATTCACAGTAACTTCCTTGTGTTGTGTACATTCAACTCACAGAGTTGAACGTTCCCTTAGACAGAGCAGATTTGAAACACTCTTTTTGTGCAATTGGCAAGTGGAGATTTCAAGCGCTTTAAGGTCAATGGCAGAAAAGGAAATATCTTCCTTTCAAAACTAGACAGAATGATTCTCAGAAACTCCTTTGTGATGTGTGCGTTCAACTCACAGAGTTTAACCTTTCTTTTCATAGAGCAGTTAGGAAACACTCTGTTTGTAAAGTCTGCAAGTGGATATGCAGACATCCTTGAGGCTTTCGTTGGAAACGGGATTTCTTCATATTCTGCTAGAAAGAAGAATTCTCAGTAACTTCCTCGTGTTGTGTGTATTCAACTCACAGAGTTGAACGATCCTTTACACAGAGCAGACTTGAAACACTCTTTTTGTGGAATTTGCAAGTGGAGATTTCAGCCGCTTTGAGGTCAATGGTAGAATAGGAAATATCTTCCTATAGAAACTAGACAGAATGATTCTCAGAAACTCCTTTGTGATGTGTGCGTTCAACTCACAGAGTTTAACCTTTCTGTTCATAGAGCAGTTAGGAAACACTCTGTTTGTAAAGTCTGCAAGTGGATATTCAGACCCCTTTGAGGCCTTCGTTGGAAACGGGATTTCTTCATATTCTGCTAGACAGAAGAATTCGCAGTAACTTCCTTGTGTTGTGTGTATTCAACTCACAGAGTTTAACGATCCTTTACACAGAGCGGACTTGAAACACTCTTTTTGTGGAATTTGCAAGTGGAGATTTCAGCCGCTTTGAGGTCAATGGTAGAAAAGGAAATATCTTCGTATAAAGACTAGACAGAATGATTCTCATAAACTCCTTTGTGATGTGTGCGTTCAACTCACAGAGTTTAACTTTTCATTTCATAGAGCAGTTAGGAAACACTCTGTTTGTAATGTCTGCAAGTGGATATTCAGACCTCTTTGAGGCCTTCATTGGAAACGGGATTTCTTCATATTATGCTAGACAGAAGAATTCTCAGTAACTTCCTTGTGTTGTGTGTATTCAACTCACAGAGTTGAACGATCCTTTACACAGAGCAGACTTGGAACACTCTTTTTGTGGAATTTGCAAGTGGAGATTTCTGCCGCGTTGAGGTCAATGGTAGAAAAGGAAATATCTTCGTATAAAAACTAGACAGAATGATTCTCAGAAACTCCTTTGAGATGTGTGTGTTCAACTCACAGTTTAACCTTTCTTTTCATAGAGCAGTTAGGAATCACTCTGTTTGTAAAGTCTGCAAGTGGATATACAGACCTCTTTGAGGCCTTCGTTGGAAACGGGTTTTTTTCATATAAGGCTAGACAGAAGAATTCCCAGTAACTTCCTTGTGTTGTGTGTGTTCAACTCACAGAGTTGAACTTTCATTTACACAGAGCAGATTTGAAACACTCTTTTTGTGGAATTTGCAAGTGGAGATTTCAGCCGCTTTGAAGTCAAATGTAGAAAAGGAAATATCTTCCTATAAAAACTAGACAGAATGATTCTCAGAAACTCCTTTGTGATGTGTGCGTTCAACTCACAGAGTTTAACCTTTCTTTTCATAGAGCAGTTAGGGAACACTCTGTTTGTAAAGT
Organism: Homo sapiens; assembly: GCF_000001405.40. NCBI lineage: Eukaryota > Metazoa > Chordata > Mammalia > Primates > Hominidae > Homo > Homo sapiens. The sequence continues at coordinate 124,103,288 of NC_000001.11, forward strand.
CTGCAAGTGGATATTCAGACCTCTTTGAGGCCTTCGTTGGAAACGGGATTTCTTCATATTATGCTAGACAGAAGAATTCCCAGTAACTTGCCTTGTGTTGTGTGTGTTCAACTCACAGAGTTGAACTTTCATTTACACAGAGCAGATTTGAAACACTAATTTTGTGGAATTTGCAAGTGGAGATTTCAAGCGCTTTGAGGCCAAAGGCAGAAAAGGAAATATCTTCGTATAAAAACTAGACAGAATCATTCTCAGAAACTGCTGCGTGATGTGTGCGTTCAACTCTCAGAGTTTAACTTTTCTTTTCATTCAGCGGTTTGGAAACACTCTGTTTGTAAAGTCTGCACGTGGATATTTTGACCACTTAGAGGCCTTCGTTGGAAACGGGTTTTTTTCATGTTAGGCTAGACAGAAGAATTCCCAGGAACTTCCTTGTGTTGTGTACATTCAACTCACAGAGTTGAACGTTCCCTTAGACAGAGCAGATTTGAAACACTCTTTTTGTGCAATTGGCAAGTGGTGATTTCAGCAGCTTTGAGGTCAATGGTAGAAAAGGAAATATCTTCGTATAAAAACTAGACAGAATCATTCCCACAAACTGCGTTGTGATGTGTTCGTTCAACTCACAGAGTTTAACCTTTCTTTTCATAGAGCAGTTAGGAAACAGTCTGTTTGTCAATTCTGTAAGTGGATATTCTGACATCTTGTGGCCTTAGTTGGAAACGGGATTTCTTCATATTCTGCTAGACAGAAGAATTCTCAGTAACTTCCTTGTGTTGTGTGTATTCAACTCACAGAGTTGAACGATCCTTTACACAGAGCAGACTTGAAACACTCTTTTTGTGGAATTTGCAAGTGGAGATTTCAGCCGCTTTGGGTTCAATGGTAGAATAGGAAATATCTTCCTATAGAAACTGGACAGAATGATTCTCAGAAACTCCTTTGTGAAGTGTGCGTTCAACTCACAGAGTTTAACCTTTCTTTCCATAGAGCAGTTAGGAAACACTCTGTTTGTAAAGTCTGCAAGTGGATATTCAGACCTCTTTGAGGCCTTCGTTGGAAACGGGATTTCTTCATATTCTGCTAGACAGAAGAATTCTCAGTAACTTCCTTGTGTTGTGTGTATTCAACTGACAGAGTTGAACTTTCATTTAGAGAGAGCAGATTTGAAACACTGTTTTTGTGGAATTTGTAAGTGGAGATTTCAAGCGCTTTGGGGCCAAAGGCAGAAAAGGAAATATCTTCGTATAAAAACTAGACAGAATCGTTCTCAGAAACTGCTCTGCGATGTGTGCGTTCAACTCTCAGAGTTTAACTTTTCTTTTCATTCAGCAGTTTGGAAACACTCTGTTTCTAAAGTCTGCACGTGGATAATTTGACCACTTAGAGGCCTTCGTTGGAAACGGGTTTTTTTCATGTAAGGCTAGACAGAAGAATTCTCAGTAACTTCCTTGTGTTGTGTGTATTCAACTCACAGAGTTGAACGATCCTTTACAAAGAGCAGATTTGTAACACTCTTTTTGTGGAATTTGCAAGTGGAGATTTCAAGCGCTTTAAGGTCAATGGCAGAAAAGGAAATATCTTCGTTTCAAAACTAGATAGAATCATTCCCACAAACTGCGTTGTGATGTGTTCGTTCAACTAACAGAGTTTAACCTTTCTTTTCATAGAGCAGTTAGGAAACAGTCTGTTTGTAAATTCTGTAAGTGGATAATCTGACATATTGTGGCCTTTGTTGGAAACAGGATTTCTTCTTATTCTGCTAGACAGAAGAATTCTCAGTAACTTCCTTGTGTTGTGTGTATTCAACTCACAGAGTTGAACGATCCTTTACACAGAGCAGACTTGAAACACTCTTTTTGTGGAATTTGCAAATGGAGATTTCAGCCGCTTTGAGGTCAATGGTAGAATAGGAAATATCTTCCTATAGAAACTAGACAGAATGATTCTCATAAACTCCTTTGTGATGTGTGCGTTCAACTCACAGAGTTTAACCTTTCTTTTCATAGAGCAGTTAGGAAACACTCTGTTTGTAAAGTCTGCAAGTGGATATTCAGACCCTCTTGAGGCCTTCGTTGGAAACGGGATTTCTTCATATTCTGCTAGACAGAAGAATTCTCAGTAACTTCCCTTGTGTTGTGTGTGTTCAACTCACAGAGTTGAACTTTCATTTACACAGAGCAGATTGGAAACACTCTTTTTGTGGAATTTGCAAGTGGAGATTTCAAGCGCTTTGAGGCCAAAGGCAGAAAAGGAAATATCTTCGTATAAAAACTAGACAGAATCATTCTCAGAAACTGCTCTGCGATGTGTGCGTTCAACTCTCAGAGTTTTACTTTGCTTTTCATTCAGCAGTTTGGAAACACTCTGTTTGTAAAGTCTGCACGTGGATAATTTGACCACTTAGAGGCCTTCGTTGGAAACGGGTTTTTTTCATGTAAGGCTAGACAGAAGAATTCCCAGTAACTTCCTTGTGTTGTGTACATTCAACTCACAGAGTTGAACGTTCCCTTAGACAGAGCAGATTTGAAACACTATTTTTGTGCAATTGGCAAATGGAGATTTCAAGGGCTTTAAGGTCAATGGCAGAAAAGGAAATATCTTCGTTTCAAAACTAGACAGAATGATTCTCATAAACTCCTTTGTGATGTGTGCGTTCAACTCACAGAGTTTAACCTTTCTGTTCATAGAGCAGTTAGGAAACACTCTGTTTGTAAAGTCTGCAAGTGGATATTCAGACCTCCTTGAGGCCTTCGTTGGAAAAGGGATTTCTTCATATTCTGCTAGACAGAAGAATTCTCAGTAACTTCCTTGTGTTGTGTGTATTCAACTCACAGAGTTGAACGATCCTTTACACAGAGCAGACTTCAAACACTCTTTTTGTGGAATTTGCAAGTGGAGATTTCAGCCGCTTTGAGGTCAATAGTAGAAAAGGAAATATCTTCGTAGAAAAACTAGGCAGAATGATTCCCAGAAACTCCTTTGTGATGTGTGCATTCAACTCACAGAGTTTAACTTTTCTTTTCATAGAGCAGTTAGGAAACACTCTGTTTGTAAAGTCTGCAAGTGGATATTCAGACCTCTTTGAGGCCTTCGTTGGAAACGGGATTTCTTCATATTATGCTAGACAGAAGAATTCCCAGTAACTTCCTTGTGTTGTGTGTGTTCAACTCACAGAGTTGAACTTTCATTTAGACAGAGCAGATTTGAAGCACTCTTTTTGTGGAATTTGCAAGTGGAGATTTCAAGCGCTTTGAGGCCAAAGGCAGAAAAGGTAATATCTTCGTTTCAAAACTAGCCAGAATCATTCTCAGAAACTGCTCTGCGATGTGTGCGTTCAACTCTCAGAGTTTAACTTTTCTTTTCATTCAGCAGTTTGGAAACACTCTGTTTGTAAAGTCTGCACGTGGATAATTTGACCACTTAGAGGCCTTCGTTGGAAACGGGTTTTTTTCATGCAAGGCTAGACAGAAGAATTCCCAGTAACTTCCTTGTGTTGTGTACATTCAACTCACAGAGTTGAACGTTCCCTTAGACAGAGCAGATTTGAAACACTCTTTTTGTGCAATTGGCAAGTGGAGATTTCAAGAGTTTTAAGGTCAATGGCAGAAAAGGAAATATCTTCGTTTCAAAACTAGACAGAATCATTCCCACAAACTGCGTTGTGATGTGTTCGTTCAAATCACAGAGTTTAACCTTTCTTTTCATAGAGCAGTTAGGAAACAGTCTGTTTGTAAATTCTGTAAGTGGATATTCTGACATCTTGTGGCCTTCGTTGGAAGCGGGATTTCTTCATATTCTGCTAGACAGAAGAATTCTCAGTAACTTCCTTGTGTTGTGTGTATTCAACTCACAGAGGTGAACGATCCTTTACAGAGAGCAGACTTGAAACACTCTTTTTGTGGAATTTGCAAGTGGAGATTTCAGCCGCTTTGAGGTCAATGGTAGAATAGGAAATATCTTCCTATAGAAACTAGACAGAATGATTCTCAGAAACTCCTTTGTGATGTGTGCGTTCAACTCACAGAGTTTAACCTTCCTTTTCATAGAGCAGTTAGGAAACACTCTGTTTGTAAAGTCTGCAAGTGGATATTCAGACCTCTTTGAGGCCTTCGTTGGAAACGGGTTTTTTTCATATAAGGCTAGACAGAAGAATTCCCAGTAACTTCCTTGTGTTGTGTGTGTTCAACTCACAAAGTTGAACTTTCATTTACACAGAGCAGATTTGAAACACTCTTTTTGTGGAATTTGCAAGTGGAGATTTCAAGCGCTTTGAGGCCAAAGGCAGAAAAGGAAATATCTCCGTTTCAAAACTAGACAGAATCATTCTCAGAAACTGCTCTGTGATGTGTGCGTTCATCTCACAGGGTTTAACTTTTCTTTTCTTTCAGCAGTTTGGCAACACTCTGTTTGTAAAATCTGCACGTGGATATTTTGACCACTTAGAGGCCTTCGTTGGAAACGAGTTTTTTTCATGTAAGGCAATACAGAAGAATTCCCAGTAACTTCCCTTGTGTTGTGTGCATTCAACTCACACAGATGAACGTTCCCTTAGACAGAGCAGATTTGAAACACTCTATTTGTGCAATTTGCAAGTGTAGATTTCAAGCGCTTTAAGGTCAATGGCAGAAAAGGAAATATCTTCGTTTCAAAACTAGACAGAATCATTCCCACAAACTGCGTTGTGATGTGTTCGTTCAACTCACAGAGTTTAACCTTTCTGTTCATAGACCAGTTAGGAACCACTCTGCTTGTAAAGTCTGTAAGTGGATATTCTGACGTCTTGTGGCCTTAATTGGAAATGGGATTTCTTCGTATTCTGCTAGACAGAGAATTCTCAGTAACTGCCTTGTGTTGTGTGTATTCAACTCACAGAGTTGAACGATCCTTTACACAGAGCAGACTTGAAACACTCTTTTTGTGGAATTTGCAAGTGGAGATTTCAGCCGCTTTGAGGTCAATGGTAGAATAGGAAATATCTTCCTATAGAAACTAGACAGAATGATTCTCAGTAAGTTCTTTGTGATGTGTGCGTTCAACTCACAGGGTTCAACCTTTCTTTTCATAGAGCAGTTAAGAAACACTCTGTTTGTAAAGTCTTCAAGTGGATATTCATACCTCTTTGAGGCCCTCGTTGGAAACGGGATTTCTTCATATTATGCTAGACAGAAGAATTCTCAGTAACTTCCTTGTGTTGTGTGTATTCAACTGACAGAGTTGAACTTTCATTTAGAGAGAGCAGATTTGAAACTCTGTTTTTGTGGAATTTGCAAGTGGAGATTTCAAGCGCTTTGGGGCCAAAGGCAGAAAAGGAAATATCTTCGTATAAAAACTAGACAGAATCATTCTCAGAAACTGCTCTGCGATGTGTGCGTTCAACTCTCAGAGTTTAACTTTTCTTTTCATTCAGCAGTTTGGAAACACTCTGTTTGTAAAGTCTGCACGTGGATATTTTGACCATTTAGAGGCCTTCGTTGGAAACGGGTTTTTTTCTTGTAAGGCTAGACAGAAGAATTCCCAGTAACTTTCCTTGTGTTGTGTACATTCAACTCACAGAGTTGAACGTTCCCTTAGACAGAGCAGATTTGAAACACTCTTTTTGTGCAATTGGCAAATGGAGATTTCAAGCGCTTTAAGTTCAATGGCAGAAAAGGAAATATCTTCGTTTCAAAACTAGACAGAATGATTCTCAGAAACTCCTTTGAGATGTGTGCGTTCAACTCACAGAGTTTAACCTTTCTTTTCATAGAGCAGTTAGGAAACACTCTGTTTGTAAACTCTGCAAGTGGATATTCAGACCTCTTTGAGGCTTTCGTTGGAAACGGGATTTCTTCATACTATGCTAGACAGAAGAATTCTCAGTAACTTCCGCGTGTACAGAGCAGACTTGAAACACTCTTTTTGTGGAATTTGCAAGTGGAGATTTCAGCCGCTTTGAGGTCAATGGTAGAAAAGGAAATATCTTCCTATAAAAACTAGACAGAATGATTCTCAGAAACTCCTTTGTGATGTGTGCGTTCAACTCACAGAGTTCAACCTTTCTTTTCATAGAGCAGTTGGGAAACACTCTGTTTGTAAAGTCTGCAAGTGGATATTCAGACTTCTTTGAGGCCTCCGTTGGAAGAGGGATTTCTTCATATTCTGCTAGACAGAAGAATTCCCAGTAACTTCCTTGTGTTGTGTGTGTTCAACTCACAGAGTTGAACTTTCATTTACCCAGAGCAGATTTGAAACCCTCTTTTTGTGGAATTTGCAAGTGGAGATTTCAAGCACTTTGAGGCCAAAGGCAGAAAAGGAAATATCTTCGTTTCAAAACTAGACAGAATCATTCTCAGAAACTGCTCTGCGATGTGTGCGTTCAACTCTCAGAGTTTAACTTTTCTTTTCATTCAGCAGTTTGGAAACACTCTGTTTGTAAAGTCTGCACGTGGATATTTTGACCACTTATAGGCCTTCGTTGGAAACGGGTTTTTTTCCTGTAAGGCTAGACAGAAGAATTCTCAGTAACTTCCTTGTGTTGTGTACATTCAACTCACAGAGTTGAACGTTCCCTTAGACAGAGCATATTTGAAACACTCTTTTTGTGCAATTGGCAAGTGGAGATTTCAAGCGCTTTAAGGTCAATGGCAGAAAAGGAAATATCTTCGTTTCAAAACTAGACAGAATCATTCCCACAAACTGCGTTGTGATGTGTTCGTTCAACTCACAGAGTTTAACTTTTCTGTTCATAGAGCAGTTAGGAAACACTCTGTTTGTAAAGTCTGTAAGTGGATATTCTGACATCTTGTGGCCTTCGTTGGAAACGGGATTTCTTCCTATTCTGCTAGACAGAAGAACTCTCAGTAACTTCCTTGTGTTGTGTGTATTCAACTCACAGAGTTGAACGATCCTTTACACAGAGCAGACTTGAAACATTCTTTTCGTGGAATTTGCAACTGGTGATTTCAGCCGCTTTGAGGTCAATGGTAGAATAGGAAATATCTTCCTATAGAAACTAGACAGAATGATTCTCAGAAACTCCTTTGTGATGTGTGCGTTCAACTCACAGAGTTTAACCTTTTTTTTCATAGAGCAGTTAGGAAACACTCTGTTTGTAAAGTCTGCAAGTGGATATTCAGACGTCTTTGAGGCCTTCGTTGGAAACGGGATTTCTTCATACTATGCTAGACAGAAGAATTCCCAGTAACTTCCTTGTGTTGTGTGTGTTCGACTCACAGAGTTGAACTTTCATTTACACAGAGCAGATTTGAAACACTCTTTTTGTGGAATTTGCAAGTGGAGATTTCAAGCGCTTTGAGGCCAAAGGCAGAAAAAGAAATATCTTCGTTTCAAAACTAGACAGAATCATTCTCAGAAACTGTTCTGCGATGTGTGCGTTCAACTCTCAGAGTTTAACTTTTCTTTTCATTCAGCAGTTTGGAAACACTCTGTAAACTCTGCATGTGGATATTTTGACCACTTAGAGGCCTTCGTTGGAAACGGGTTTTTTTCCTGTAAGGCTAGACAGAAGAATTCCCAGTAACTTCCTTGTGTTGTGTACATTCAACTCACAGAGTTGAACGTTCCCTTAGACAGAGCAGATTTGAAACACTCTTTTTGTGCAATTGGCAAGTGGTGATTTCAGCCGCTTTGAGGTCAATGGTAGAAAAGGACATATCTTCGTATAAAAACTAGACAGAATCATTCCCACAAACTGCGTTGTGATGTGTTCGTTCAACTCACAGAGTTTAACCTTTCTTTTCATAGAGCAGTTAGGAAACAAGTCTGTTTGTCAATTCTGTAAGTGGATATTCTGACATCTTGTGGCCTTCGTTGGAAACGGGATTTCTTCATATTCTGCTAGACAGAAGAATTCTCAGAATCTTCCTTGTGTTGTGTGTATTCAACTCACACAGTTGAACGATGGTTTACACAGAGCAGATTTGAAACACTCTTTTTGTGGAGTTTGGAAGTGGAGATTTCAGCCGCTTTGAGGTCAATGGTAGAAAAGGAAATATCTTCGTATAAAAACTAGACAGAATGATTCTCACAAACTCCTTTGTGATGTGTGCGTTCAACTCACAGAGTTTAAGCTTTCTTTTCATAGAGCAGTTGGGAAACACTCTGTAAAGTCTGCAAGTGGATATTCAGACCTCTTTGAGGCTTTCGTTGGAAACGGGATTTCTTCATATTCTGCTAGACAGAAGAATTCTCAGTAACTTCCTTGTGTTGTGTGTATTCAACTCACAGAGTTGACCGATCCTTTACACAGAGTAGACTTGTAACACTCTTTTTGTGGAATTTGCAAGTGGAGATTTCAGCCGCTTTGAAGTCAAAGGTAGAAAAGGGAATATCTTCCTATAAAAACTAGACAGAATCATTCTCATAAACTGCTGCGTGATGTGTGCGTTCAACTCTCAGAGTTTAACTTTTCTTTTCATTCAGCGGTTTGGAAACACTCTGTTTGTAAAGTCTGCACGTGGATATTTTGACCACTTAGACGCCTTCGTTGGAAACGGGTTTTTTTCATGTAAGGCTAGACAGAAGAATTCCCAGTAACTTCCTTGTGTTGTGTACATTCAACTCACAGAGTTGAACGTTCCCTTAGACAGAGCAGATTTGAAACACTCTTTTTGTGCAATTGGCAAGTGGAGATTTCAAGCGCTTTGAGGTCAATGGCAGAAAAGGAAATATCTTCGTTTCAAAACTAGACAGAATCATTGCCACAAACTGCGTTGTGATGTGTTCGTTCAACTCACAGAGTTTAACCTTTCTTTTCATAGAGCAGTTAGGAAACAGTCTGTTTGTAAATTCTGTAAGTGGATATTCTGACAGCTTGTGGCCTTCGTTGGAAACGGGATTTCTTCATACTATGCTAGACAGAAGAATTCTCAGAATCTTCCTTGTGTTGTGTGTATTCAACTCACCGAGTTGAACGATCCTTTACACAGAGCAGACTTGAAACACTCTTTTTGTGGAATTTGCAAGTGGAGATTTCAGCCGCTTTGAGGTCCATGTTAGAAAAGGAAATATCTTCGTACAAAAACTAGACAGAATGATTCTCAGAAACTTCTTTGTGATGTGTGCCTTCAACTCACAGAGTTTAACCTTTCTTTTCATAGAGCAGTTAGGAAACACTCTGCTTGTAAACTCTGCAAGTGGATATTCAGACCTCTTTGAGGCCTTCGTTGGAAACGGGATTTCTCCATACTATGCTAGACAGAAGAATTCCCAGTAACTTCCTTGTGTTGTGTGTGTTCAACTCACAGAGTTGAACTTTCATTTACACAGAGCAGATTTGAAACACTCTTTTTGTGGAATTTGCAAATGGAGATTTCAAGCGCTTTGAGGCCGAAGGCAGAAAAGGAAATATCTTCGTATAAAAACTAGACAGAATCATTCTCAGAAACTGCTCTGCGATGTGTGCGTTCAACTCTCTGAGTTTAACTTTTCTTTTCATTCAGCAGTTTGGAAACACTCTGTTTGTAAAGTCTGCACGTGGATAACTTGACCACTTAGAGGCCTTCATTGGAAACGGGTTTTTTTCATGTAAGGCTAGACAGAAGAATTCCCAGTAACTTCCTTGTGTTGTGTGCATTCAACTCACAGAGTTGAACGTTCCTTAGACAGAGCAGATTTGAAACACTCTATTTGTGCAATTTGCAAGTGTAGGTTTCAAGCGCTTTAAGGTCAATGGCAGAAAAGGAAATATCTTCGTTTCAAAACTAGACAGAATCATTCCCACAAACTGCGTTGTGATGTGTTCGTTCAACTCACAGACTTTAACCTTTCTTTTCATAGAGCAGTTAGGAAACACTCTGTTTGTAAAGTCTGTAAGTGGATATTCTGACATCTTGTGGCCTTCGTTGGAAACGGGATTTCTTCATATTCTGCTAGACAGAAGAATTCTCAGTAACTTCCTTGTGTTGTGTGTATTCAACTCACAGAGTTGAACGATCCTTTACACAGAGCAGACTTGAAACACTCTTTTTGTGGAATTTGCAAGTGGAGATTTCAGCCGCTTTGAGGTCAATGATAGAAAAGGAAATATCTTCGTATAAAGACTAGACAGAATGATTCTCAGAAACTCCTTTGTGATGTGTGCGTTGAATTCACAAAATTTAACATTTCTTTTCATAGAGCAGTTAGGAAACACCCTGTTTGTAAAGTCTGCAAGTGGATATTCAGACCTCTTTGAGGCCTTCGTTGGAAACGGGATTTCTTCATATTCTGCTAGACAGAAGAATTCCCAGTAACTTCCTTGTGTTGTGTGTGTTCAACTCACAGAGTTGAACTTTCATTTACACAGAGCAGATTTGAAACACTCTTTTTGTGGAATTTGCAAGTGGAGATTTCAAGCGCTTTGGGGCCAAAGGCAGAAAAGGAAATATCTTCGTATAAAAACTAGACAGAATCATTCTCAGAAACTGCTCTGCGATGTGTGCGTTCAACTCTCAGAGTTTAACTTTTCTTTTCATTCAGCAGTTTGGAAACACTCTGTTTGTTAAGTCTGCACGTGGATATTTTGACCACTTAGAGGCCTTCGTTGGAAACGGGTTTTTTTCCTGTAAGGCTTGACAGAAGAATTCCCAGTAACTTCCTTGTGTTGTGTACATTCAACTCACAGAGTTGAACGTTCCCTTAGACAGAGCAGATTTGAAACACTCTTTTTGTGCAATTGGCAAGTGGTGATTTCAGCCGCTTTGAGGTCAATGGTAGAAAAGGAAATATCTTCGTATAAAAACTAGACAGAATGATTCTCAGAAACTTCATTGTGATGTGTGCGTTCAACTCACAGAGTTTAACCTTTCTTTTCATAGAGCAGTTAGGAAACACTCTGTTTGTGAACTCTGCAAGTGGATATTCAGACGTCTTTGAGGCCTTCGTTGGAAATGGGATTTCTTCATACTGTGCTAGACAGAAGAATTCTCAGTAACTTCCTTGTGTTGTGTGTATTGAACTCGCAGAGTTGAACGATCCTTTACACAGAGCAGACTTGAAACACTCTTTTTGTGGAATTTGCAAGTGGAGATTTCAGCCGCTTTGAGGTCAATAGTAGAAAATGAAATATCTTCGTAGAAAAACTAGACAGAATGATTCTCATAAACTCCTTTGTGATGTGTGCGTTCAACTCACAGAGTTTAACTTTTCTTTTCATAGCAGCAGTTAGGAAACACTCTGTTTGTAAAGTCTGCAAGTGGATATTCAGACCTCTTTGAGGCCTTCGTTGGAAACGGGATTTCTTCATATTCTGCTAGACAGAAGAATTCTCAGTAACTTCCTTGTGTTGTGTGTATTCAACTCACAGACTTGAACGATCCTTTACACAGAGCAGACTTGAAACACTCTTTTTGTGGAATTTGCAAATGGAGATTTCAGCCGCTTTGAGGTCAATAGTAGAAAAGGAAATATCTTCGTAGAAAAACTAGACAGAATGATTCTCAGAAAATCTTTTGTGATCTGTGCGTTCAACTCACAGAGTTTAACTTTTCTTCTCATAGAGCAGTTAGGAAACACTCTGTTTGTAAAGTCTGCAAGTGGATATTCAGACCTCTTTGAGGCCTTCGTTGGAAACGGGATTTCTTCATATTCTGCTAGACAGAAGAATTCCCAGTAACTTCCTTGTGTTGTGTGCATTCAACTCACAGAGTTGAACGTTCACTTAGACAGAGCAGATTTGAAACACTCTATTTGTGCAATTTGCAAGTGTAGATTTCAAGCGCTTTAAGGTCAACGGCAGAAAAGGAAATATCTTCGTTTCAAAACTAGACAGAATCATTCCCACAAACTGCGTTGTGATGTGTTCGTTCAACTCACAGAGTTTAACCTTTCTTTTCATAGAGCAGTTAGGAAACAGTCTGTTTGTCAATTCTGTAAGTGGATATTCTGACATCTTGTGTCCTTAGTTGGAAACGGGATTTCTTCATATTCTGCTAGACAGAAGAATTCTCAGTAACTTCCTTGTGTTTTGTGTATTCAACTCACAGAGTTGAACGATCCTTTTCACAGAGCAGACTTGAAACACTCTTTTTGTGGAATTTGCAAGTGGAGATTTCAGCCGCTTTGAGGTCAATAGTAGAAAAGGAAATATCTTCGTAGAAAAACTAGACAGAATGATTCTCAGAAACTCCTTTGTGATGTGTGCGTTCAACTCACAGAGTTTAACCTTTCTTTTCATAGAGCAGTTAGGAAACACTCTGTTTGTAAAGTCTGCAAGTGGATATTCAGACCTCTTTGAGGCCTTCGTTGGAAACGGGATTTTTTCATATAAGGCTAGACAGAAGAATTCTCAGTAACTTCCTTGTGTTGTGTGTATTCAACTGACAGAGTTGAACTTTCATTTAGAGAGAGCAGATTTGTAAGACTGTTTTTGTGGAATTTGCAAGTGGAGATTTCAAGCGCTTTGCGGCCAAAGGCAGAAATGGAAATATCTTCGTATAAAAACTAGACAGAATCATTCTCAGAAAATCCTCTATGATGTGTGCGTTCAACTCTCAGAGTTTAACTTTTCTTTTCATTCAGCAGTTTGAAAACACTCTGTTTGTAAAGTCTGCACGTGGATATTTTGACCACTTAGAGGCCTTCGTTGGAAACGGGTTTTTTTCATGTAAGGGTAGACAGAAGAATTCCCAGTAACTTCCTTGTGTTGTGTGCATTCAACTCACAGAGTTGAAAGTTCCCTTAGACAGAGCAGATTTGAAACACTCTATTTGTGCAATTTGCAAGTGTAGACTTCAAGCGCTTTAAGGTCAACGGCAGAAAAGGAAATATCTTCGTTTCAAAACTAGACAGAATGATTCTCAGAAACTCCTTTGTGATGTGTGCGTTCAACTCACAGAGTTTAACCTTTCTTTTCATAGAGCAGTTAGGAAACACTCTGTTTGTAAAGTCTGCAAGTGGATATTCAGACCTCTTTGAGGCCTTCGTTGGAAACGGGTTTTCTTCATATTCTGCTAGACAGAAGAATTCTCAGTAACTTCCTTGTGTTGTGTGTATTCAACTCACAGAGTTGAACGATCCTTTACACAGAGCAGTCTTGAAACACTCTTTTTGTGGAATTTGCAAGTGGAGATTTCAGCCGCTTTGAGGTCAATAGAAGAAAAGGAAATATCTTCGTAGAAAAACTAGGCAGAATGATTCTCAGAAACTCCTTTGTGATGTGTGCGTTCAACTCACAGAGTTTAACCTTTCTTTTCATAGAGCAGTTAGGAAACACTCTGTTTGTAAAGTCTGCAAGTGGATATTCAGACATCCTTGAGGCTTTCGTTGGAAACGGGATTTCTTCATATTCTGCTAGAAAAAAGAATTCTCAGTAACTTCCTTGTGTTGTGTGTATTCAACTCATAGAGTTGAACGATCCTTTACACAGAGCAGACTTGTAACACTCTTTTTGTGGAATTTGCAAGTGGAGATTTCAAGCGCTTTGAGGCCAAAGGCAGAAAAGGAAATATCTTCGTTTCAAAACTAGACAGAATCATTCTCAGAAACTGCTCTGCGATGTGTGCGTTCAACTCTCAGAGTTTAACTTTTCTTTAGCATTCAGCAGTTTGGAAACACTCTGTTTGTAAAGTCTGCACGTGGATATTTTGACCACTTAGAGGCCTTCGTTGGAAACGGGTTTTTTTCCTGTAAGGCTAGACAGAAGAATTCCCAGTAACTTCCTTGTGTTGTGTGCATTCAACTCACAGAGTTGAACGTTCCCTTGGACAGAGCAGATTTGAAACACTCTATTTGTGCAATTTGCAAGTGTAGATTTCAAGCGCTTTAAGGTCAACGGCAGAAAAGGAAATATCTTCGTTTCAAAACTAGACAGAATCATTCCCACAAACTCGCGTTGTGATGTGTTCGTTCAACTCACAGAGTTTAACCTTTCTGTTCATAGAGCAGTTAGGAAACACTCAGTTTGTAAAGTCTGTAAGTGGATATTCTGACATCTTGTGGCCTTCGTTGGAAACGGGATTTCTTCATATTCTGCTAGACAGAAGAATTCTCAGAATCTTCCTTGTGTTGTGTGTATTCAACTCACACAGTTGAACGATGGTTTACACAGAGCAGATTTGAAACACTCTTTTTGTGGAATTTGCAAGTGGAGATTTCAGCCGCTTTGAGGTCAATGGTAGAAAATGAAATATCTTCGTATAAAAACTAGACAGAATGATTCTCATAACTCCTTTGTGATGTGTGCGTTCAACTCACAGAGTTCAACCTTTCTTTTCATAGAGCAGTTGGGAAACACTCTGTTTGTAAAGTCTGCAAGTGGATATTCAGACTTCTTTGAGGCCTTCGTTGGAAGCGGGATTTCTTCATATTCTGCTAGACAGAAGAATTCTCAGTAACTGCCTTGTGTTGTGTGTATTCAACTCACAGAGTTGAACGATCCTTTACACAGAGAAGACTTGAAACACTCTTTTTGTGGAATTTGCAAGTGGAGATTTCAGCCGCTGTGAGGTCAATGGTAGAATAGGAAATATCTTCCTATAGAAACTAGACAGAATCATTCTCAGAAACTGCTGCGTGATGTGTGCGTTCAACTCTCAGAGTTTAACTTTTCTTTTCATTCAGCGGTTTGGAAACACTCTGTTTGTAAAGTCTGCACGTGGATATTTTGACCACTTAGAGGCCTTCGTTGGAAACGGGTTTTTTTCATGTAAGGCTAGACAGAAGAATTCCCAGTAACTTTCCTTGTGTTGTGTGCATTCAACTCACAGAGCTGAACGTTCCCTTAGACAGAGCAGATTTGAAACACTCTATTTGTGCAATTTGCAAGTGTAGATTTCAAGCGCTTTAAGGTCAATGGCAGAAAAGGAAATATCTTCGTTTCAAAACTAGACAGAATCATTCCCAGAAACTGCGTTGTGATGTGTTCGTTCAACTCACAGAGTTTAACCTTTCTGTTCATAGAGCAGTTAGGAAACACTCTGTTTGTAAAGTCTGTAAGTGGATATTCTGACATCTTGTGGCCTTCGTTGGAAACGGGATTTCATAATATTCTCCTAGACAGAAGAATTCTCAGAATCTTCCTTGTGTTGTGTGTATTCAACTCACAGAGTTGAACGATGGTTTACACAGAGCAGATTTGAAACACTCTTTTGGTGGAATTTGCAAGTGGAGATTTCAGCCGCTTTGAGGTCAATGGTAGAAAAGGAAATATCTTCGTATAAAAACTAGACAGAATGATTCTCAGAAACTCCTTTGTGATGTGTGCGTTCAACTCACAAAGTTTAACCTTTCTTTTCATAGAGCAGTTAGGAAACACTCTGTTTGTAAAGTCTGCAAGTGGATATTCAGACCTCTTTGAGGCCTTCGTTGGAAACGGGATTTCTTCATATTCTGCTAGACAGAAGAATTCTCAGTAACTTCCTTGTGTTGTGTGTATTCAACTGACAGAGTTGAACTTTCATTTAGAGAGAGCAGATTTGAAACACTGTTTTTGTGGAATTTGCAAGTGGAGATTTCAAGCGCTTTGGGGCCAAAGGCAGAAAAGGAAATATCTTCGTATAAAAACTAGACGGAATCATTCTCAGAAACTGCTGCGTGATGTGTGCGTTCAACTCTCAGAGTTTAACTTTTCTTTTAATTCAGCGGTTTGGAAACACTCTGTTTGTAAAGTCTGCACGTGGATATTTTGACCACTTAGAGGCCTTCGTTGGAAACTGGTTTTTTGCATGTAAGGCTAGACAGAATAATTCCCAGTAACTTCCTTGTGTTGTGTGCATTCAACTCACAGAGTTGAACGTTCCCTTAGACAGAGCAGATTTGAAACACTCTATTTGTGCAATTTGCAAGTGTAGATTTCAAGCGCTTTAAGGTCAATGGCAGAAAAGGAAATATCTTCGTTTCAAAAGTAGACAGAATGATTCTGAGAAACTCCTTTGTGATGTGTGCGTTCAACACACAGAGTTTAACCTTTCTTTTCATAGAGCAGTTAGGAAACACTCTGTTTGTAAAGTCTGCAAGTGGATATTCAGACCTCCTTGAGGCCTTCGTTGGAAACGGGATTTCTTCATATTCTGCTAGACAGAAGAATTCTCAGTAACTTCCTTGTGTTTTGTGTATTCAACTCACAGAGTTGAATGATCCTTTACACAGAACAGACTTGAAACACTCTTGTTGTGGAATTTTCAAGTGGAGATTTCAGCCGCTTTGAGGTCAACGGTAGAATAGGAAATATCTTCCTATAGAAACTAGACAGAATGATTCTCAGAAACTCCTTTGTGATGTGTGCGTTCAACTCACAGAGTTTAACTTTTCTTTTCATAGAGCAGTTAGGAAACACTCTGTTTGTAAAGTCTGCAAGTGGATATTCAGACCTCTTTGTGGCCTTCGTTGGAAACGGGATTTCTTCATATTATGCTAGACAGAATAATTCTCAGTAACTTCCTTGTGTTGTGTGTATTCAACTCTCAGAGTTGAACGATCCTTTACAGAGAGCAGACTTGAAACACTCTTTTTCTGGAATTTGCAAGTGGAGATTTCAGCCGCTTTGAGGTCAATGGTAGAATAGGAAATATCTTCCTATAGAAACTAGACAGAATCATTCTCAGAAACTGCTCTGCGATGTGTGCGTTCATCTCTCAGAGTTTAACTTTTCTTTTCATTCAGCAGTTTGGAAACACTCTGTTTGTAAAGTCTGCACGTGGATATTTTGACCACTTAGAGGCCTTCGTTGGAAACGGGTTTTTTTCCTGTAAGGCTAGACAGAAGAATTCCCAGTAACTTCCCTTGTGTTGTGTACATTCAACTCACAGAGTTGAACGTTCCCTTAGACAGAGCAGAGTTGAAACACTCTTTTTGTGCAATTGGCAAGTGGAGATTTCAAGCGCTTTAAGGTCAATGGCAGAAAAGGAAATATCTTCGTTTCAAAACTAGAGAGAATCATTCCCACAAACTGTGTTGTGATGTGTTCGTTCAACTCACAGAGTTTAACCTTTCTTTTCATAGAGCAGTTAGGAAACAGTCTGTTTGTAAATTCTGTAAGTGGATATTCTGACATCTTGTGGCCTTCGTTGGAAACGGGATTTCTTCATATTCTGCTAGACAGAAGAATTCTCAGTAACTGCCTTGTGTTGTGTGTATTCAACTCACAGAGTTGAACGATCCTTTACACAGAGCAGACTTGAAACACTCCTTTTGTGGAATTTGCAAGTGGAGATTTCAGCCGCTTTGAGGTCAATGGTAGAATAGGAAATATCTTCCTATAGAAACTAGACAGAATGATTCTCAGAAACTTCTTTGTGCGTTCAACTCACAGAGTTTAACCTTTCTTTTCATAGAGCAGTTAGGAAACACTCTGTTTGTAAAGTCTGCAAGTGGATATTCAGACCTGTTTGAGGCCTTCGTTGGAAACGGGATTTCTTCATACTATGCTAGACAGAAGAATTCCCAGTAACTTCCTTGTGTTGTGTGTGTTCAACTCACAGAGTTGAACTTTCATTTAAACAGAGCAGATTTGAAACACTCTTTTTGTGGAATTTGCAAGTGGAGATTTCAAGCGCTTTGAGGCCAAAGGCAGAAAAGGAAATATCTTCGTAAAAAAATAGACAGAATCATTCTCAGAAACTGCTCTGCGATGTGTGCGTTCAACTCTCAGAGTTTAACTTTTCTTTTCATTCAGCAGTTTGAAAACCCTCTGTTTGTAAAGTCTGCACGTTGATAATTTGACCACATAGAGGCCTTCGTTGGAAACGGGTTTTTCTCATGTAAGGCTAGACAGAAGAATTCCCAGTAACTTCCTTGTGTTGTGTGCATTCAACTCACAGAGTTGAACGTTCCCTTTGACAGAGCAGATTTGAAACACTGTATTTGTGCAATTTGCAAGTGTAGATTTCAAGCGCTTTAAGGTCAATGGCAGAAAAGGAAATTTCTTCGTTTCAAAACTAGACAGAATCATTCCCACAAACTGCGTTGTGATGTGTTCGTTCAACTCACAGAGTTTAACCTTTCTGTTCATAGAGCAGTTAGGAAACACTCTGTTTGTAAAGTCTGTAAGTGGATATTCTGACATCTTGTGGCCTTCGTTGGAAACGGGATTTCTTCGTATTCTGCTAGACAGAAGAATTCTCAGTAACTTCCTTGTGTTGTGTGTATTCAACTCACAGAGTTGAACGATCCTTTACACAGAGCAGACTTGAAACACTCTTTTTGTGGAATTTGCAAGTGTAGATTTCAGCCGCTTTGAGGTCAATGGTAGAATAGGAAATATCTTCCTATAGAAACTAGACAGAATGATTCTCATAAACTCCTTTGTGATGTGTGCGTTCAAATCACAGAGTTTAACTTTTCTTTTCATAGAGCAGTTAGGAAACACTCTGTTTGTAAAGTCTGCAAGTGGATATTCAGACCTCTTTGAGGCCTTCGTTGGAAACGGGATTTCTTCATATTATGCTAGACAGAAGAATTCCCAGTAACTTCCTTGTGTTGTGTGTGTTCAACTCACAGAGTTGAACTTTCATTTACACAGAGCAGATTTCAAACACTCTTTTTGTGGAATTTGCAAGTGGAGATTTCAAGCGCTTTGAGGCCAAAGGCAGAAAAGGAAATATCTTCGTATAAAAACTAGACAGAATCATTCTCAGAAACTGCTCTGCGATGTGTGCATTCAACTCTCAGAGTTTAACTTTTCTTTTCATTCAGCAGTTTGGAAACACTCTGTTTGTAAAGTCTGCACGTGGATATTTTGACCACTTAGAGGCCTTCGTTGGAAACGGGTTTTTTTCCTGTAAGGCTAGACAGAAGAATTCCCAGTAACTTCCTTGTGTTGTGTATATTCAACTCACAGAGTTGAACGTTCCCTTAGACAGAGCAGATTTGAAACACTCTTTTTGTGCAATTGGCAAGTGGACATTTCAAGCGCTTTGAGGTCAATGGCAGAAAAGGAAATATCTTCGTTTCAAAACTAGACAGAATCATTCCCACAAACTGCGTTGTGATGTGTTCGTTCAACTCACAGAGTTTAACCTTTCTGTTCATAGAGCAGTTAGGAAACACTCTGTTTGTAAAGTCTGTAAGTGGATATTCTGACATCTTGTGGCCTACGTTGGAAACGGGATTTCTCCATATTCTGCTAGACAGAAGAATTCTCAGTAACTTCCTTGTGTTGTGTGTATTCAACTCACAGAAGTTGAGCGATCCTTTACACAGAGCAGACTTGAAACACTCTTTTTGTGGAATTTGCAAGTGGAGATTTCAGCCGCTTTGAGGTCAATGGTAGAATAGGAAATATCTTCGTATAGAAACTAGACAGAATGATTCTCAGAAAATCCTTTGTGATGTGTGCGTTCAACTCACAGAGTTTAACTTTTCTTTTCATATAGCAGTTAGGAAACACTTTGTTTGTAAAGTCTGCAAGTGGATATTCAGACCTCTTTGAGGCATTCGTTGGAAACGGGATTTCTCCATATTATGCTAGAGTGAAGAATTCTCAGTAACTTCCTTGTGTTGTGTGTATTCAACTGACAGAGTTGAACTTTCATTTAGAGAGAGCAGATTTGAAACACTGTTTTTGTGGAATTTGCAATTGGAGATTTCAAGCGCTTTGGGGCCAAAGGCAGAAAAGGAAATATCTTCGTATAAAAACTAGACGGAATCATTCTCAGAAACTGCTCTGCGATGTGTGCGTTCAACTCTCAGAGTTTAACTTTTCTTTTCATTCAGCAGTTTGGAAACACTCTGTTTGTAAAGTCTGCACGTGGATATTTTGACCACTTAGAGGCCTTCGTTGGAAACGGGTTTTTTTCCCGTAAGGCTAGACAGAAGAATTCTCAGTAACTTCCTTGTGTTGTGTGTATTCAACTCACAGAGTTGAACGTTCCCTTAGACAGAGCAGATTTGAAACACTCTATTTGTGCAATTTGCAAGTGTAGTTTTCAAGCTCTTTAAGGTCAACGGCAGAAAAGGAAATATCTTCGTTTCAAAACTAGACAGAATCATTCCCACAAACTGCGTTGTGATGTGTTCGTTCAACTCACAGAGTTTAACCTTTCTGTTCATAGAGCAGTTAGGAAACACTCTGTTTGAAAAGTCTGCACGTGGATATTCAGACCTCTTTGAGGCCTTCGTTGGAAACGGGATTTCTTCCTATTCTGCTAGACAGAAGAATTCTCAGTAACTTCCCTTGTGTTGTGTGTATTCAACTCACAGAGTTGAACGATCCTTTACACAGAGCAGACTTGAAACACTCCTTTTGTGGAATTTGCAAGTGGAGATTTCAGCCGCTTTGAGGTCAATGGTAGAATAGGAAATATCTTCCTATAGAAACTAGACAGAATGATTCTCAGAAACTCCTTTGTGATGTGTGCGTTCAACTCACAGAGTTCAACCTTTCTTTTCATAGAGCAGTTAGGAAACACTCTGTTTGTAAAGTCTGCAAGTGGATATTCAGACTTCTTTGAGGCTTTCGTTGGAAACGGGATTTCTTCATATTCTGCTAGACAGAAGAATTCTCAGTAACTTCCTTGTGTTGTGTGTATTCAACTGACAGAGTTGAACTTTCATTTAGAGAGAGCAGATTTGAAACACTGTTCTTGTGGAATTTGCAAGTGGAGATTTCAAGCGCTTTGGGGCCAAAGGCAGAAAAGGAAATATCTTCGTATAAAAACTAGACAGAATCATTCTCCGAAACTGCTCTGCGATGTGTGCGTTCAACTCTCAGAGTTTAACTTTTCTTTTCATTCAGCAGTTTGGAAACACTCTGTTTGTAAAGTCTGCACGTGGATAACTTGACCACTTAGAGGCCTTCGTTGGAAACGGGTTTTTTTCCTGTAAGGCTAGACAGAAGAATTCCCAGTAACTTCCTTGTGTTGTGTACATTCAACTCACAGAGTTGAACGTTCCCTTAGACAGAGCAGATTTGAAACACTCTTTTTGTGCAATTGGCAAATGGAGATTTCAAGCGCTTTAAGTTCAATGGCAGAAAAGGAAATATCTTCGTTTCAAAACTAGACAGAATGATTCTCAGAAACTCCGTTGTGATGTGTGCGTTCAACTCACAGAGTTTAACCTTTCTTTTCATAGAGCAGTTAGGAAACACTCTGTTTGTAAAGTCTGCAAGTGGATATTCAGACCTCTTTGAGGCCTTCGTTGGAAACGGGATTTCTTCATATTCTGCTACAGAGAAGAATTCTCAGTAACTTCCTTGTGTTGTGTGTATTCAACTCACAGAGTTCAACGATCCTTTACACAGAGCAGACTTGAAACACTGTTTTTGTGGAATTTGCAAGTGGAGATTTCAGCCGCTTTGAGGTCAATGGTAGAAAAGGAAATATCTTCCTATAAAAACTAGACCGAATGATTCTCAGAAACTCCTTTGTGATGTGTGTGTGTTCAACTCACAGAGTTTAACATTTCTTTTCATAGAGCAGTTAGGAAACACTCTGTTTCTAAAGTCTGCAAGTGGATATTCAGACCTCTTTGAGGCCTTCGTTGGAAACGGGTTTTTTTCATATAAGGCTAGACAGAAGAATTCCCAGTAACTTTCCTTGTGTTGTGTGTGTTCAACTCACAGAGTTGAACTTTCATTTACACAGAGCAGATTTGAAACACTCTTTTTGTGGAATTTGCAAATGGAGATTTCAAGCGCTTTGAGGCCAAAGGCAGAAAAGGAAGTATCTTCGTATAAAAACTAGACAGAATCATTCTCAGAAACTGCTCTGCGATG
Source organism: Homo sapiens (assembly GCF_000001405.40). Lineage (NCBI taxonomy): Eukaryota > Metazoa > Chordata > Mammalia > Primates > Hominidae > Homo > Homo sapiens. Next base: position 124,124,922 of record NC_000001.11, read on the forward strand.
TGTGCGTTCAACTCTCAGAGTTTAACTTTTCTTTTCATTCAGCAGTTTGGAAACACTCTGTTTGTAAAGTCTGCACGTGGATAACTTGACCACTTAGAGGCCTTCGTTGGAAACGGGTTTTTTTCATGTAAGGCTAGACAGAAGTATTCTCAGTAACTTCCTTGTGTTGTGTGTATTCAACTCACAGAGTTGAACGATCCTTTACACAGAGCAGACTTGTAACACTCTTTTTGTGGAATTTGCAAGTGGAGATTTCAGCCGCTTTGAAGTCAAAGGTAGAAAAGGAAATAACTTCCTATAAAAACTAGACAGAGTGATTCTCAGAAACTCCTTTGTGATGTCTGCGTTCAACTCACAGAGTTTAACCTTTCTTTTCATAGAGCAGTTAGGACACACTCTGTTTGTAAAGTCTGCAAGTGGATATTCAGACATCTTTGAGGCCTTCGTTGGAAACGGGATTTCTTCATGTTCTGCTAGACAGAATTCTCAGTAACTTCCTTGTGTTGTGTGTATTCAACTCACAGAGTTGAACGATCCTTTACACAGAGCATACTTGGAACACTCTTTTTGTGGAATTTGCAAGTGGAGATTTCAGCCGCTTTGAAGTCAAAGGTAGAAAAGGAAATATCTTCCTATAAAAACTAGACAGAATGATTCTCAGAAACTCCTTTGTGATGTGTGCATTCAACTCACAGAGTTTAACCTTTCTTTTCATAGAGCAGTTAGGAAACACTCTGTTTGTAAAGTCTGCAAGTGGATATTCAGACCTCTTTGAGGCCTTCGTTGGAAACGGGTTTTTTTCATATAAGGCTAGACAGAAGAATTCTCAGTAACTTCCTTCTGTTGTGTGTATTCAACTGACAGAGTTGAACTTTCATTTAGAGAGAGCAGATTTGAAACACTGTTTTTGTGGAATTTGCAAGTGGAGATTTCAAGCGCTTTGGGGCCAAAGGCAGAAAAGGAAATATCTTCGTATAAAAACTAGACAGAATCATTCTCAGAAACTGCTGCGTGATGTGTGCGTCCAACTCTCAGAGTTTAACTTTTCTTTTCATTCAGCGGTTTGGAAACACTCTGTTTGTAAAGTCTGCACGTGGATATTTTGACCACTTAGAGGTCTTCATTGGAAACGGGTTTTTTTCATGTAAGGCTAGACAGAAGAATTCCCAGTAACTTCCTTGTGTTGTGTACATTCAACTCACAGAGTTGAACGTTCCCTTAGACAGAGCAGATTTGAAACACTCTTTTTGTGCAATTGGCAAGTGGTGATTTCAGCCTCTTTGAGGTCAATGGTAGAAAAGGAAATATCTTCGTATAAAAACTAGACAGAATCATTCCCACAAACTACGTTGTGATGTGTTCGTTCAACTCACAGAGTTTAACCTTTCTGTTCATAGAGCAGTTAGGAAACACTCTGTTTGTAAAGTCTGTAAGTGGATATTCTGACATCTTGTGGCCTTCGTTGGAAACGGGATTTCTTCATATTCTGCTAGACAGAAGAATTCTCAGAATCTTCCTTGTGTTGTGTGTATTCAACTCACAGAGTTGAACGATCCTTTACACAGAGCAGACTTGAAACACTCTTTTTGTGGAATTTGCAAGTGGAGATTTCAGCCGCTTTGAGGTCCATGGGAGAAAAGGAAATATCTTCGTATAAAAACTAGACAGAATGATTCTCAGAAACTCCTTTGTGATGTGTGCGTTCAACTCACAGAGTTTAACCTTTCTTTTCATAGAGCAGTTAGGAAACACTCTGTTTGTAAAGTCTGCAAGTGGATATTCAGACCTCTTTGAGGCCTTCGTTGGAAACGGGTTTTTTTCATACTATGCTAGACAGAAGAATTCCCAGTAACTTCCTTGTGTTGTGTGTGTTCAACTCACAGAGTTGAACTTTCATTTACACAGAGCAGATTTGAAACACTCTTTTTTTGGAATTTGCAAGTGGAGATTTCAAGCGATTTGAGGCCAAAGGCAGAAAAGGAAATATCTTCGTTTCAAAACTAGACAGAATCATTCTCAGAACTGCTCTGCGATGTGTGCGTTCAACTCTCAGAGTTTAACTTTTCTTTTCATTCAGCAGTTTGGAAACACTCTGTTTGTAAAGTCTGCACGTGGATATTTTGACCATTTAGAGGCTTTCGTTGGAAACGGGTTTTTTTCTTGTAAGGCTAGACAGAAGAATTCCCAGTAACTTCCTTGTGTTGTGTGCATTCAACTCACAGAGTTGAACGTTCCCTTAGACAGAGCAGATTTGAAACACTCTATTTGTGCAATTTGCAAGTGTAGATTTCAAGCGCTTTAAGGTCAACGGCAGAAAAGGAAATATCTTCGTTTCAAAACTAGACAGAATCATTCCCACAAACTGCGTTGTGATGGTTCGTTCAACTCACAGAGTTTAACCTTTCTTTTCATAGAGCAGTTAGGAAACAGTCTGTTTGTCAATTCTGTAAGTGGATATTCTGACATCTTGTGGCCTTCGTTGGAAACGGGATTTCTTCATATTCTCCTAGACAGAAGAGTTCTCAGAAACTTCCTTGTGTTGTGTGTATTCAACTCACAGAGTTGAACGATCCTTTACGCAGAGCAGACTTGAAACACTCTTTTTGTGGAATTTGCAAGTGGAGATTTCAGCCGCTTTGAGGTCAATGGTAGAATAGGAAATATCTTCCTATAGAAACTAGACAGAATGATTCTCAGAAACTCCTTTGTGATGTGTGCGTTCAACTCACAGAGTATAACCTTTCTTTTCATAGAGCAGTTAGGAAACACTCTGTTTGTAAAGTGTGCAAGTGGATATTCAGACCTCTTTGAGGCCTTCGTTGGAAACGGCATTTCTTCATAATATGCTAGACAGAAGAATTCTCAGTAACTTCCTTGTGTTGTGTGTATTCAACTCACAGAGTTGAACGATCCTTTACACAGAGCAGACTTGAAACACTCTTTTTGTGGAATTTGCAAGTGTAGATTTCAGCCGCTTTGAGTTCAATGGTAGAATAGGAAATATCTTCCTATAGAAACTAGAGAGAATCATTCTCCGAAGCTGCTGCGTGATGTGTGCGTTCAACTCTCAGAGTTTAACTTTTCTTTTCATTCAGCGGTTTGGAAACACTCTGTTTGTGAAGTCTGCACGTGGATATTTTGACCACTTAGAGGCCTTCGTTGGAAACGGGTTTTTTTCATGTAAGGCTAGACAGAAGATTTCCCAGTAACTTCCTTGTGTTGTGTGCATTCAACTCACAGAGTTGAACGTTCCCTTAGACAGAGCAGATTTGAAACACTCTATTTGTGCAATTTGCAAGTGTAGATTTCAAGCGCTTTAAGGTCAATGGCAGAAAAGGAAATATCTTCGTCTTCAAAACTAGACAGAATGATTCTGTGAAACTCCTTTGTGATGTGTGCGTTCAACTCACACAGTTTAACCTTTCTTTTCATAGAGCAGTTAGGAAACACTCTGTTTGTAAAGTCTGCAAGTGGATATTCAGACCTCCTTGAGGCCTTCGTTGGAAACGGGATTTCTTCATATTATGCTAGAAAGAAGAATTCCCAGTAACTTCCTTGTGTTGTGTGTATACAACTCACAGAGTTGAACGATCCTTTACACAGAGCAGACTTGAAACACTCTTTTTGTGGAATTTGCAAGTGGAGATTTCAGCCGCTTTGAGTTCAATGGTAGAATAGGAAATATCTTCCTATAGAAACTAGACAGAAATGATTCTCAGGAAACTCCTTTGTGATGTGTGCGTTCAACTCACAGAGTTTAACCTTTCTTTTCATAGAGCAGTTAGGAAACACTCTGTTTGTAAAGTCTGCAAGTGGATATTCAGACCTCTTTGAGGCCTTCGTTGGAAACGGGTTTTTTTCATATAAGGCTAGACAGAAGAATTCCCTGTAACTTCCTTGTGTTGTGTGTGTTCAACTCACAGAGTTGAACTTTCATTTACACAGAGCAGATTTGAAACTCTCCTTTTGTGGAATTTGCAAGTGGAGATTTCAAGCGCTTTGAGGCCAAAGGCAGAAAAGGAAATATCTTCGTTTCAAAACTAGACAGAATCATTCTCAGAAACTGCTCTGCGATGTGTGCGTTCAACTCTCAGAGTTTAACTTTTCTTTTCATTCAGCAGTTTGGAAACACTCTGTTTGTAAAGTCTGCACGTGGATATTTTGACCATTTAGAGGCCTTCGTTGGAAACGGGTTTTTTTCTTGTAAGGCTAGACAGAAGAATTCCCAGTAACTTCCATGTGTTGTGTGCATTCAACTCACAGAGTTGAACGTTCCCTTGAACAGAGCAGATTTGAAACTCTCTATTTGTGCAATTTGCAAGTGTAGATTTCAAGCGCTTTAAGGTCAATGGCAGAAAAGGAAATATCTTCGTTTCAAAACTAGACAGAATGATTCTGAGAAACTCCTTTGTGATGTGTGCGTTCAACTCACAGAGTTTAACCTTTCTTTTCATAGAGCAGTTAGGAAACACTCTGTTTGTAAAGTCTGCAAGTGGATATTCAGACATCTTTGAGGCTTTCTTTGGAAACGGGATTTCTTCATATTCTGCTAGACAGAAGAATTCTCAGAAACTTCGTTGTGTTGTGTGTTTTCAACTCACAGAGTTCAACGATCCTTTACACAGAGTAGACTTGAAACACTCTTTTTGTGGAATTGGCAGGGTGGAGATTTCAGCCGCTTTGAGGTCAATGGTAGAAAAGTAAATATCTTCGTATAAAAACTAGACAGAATGATTGTCAGAAACTCCTTTGTGATGTGTGTGTTCAACTCACAGAGTTTAACCTTTCTTTTCATAGAGCAGTTAGTAAACACTCTGTTTATAAAGTCTGCAAGTGGATATTCAGACCCCTTTGAGGCCTTCGTTGGAAACGGGATTTCTTCATATTATGCTAGACAGAAGAATTCCCAGTAACTTCCTTGTGTTGTGTGTGTTCAACTCACAGAGTTGAACTTTCATTTACCCAGAGCAGATTTGAAACACTGTTTTTGTGGAATTTGCAAGTGGAGATTTCAAGCGCTTTGAGGCCAAAGGCAGAAAAGGAAATATCTTCGTTTCAAAACTAGACAGAATCATTCTTTGAAACTGCTGCGTGATGTGTGCGTTCAACTCTCAGAGTTTAACTTTTCTTTTCATTCAGCGGTTTGGAAACACTCTGTTTGTAAAGTCTGCACGTGGAAATTTTGACCACTTAGAGGCCTTCGTTGGAAACGGGTTTTTTTCATGTAAGGCTAGACAGAAGAATTCCCAGTAACTTCCTTGTGTTGTGTGCATTCAACTCACAGAGTTGAACGTTCCCTTAGACAGAGCAGATTTGAAACACTCTATTTGTGCAATTTGCAAGTGTAGTTTTCAAGCTCTTTAAGGTCAACGGCAGAAAAGGAAATATCTTCGTTTCAAAACTAGACAGAATCATTCCCACAAACTGCGTTGTGATGTGTTCGTTCAACTCACAGAGTTTAACCTTTCTGTTCATAGAGCAGTTAGGAAACACTCTGTTTGTAAAGTCTGCAAGTGGATATTCAGACCTCTTTGAGGCCTTCGTTGGAAACGGGATTTCTTCATATTATGCTACACAGAAGAATTCTCAGTAACTTCCTTGTGTTGTTTGTATTCAACTCACAGAGTTGAACGATCCTTTACACAGAGCAGACTTGAAACACTCTTTTTGTGGAATTTGCAAGTGGAGATTTCAGCCGCTTTGAGGTCAATGGTAGAAAAGGAAACTATCTTCATATAAAGACTAGACAGAATGATTCTGAGAAATCCTTTGTGATGTGTGCGTACAACTCACAGAGTTTAACCTTTCTTTTCATAGAGCAGTTAGGAAACACTCTGTTTGTAAAGTCTGCAAGTGGATATTCAGACCTCCTTGAGGCCTTCGTTGGAAACGGGATTTCTTCATATTATGCTAGACAGAAGAATTCCCAGTAACTTCCTTGTGTTGTGTGTGTTCAACTCACAGAGTTGAACTTTCATTTACACAGAGCAGATTTGAAACACTCTTTTTGTGGAATTTGCAAATGGAGATTTCAAGCGCTTTGAGGCCAAAGGCAGAAAAGGAAATATCTTCATATAAAAACTAGACAGAATCATTCTCAGAAACTGCTCTGTGATGTGTACGTTCAACTCTCAGAGTTTAACTTTTCTTTTCATTCAGCAGTTTGGAAACACTCTGTTCGTAAAGTCTGCACGTGGATAATTTGACCACTTAGAGGCCTTCGTTGGAAACGGGTTTTTTTCATGTAAGGCTAGACAGAAGAATTCCCAGTAACTTCCTTGTGTTGTGTGCTTTCAACTCACAGAGTTGAACGTTCCCTTAGACAGAGCAGATTTGAAACACTCTATTTGTGCAATTTGCAAGTGTAGATTTCAAGCGCTTTAAGGTCAATGGCAGAAAAGGAAATATCTTCGTTTCAAAACTAGACAGAATCATTCCCACAAACTGCGTTGTGATGTGTTCGTTCAACTCACAGAGTTTTACCTTTCTGTTCATAGAGCAGTTAGGAAACACTCTGTTTGTAAAGTCTGCAAGTGGATATTCAGACCTCCTTGAGGCCTTCGTTGGAAACGGGATTTCTTCATATTCTGCTAGACAGAAGAATTCTGAGTAACTTCCTTGTGTTGTGTGTATTCAACTCACAGAGTTGAACGATCCTTTACAGAGAGCAGACTTTAAACACTCTTTTTGTGGAATTTGCAAGTGGAGATTTCAGCCGCTTTGAGGTCAATGGTAGAAAAGGAAATATCTTCGTATAAAGACTAGACAGAATGATTCTCAGAAACTCCTTTGTGATGTGTGCGTTCAACTCACAGAGTTTAACTTTTCTTTTCATAGAGCAGTTAGGAAACACTCTGTTTGTAAAGTCTGCAAGTGGATATTCAGACCTCTTTGAGGCCTTCGTTGGAAACGGCATTTCTTCATATTATGCTAGACAGAAGAATTCTCAGTAACTTCCTCGTGTTGTGTGTATTCAACTGACAGAGTTGAACTTTCATTTAGAGAGAGCAGATTTGAAACACTCTTTTTGTGGAATTTGCAAGTGGAGATTTCAAGCGCTTTGGGGCCAAAGGCAGAAAAGGAAATATCTTCGTATAAAAACTAGACAGAATCATTCTCAGAAACTGCTGTGTGATGTGTGCGTTCAACTCTCAGAGTTTAACTTTTCTTTTCATTCAGCGGTTTGGAAACACTCTGTTTGTAAAGTCTGCACGTGGATATTTTGACCACTTAGAGGCCTTCGTTGGAAACGGGTTTTTTTCATGTAAGGCTAGACAGAAGAATTCCCAGTAACTTCCTTGTGTTGTGTACATTCAACTCACAGAGTTGAACGTTCCCTTAGACAGAGCAGATTTGAAACACTCTTTTTGTGCAATTGGCAAATGGAGATTTCAAGCGCTTTAAGGTCAATGGCAGGAAAGGAAATATCTTCGTTTCAAAACTAGACAGAATCATTCCCACAAACTGCGTTGTGATGTGTTCGTTCATCTCACAGAGTTTAACCTTTCTTTTCATAGAGCAGTTAGGAAACACTCTGTTTGTAAATTCTGTAAGTGGATATTCTGACATCTTGTGGCCTTCGTTGGAAACGGGATTTCTTCATATTCTGCTAGACAGAAGAATTCTCAGCAACTTCCTTGTGTTGTGTGTATTCAACTCACAAAGTTGAACGATCCTTTGAGCAGACTTGAAACACTCTTTTTGTGGAATTTGCAAGTGGAGATTTCAGCCGCTTTGAGGTCAATGGTAGAAAAGGAAATATCTTCGAATAAAAACTAGACAGAATGATTCTAAGAAACTCCTTTGAGATGTGTGCGTTCAACTCACAGAGTTTAACCTTTCTTTTCATAGAGCAGTTAGGAAACACTCTGTTTGTAAAGTCTGCAAGTGGATATTCAGACCTCTTTGAGGCCTTCGTTGGAAACGGGATTTCTTCATATTCTGCTAGAAAGAAGAATTCTCATTAACTTCATTGTGTTGTGTGTATTCAACTCACAGAGTTCAACGATCCTTTACACAGAGCAGACTTGAAACACTCTTTTTCTGGAATTTGCAAGTGGAGATTTCAGCCGCTTTGAGGTCAATGGTAGAAAAAGAAATATCTTCCTATAAAAACTAGACAGAATCATTCTCAGAAACTGCTCTGCGAGGTGTGCGTTCAACTCTCAGAGTTTAACTTTTCTTTTCATTCAGCAGTTTGGAAACACTCTGTTTGTAAAGTCTGCACGTGGATATTTTGACCACTTAGAGGCCTTCGTTGGAAACGGGTTTTTTTCCTGTAAGGCTAGACAGAAGAATTCCCAGTAACTTCCTTGTGTTGTGTACATTCAACTCACAGAGTTGAACGTTCCCTTAGACAGAGCAGATTTGAAACACTCTTTTTGTGCAATTGGCAAGTGGAGATTTCAAGCGCTTTAAGGTCAATGGCAGAAAAGGAAATATCTTCGTTTCAAAACTA